>NT_167248.2:2342034-2675318 GCF_000001405.40 Homo sapiens | reverse complement strand
GGCCAGTTATACTGTTTCTTTCTTTACCATTAAATGCTGTGCCAAAGAGCACCTTAATACATTTCTTTCCTCTTCCTGGAGAGAGGCAAAATGATAGTAGATATGTTGAAACACACAAATGTACTTTAAGCACGTGCTTTCAGGAAAAGCTACTAGAAGATTAGTTGCACCAAAATGAGGGGGGATACAAAAGTGAAAAGAAAGATTGCATATCCATATTCATAATGGTGTTATTCACAACAGGCAAGATATGGAAGCAACCTATATGTTTACCAACAGATGAATAGATCAAGAAAATATGATTATATACAGACAATGGAATATTATTCAACATTTAAAAGAAGAAAATCTTGCTATATGCTACAACGTATATGAACCTTAAAGTCATTGCTAAGTGAAATATGCCAATCAAAAAAAAAAAAAAACTCCAAGTACTGCATAATTCCATTTACATGAGGTGTCTAAAACAGTCAAACTTGATGAATGTGAAGGTAGAATGGTGGCTGCCAGGTAAAACTTCCAGGTAATAAGGATTTTTGTGAAAGGGGCACAGAGTTTCAGCTTTCAAGGTGAAATATTCTAAAGATCGGTTGCACTACACTGTGCTTACAATTAACACTATTATAGTACAGTATATTTTAATTTAATTTTTTTTTTTTTGGCTGGAGACAGGGTCTCACTACTTTCCCCAAGCCTGACTTGAACTGTAGGCCTCCAGTGATCCTCCTGCCTTAGCCTCCCAAATTGCTGGGATTACAGGCATGAGCCACCACACCTGGCCAATGGTACTGTATTCTTAAAAATAGTTATGATAGTAAATTTTATGTGTATTTTTTGCCACAATGAAAAAATGCTCAGCCCTCTTACTAATTTAGAAAGAAACTGCATCAGTTAATTAAAAATATATTAGGATGTGGCCTGTGGTCCTGACTACCTAGGAAGATGAGGTAGGAGGGTCACTTGAGCCTATGAGGTTGAGCCTGTAGTAAGCCATGATGGCACCACTGCACTCCAGCCTGGCTGACAGAGCAAAATTCCCTTTCTCTCTCTCTCTCTCTACACACACACACACACGAACCAGGAGAATCAGCATCTCATGAAACTAGACAGAAAGGCTCATATGCCTCAGCCTTGACATCTTGAATCAGTCTGCATTTTGGCTGGACCCCAGGTGGCTCCACTGCATGTAAAGCACTGCCCCAGATGGCGGTGGAGGGAGATCCTAGGACAGTGACTCTGCTCCACAGGGAGAAGCCTCCAGTCCAGATGGGAGCAGAGAGAAGGGCCCAGGAGGGACATTTCCAAGAAGGTAAAGTGGAATATCCAAAGTCTGTAATTTCTTAAAAGAGTAATACGGCTGGGTGCAGTGGCTTACCTCTGTAATCCCAGCACTTTGGGAAGCCGAGGCGGGTGAATCACCTGAGGTCAGGAGTTCAAGACCAGCCTGACCAATACGGAGAAACTGTCTCTACTAAAAATACAAAATTAGCCGGGTGTGGTGGTGCATGCCTGTAATCCCAGCTATTCGGGAGGCTGAGGCAGGAGAATCCCTTGAACCTGGGAGGTGGAGGTTGTGGTGAGCCAAGATTGTGCCATTGCATTCCAGCCTGGGCAACAAGAGCGAGACTCCATCTCAAAAAAAAAAAAAGGCCAGGTGCGATGTCTCAAGCCTGTAATCCCAGCACTTTCAGAGGCTGAGGTGGGTGGATCACGAGGTCAAGAGATCGACATCATTGTGGCCAACATGGTGAAACGCCGTCTCTACTAAAAATACAAAAATTAGCTGGGCATGGTGGTGAGTGCCTGTAATCCCAGCTACTCGGGAAGCTGAGGCAGGAGAATCGCTTGAACCTGGGAGGTGGAGGTTGTGGTGAGCCAAGATCGCACCACTGCACTCCAGCCTGGACAACAGAGTGAGACTCCATCCCAAAAAAAGGAGTAATACAAATAGAAGAAATATCAACGTTAATGAGTGCTATTTATAAAATAAACAAAAACAAAGGCAAGTATTAACTACAGGAAGAACAAATGTTCAGGAAGTGAAAAGTGGTCAAGCTGACATATGAGAAAATTAGTCATGGAAAAGGAAACAAGGAACGACTGAACCAAACATAATTACTACAGAAATACATCGGGAAGATGAAAGAATGGGAAGAGTGAAAGGGAACAGGTACAATTAACTATTGCATTCACCACTGTGCTGTGCAACAGATAATGACTGCAACGGAAAAATCAAGCAGTATTAATGAAGGAATTGTATTTAGACATATGGAAGTAAAAGTTGAAAGACTTAGCTAAAAATGTTGAAAATGGTTGCCTCTAGGAAGGCAGAAATTGAGAAGATGCAGAGAGGACTCATTTCTCTAGAGAAATCCTATGCAAATATTTGACTTTTAAAATCATGGACAATTAAATTTTGATTATAAAAACTTCAATGAATATGAAAATTTATACCTAATGAGAACAGAATTCAACAAGTCACACTTGCTAACTAAAATAAACAAGACTAATAAATACACAACATAAATGCATGAATGTGTAAATGACATCAACCTGAAAACATAAAAGAAAATGTCGACGAACACATCTCTGGATCAGTAAGTAGCACATGAGTGAATTCCCTACTCCAGCTCCCTTACTGGTTGCTTTGTGAACCAGGCAGTGGGAGGAAACAGGGCCCAGCCAGGGTCCCTCGTCCTTCTCTTGCTTCCAGGCAGGTCCTGCATCCACTCCTGCTGCAAGAAGGGCTCCCATCCCTGCCTTGGGTCTTTTTCACAGGTGTCACCCTTACACTCTCTGCCATGACCACCTTACGTGGGTGGGGCTGAGGTTGCCTTGACCAAGAAGTGCATCACCCATCTGTGTGCCCCAACACCAGCAGTCAGGAGGCATCAAGAAATAGGGTGAGGAATAACCCACCTCTTGCATGTCCACTTTCCTGGTTCATTTATTCTTCATTCATTCAGTCCACACCTCCCCAGCAGTCACTTTACGCCAGAACCTGACTGACTGGGATTCTTCAAAATCAGAAAACCTCGAAGCACTCTCTATCCCCTCCCGAATATCACACTTCAGCTCTGTGTCATCACATGAAGGCTCCAACTCTTCAGGGCAGATGTTCCCCCACAGGGTCAGCCCCTGAAGGTCAGTGCCAGATGTCCCACCTCCATCCCTTCCCAGTCCTTTCTGTTCTGCTGTGAATCTGTCAGTCATCAGGAGCTAGCAGGGAAAGGGGACAAGGAGGGGAGATTGTCTTCATGCCGTGCCAAGGCATTGAGACAGACCTCTCTTTCTCCCTGAACCTCACACTTTATCCGCTCCCAGACACATGAAATAAAACAGACTAGAAGTGTCTGTTTAAAGAGTAAACATCTATGGTATAAAATTATGCACCCATAACAGTAGACATAGAGTAATGCGTAAGAGTGTGATGGGGCGAGGGGACCTCAAGGTGACAAGAAAGCTGGTCCTGGGCTGGTCAGGAGGAGTCATCTCCAAGACACTCACTCACAAAGCTCACCGATGATAATCCAATTACAACACATGTAATATATTAAAATATCTTAAAATATAATAAAATAGGCCAGACATGGTGGATGATATAATAAAATAAAATATAGTAAAATGTAATAAAATAGGCCGGGTATGGTGGCTCATGCTTGTAATCCCAGCACTTTGGGAGGCTGAGGCAGGCAGATCACCTGAGGTCAGGAGTTTGAGACCAGCCTGGCCAACATGGCAAAATCCTGTCTCTATGAAAAATGCAAAAATTAGCTGGGTATGGTGGTGCATGTCTGTAACCCCAGCTACTCGGGAGGCTGAGGCACAAGAAGTGCTTGAACCCGGGAGGCGGAGGCTGCAACGAGCTGAGATCATGTCACTGAACTGCAGCCTGGGTGACAGAGTGAGACTCTGTCTTTTTTTTTTTTTTTTTTTTTTGAGACAGAGTCTCGCTCTGTCGCCAGGCTGGAGTGCAGTGGCGCGATCTCAGCTCACTGCAACCTCCACCTCCCAGGTTCAAGTGATTTTCCTGCCTCAGCTCCTGAGTAGCTGGGACTACAGGCACATGCCACCAGGCCCAGCTAATTTTTTGTATTTTTAGTAGAGACAGGGTTTCACCATGTTGATCAGGATGGTCTCGATCTCTTGACCTTGTGATCCGCCCGCCTCGGCCTCCCAAAGTGCTGGGATTACAGGCGTGAGCCACCGTGCCTGGCCTGAGACTCTGTCTTAAAAAAAATAATAATAATACGAAAACAACAGAAACAGTGACACCAATTAATATGGTACAGCTGCAAACGCCTCATATCTACTAACATTTTGCAGCCTCCAACAACAATAAATAAGTGCTTTTATTTTCTCTGTTTCATAGGTCAGGAAACTGAGGCACCAAGAGGGAAAGTGCTCGTGAGATCCAGGCAGGGAATTGAATCCCAGCTGCCTGGCTGTAGAGTCTAGGCGCCCTCAGTGGAGCCAGTGGACCCAAGATCTGACATCAGAGGCTGAAATCCGAGCTGTGTGGCATCCCTGTGGTCACTCGTCCCAACTGGGTGTTGATCCAGGACCTGCAGGCTCACGAGCTCTGGAGAAAAGAGGGAAACGGGTAAATGCTCCACTGGGTGCAGTGTTGTGTTTATTCCCTGGGGACTTTTCTCTCTTCAGTTGCTCCAAAACCAGATTCGCCCTTTCTCTGAGGGAAGATGAGGCCCCCACTTTTTTCTTCCTCCCTCCTTGCTTTTCCCAGCCCCTACCAGTTCCCTCCCATCACTCCATCAACATCAGCCCCTGCCCTGTGCCCACCACTCATCGTGCAGGGAGGGAAAGGGCCCCAAGACTAAAGGACAAGACCCAAGAGGGAACCCAGTGACCTCCTCTCAGGCCTGACCAGTCCTGTTACAGTGAGAGGCCTCCTCAAAGAGAGGCCCTGACCCTTGCTCTCAGTCCCCAGGCCCTCCTCTCCTGCAGAGGCACCTACACACCAGGGCAGGCCCTGCCCACTGTGGGCTCTGCCCTCTATCTGCAGCTCAGCGCTCCTCCCCTCCCAGCCCTGAGCAGGCAGCTCCTAACTGGGGACCCCATCAGAAAGCCTGGGGGGCCCAGCAGGCCCAGCATGGAAAGACGTGGCTGCCACAGGATCTGCACCTGACCTGACCCTGGGACCCCCACCTTGCTCGAGGAGGCCTGGCCTCTCCTGACCCTCACAACCCAAGCCTGTGACCTGGTGTTGAGTAACCACTGCTCCTGCCTGGTCCGCTTAACCCTGGAAACGCAGCTCCACCCCAGGGCTGCTGCTTGGTGAGGCTGCGAGGCCTTCCTGCTCTGTCCCTAGCAGGGATTCCACCCGGCCACTGCCCTTGCAACCTACAAGGGATTTTCTCCATGTGGAGTAGGGGAGACCCCTTAGCCTGAGGCTGCCTCTGCCCACCCTCTGCACCTGGGAACTGCCACTGCCACAGCCACCATCTCCACACAGAACCTCCTGGAGAGGGGGCTCCAAATTTGAGTTCCTGTTTCATTTAATATGCTTTACAGTATTAGGAAATCCTATTAAGATTGGAGAGCCGAAATTATGAAAATCTTTATTGGACATCGCAGGAATTTTGAGAAATTTGTGTTCCTGTTTCATATAAGATGCTTTACAATATTAGAGGAAATCCTATTAAGATTATAGAGCTGAAATTACGAATATCTTTGCTTGACATCAACATTGAAAGCAGGAATTTTGAGAAACTGGCACATGAACTTCATACTCTTTTCCTGGCCAAAACTCCAGTGACCTATGAGGAAACCATTCCTGCCCACAGGGAACCAGAACTGATAATCCCTCTACGGGAGACACCACAGGTGAGAGCAGGAGCGACCACAGACCTGCACTGCCCCTGTTGTGGGTGCCTCCTGGACAGGGCCCTCTTACTGCAGGGCAGGGGACAAACCTTCCCATCTGCTCAGGCCTGAGGGGCCGACTGACAGTGCAATTAGGTTCAAGGATGAGAAACCAGCGACCCTACTGCCAGACACACCCTCCTGGACACCCCAGCCTCTTACTGTCCCCTGAACTGCTTCTGTCTTTGCAGAAACACAAAACTTCCTGCTGTCTCTTTTCATCCCCCATCAAACAACCTGACTGTAGGGGAAATGATTCTGACCGTCCCTTACTCCAAACTTACCAGGCAGTGACCACCTTTAGAAAGGGAAATTGGCTCAGGGAGGGCAAGGTGAGGCCACAGAGCACAGATTAAAGCCCCAAAAACATGGGCCCTGAGGACTGTGTCCCTCAGGGACTGGAGAAGAAAACACTCGGAGGTAGGATGAAAACAGGGACCACAGCTGCCCTGATGAGGGGCTGGGCCCCACTCCTCAAATGGCCCAGGGACATCTGCTTATCTACTCATCCATCTCATCTGCAAGAAACTCAGGGAGGCCAGGCTGTGGGAACCTGGAAAGAGTAGGGCCTCGAATGGTGCAGAGGACACGACAACCCCAAGAAAGCTCCTGGAGGAGGTGCATGGGGAGCTGAAAAGTGGACAGAGATGGCCATGTGTGCTCAGGACCCTCCCTGTTACAAGGGGTCTCCAAAGGGCTACACAGGCAGGGCCTCCAGGCTGGGCCTCATAGGTCTTTTTCTCGGTGTCCGCCCCGATGGCTGGAGAAACAGGGGAGAGGGATGCAGAGAGGAAGGGAATAGGGGCACCGCCTCTCCTCAGATTCCTCTCCAGTTTCTGGCCCTCCCCAGATCACAGCTGCCTTTACTATTTGCTCCCTCTGAGGCCGTGATCATCCAGGTCCTCAGCATTCAGCACGTGATTCCCAGCTCACCCCACCTGGATGCGCCCTAGTGAGTCCAAGAGACACAGAGACCGGGATGGGGACAGAGCAGGCGCCGCAGCCCTCCCTGCTGCCCACTCCTCACCTGCAGCAGGAAGATGCCACAGCTGGGCGTTTGACCCTCGCTTGGGCAGCACTTATGGGTGTAGATGGAGATGCTGCCCCCATTCCCGTCCCAAATTCCCCAACTTTCATCCCCTGTTACAGAAGCCTTGTCACCAACATGCCTATCTTTGCAGGAGCAATGAGGGGACCCTACTGCCCAGACAGGGGCCTTACCATCTCCAGAAACTGCCCGCTTTTCTCACCTGGACCCTCTGCAGCTGATGTTTTCTTCTTACAACAACGGACATAGAAAATAATAATAACAAAAATAGCAGCAGCAGCAACAGCAGAAACATGGAATGTCTGCCAATGACTCTGAAGCACCAGCACTTTCCCTGAAAAAAAAGGGACTTGTTATACACTGGGCAGAGAGCCACAGCCATCCCTGCTGTCCCTACCCTGGCCTGACCCTCTCCAGGGTCACCCTAGGCTCACCAGAGGGCACAGGGTGAGTGCTGTGATTCCCGCTGTGTTCCATGTAGCAGGTGAACCTCTGCTCCTCTCCTTGGCAAATCCTGGTGGCCACCCAGGTCTGGTAGGTTCCATTCCCATCAGGCAGGACATCCCCCCACTGCTGGGTGTCGTGGCTCAAAGATACCCCATCCTGACGCCAGCTCAGTGTGATATTCCAGGGATAGAAGCCAGAAGCCCTGCATGTCACGGTAATGTTGCCCTCTGAGGCCTCGCTGCGGGTGACATTCACCATGGGGGGCACTGGAGAAGAAAGGGCAGAGCCAGTGAAGCCCTGCTCCCCTCTAAGGAGGGGAGAGGAACAGGGCTGTTTCTCTTCACTGTTCTCACTCTGGCTGAAGCCCTCTGGGACCCCTGACCTGCAAGTCTGTCCTCACTCTGGGGCCCAGTTCTTCCAGGCTGGCAGGAGGATGGGCCATGGGACTGTGGCCTCAGGCTCTGGGATCCCCACATTGATGCTGAGGAGGGGGATGTCAGGGGTGGACTCCTGGGTTGTGGGGCCAGGAGGGAACTCTCCAGGATGGGCAGGCTGGGAGGCAGAGTGGGCAGCCCTGGCCCTGAAGCCTTCCTCTCCTGCCTGACACCCACCCCAGGCTCAGGATTCTGTCGGAGGGTCCTCTACTTGCCCTGATTACAACACTGGATGGTCCAGTCCCTGACCCACTGTCTTTATCCAGTGGCTCTAACAATAGAGGAAAATCAGGACACGATGTGCCAACAGGAAATGCCTTCATCCATAGCACAGGGAGGGTTTCCCTGGACACATCTGGGAGGTGAGGCAACTCTAGCAGAATTGGAGGGAGAGGAGAGCCCCTGGCCAGCGTCGGTACCTGTTCTCCTCAGGACTACGCCGGATTTTAGATATCGCCGTAGTTCCTGCAGGCAGTCTGCATGCATAGCGTGATAGTGTGTCTTGGTCTTCATGGCATCTTCCTTCAAGAAATTCCTGACGTTCATGGCCAAGGTCTGAGCTCTGGAGGACTGGGGCATTGTCCATTCCTTAGTCTCCAGGTTTTGGGAGAGGAAGAGCTCCCCATCGTAGTAGAAATGCTGGGAGCTCCTGGTGCTGTTGTCTTCATGGATCTCACAGACCCTAATCTCCTGGAGGGAATGCAAGCCTGCCCCCACCCAGCAGTGACTTCTCCATTCCCGAACCCATCACCTTTCCACCCAAGTGAGGAACTCAGCCCAGGGGGTACGCCTCCCTGGCCCTCCTCCATGCCTCCCTGTGTGGGCTGAGTGCCGGCTCACCACCCTGCTGAGTTCCACTGACCCCCATTCCTCACCCCCAGCCTGAGCCAGATCCAGTGGGAAGAGACAGGTCCCTGCTCTCTGCCCCTAACTTTTCTGGAAAAGGCCTCTCCAGTCACTCTTGCCCCTGCCGACTCTCACCTTCTTTCTGGTCCTTGATATGAGCCAGGGTCATCCTGAGGTCCTTTCCGTTCCCTGTCAAGTCTCTGGTCTCTCTGTCCCATGTCTTATTTCCCAGGACATCTTCTGCCCACTGTCCCTGGGGCTTTGCCCTGCATTTCTGCCTGTCACAGCGCAGGAAGGGCTGACCATCCAGATGTACCTCAGTGAGAAACCCTGACTGCACAGATCCATCCCAGGACAGCACCGTGAGGTTATAACGAAGACTGTGGGGCTCTGGGGAAGAGGAAATCACAGGTGAAACTTCTTCCTGGAAATAACTTCACATTGATGTTTAACACACAGGTCTGCTGTCCCAACCTTCCTGAGGAGGCAGGAAATGCACACAGGCAAAGGGACAAGAACGAGGATTTCATATACAAAGAAAACTGTGAGGGTGGGAGGATAGAGGAGGGGGCTGATGAACAGAAGAAGGGGGAATGAAGATGGCAAACTTGTAGGCCAGGTGCAAGGACTGGGTGGCCACAAGCCCCCTAAGGGAATAGGGGCCAAGGGGAGAGGCTGCCCTGCAGGGGCGAGGGAGGAGCATGAAGGTGGTGGAAGGAAGGTCTTGCCAGAGGGGATGGTGGGAATGGGAAGGGACTCAGGCTCAGAGGGACCCATGTCCAGTGTGGCTGTGGTGCACAGGTGAGGGTGAGATGGAGGCAAGGGGAGCTGCCTCGAGAAGAGACTCATCATGGGCATGGTGGGGACAAGGGAGGGGGTGGTCATGAGGCACAAAGGGTAGGAAGGTTGTAGCCCCAGAGAAGTTTATAGTGGGGTCAGTATCCCAGAGGGGAGCAACGGTGTGGGCTTGGGTTCAAAGTGGAAGAGTGGCATGACAAGGCCCCAGGACAGCAATTGGATGGAACAGCTAGTGTCCACTGGGGTGAGCAGGTGACAAAGAGTCAGCTGATCTTTTCAGCAAATAGTTCTGGGGGCAGGGGGTGTTAAAATAAAATTGGACCCTTAATTTGCACTATATACAAAAATTAACTCAAAATGAATCAAAGACCTAAACTCTACACTCAAGAACTAAAACCTAAAAATTTCTTAGAAGCAAACATTGGGGATAATGTTCATGACATAGGATTTGACAGTGCTTTCATGGATATGACACCAAAGCACAGATAGAATAGAAAGAACTGACAAAGTAGACTGATGAAAATTCAAAACATCTATGCATCAAAGGGCACAATCAGAGTGAAAAAGCAATCAACCCCGAAATGAAATAAATATTGCAAGTCATATATCTGATAAGAGATTAGTTTCCAGAATATATAAAAAAGTCTGACAAAAACAACAAAAACAGTCAACCCACTAAAAAATGGGCAAAGTAGCCATGAGAAGCTATGTGGGGGAAAAAATGGGCAAAAGACTTAAATGGCCAATTCTTCAAAGAAAATTACAAATGATCAACAAACACATGAAAAGATGCTCAATATCAGCACTCATTAGGAAAATGGAAATCCAAACCACAATGAGATGCCACCTGAAACCAATCAGGATGGCTGTTATCACACACCTACACACACACACACACACACACACACACACACACACACACACAGAGCAAGGTTGGCAAAGAGACAGAGAAAATGAAGCCCCTGTGTACTGCTTCTATTTCTGGATATATACCCAAAAGAAATACCCAAAGGAAATAAATATATACCCAAAGGAAATGAAATATTTGCCAATATCCAAAAGGTAGAAGTAACCCAAGTGTCCGTTGTCTGAGGGATGGATAACCAAGATGTGGTACATACATATAATGAGTATTATCCATCCTTAAAAGGAATGAAATTCTGACCCATACTACAACTTGGATGAACCTCAAAAATATTATTATTATTATTGTCTTATTTTTTTTTTTTGGAGATGGAATTTCACTCTTGTTGCCCAGGCTGGAGTGCAGTGGCCTGATCTCAGCTCACTGCAACCTCCACTTCCCGGATTCAAGCGATTCTCCTGCCTCAGCCTCCCAAGTAGTTGGGATTACAGGCACCCGCCATCACGCCCGGCTAACTTTTATTATTTTTAGTAGAGATGGGGTTTCACCATGTTGGCCAGGCTGGTTTCGAACTCCGAAACTCAGGTGATCCACCTGCTTCAGCCTCCCAAAGTGCTGGAAATCCAGGCGTGAGCCACTGTGCCCACCGAACCTCAAAAATATTATAAGTGAAATAAGCCAGAAACAAAAAGACAAACATTACATGATTCTGCTTAAATGAGGTACCTAGAGTGGTCAAATTCATAGAAACAAAAAGTAGAATGGTGGTTACCAGGGGCCAGAGGTAGGGAGGAATGGGGAGTTACCGATTAATGGGCACAGAGTTTTGGGTTGCACAAAAATGTGAATGTATCTAATGCCACCGAGTATACACTTAAAAGTGGTTAAAACAGTAAAATTTATGTAATGTATAATTTACCACAATTAAACTTTTAAAGAACAACATATGTCAGTCCTATTCAAACTGTTCTGAAAAATAGAGGAGGAGGGAATACTTCCAAACTCATTTTACAAAGCCAGGAATATCCTGATACAAAAACCAGGCAAAGACACATCATAAAAAAGAAAACTACAGGCCTATATCCCTGATGAACACTGATGCAAAAATCGTCAAGGAAATACTAGCAAACCACATTCAACAATACATTAAAAAAGATCATTCTTTATGAGCAAGTGGAATGTATTCCAGGTATGCAAGGATGATTTAACATACACAAATCAATCAATGTAATACGTCATATCAACAGAATAAAGGACAAAAGCCAGTATCATTCAATTGATACTGAAAAAGCATTTGATAAATTCAACATCCCTTCATGATAAAAACTCTCAAAAAACTAAGTATACAAGGAACAGACCTCAATATAATAAAAGCCATATATGACAAACTCACAGCTAGTAACATACTGAATGGGGGAAAACTGAAAGCCTTTTCTCTAAGATCTGGAATAAGACAAGGATGACTAATTTTACCACAGTTATGCAACACAGTACTGCAGATCCTAACTAGAGCAATCAGACAGGAGAAAGAAAGAAAGGGCATTAAAACTGGAAAAGAAGAAGTCAAATTATCCTTGTTTGCAGATCATGTGGTCTGATATTTGGAAAAACCTAAAGACTCCACCAAAAAACCATTAGAACTGAAGAACAAATTCAGTAAAGTTGCAGGATACAAAATCAACATGCAAAAATCAGTGCTAACAGCAAATAATCTGAAAAAGAAATCAAGAAACGAATCCCATTTACAATAGCTACAAATAAAATAAAATACTGAGGAATAAACCTAACTGAAGAAGTGAAAGACCTCTCCAATAAAAACTATAAAACAGTGATGTGGCTGGGCGTGGTGGCTCATGCCTGTAATCCCAGCACTTTGGGAGGCCGAGGCAGGTGGATCACCTGAGGTCAGGAGTTCAAGACTAGCCTGGCCAACATAGAGAAACCCCATCTCTAATAAAAATAGAAAATTAGCCAGGCACAGTGGCACATGCCTGTAATCCCAGCTACTTGGGAGGCTGAGGCAGAAGAATAGCTTGAACCTGGGAGGCGGAGGTTGCGGTGAGCCAAGATCACACCCTTGCATTCTAGCCTGGGCAACAAGAGTGAAACTCCATCTCAAAAACCAAAAACAAAAAACACTGATGCAAAAAATTGAAGGACACAAAAAATGGAAAAGATAGTCCACGTTCATGGATTGGAAGAATCAGTTTTGTTGAAATATCCATACTACCCAAAGTAATCTACAGATTCAATGCAATCCCTATCAAAACACTAATGACATTCTTCACAGAAATAATAAAAATAATCCTAAAATGCATATGGAACCACAAAAAAACCAGAATAGATAAAGCTATCCTGAGCAAAATGAACAAAACTAGAGGAATCACATTATCTGACTTCAAATTATACTACAGAGCTACAGTAACCAAAACAGCATGATACTGGCATAAAAACAGACACACAGACCAATGAAACAGAATAGAGAACCCAGAAACAATTCCATACATCTACAGTAAACTCATTTCCAACAAAGGTACCAAGAACACACATTGGCAAAGGAGAGTCTCTTCAAAAATGGTGCTGGGGAAACTAGATATCCTTATGCAGAAGAATGAAACTAGACCCTGTCTTTCACCATATACAAAAATCAAATCAAAGTGGATTAAAGATGTAAATCTATGACCTCAAACTATGAAACTATACAAGAAAACATTGGGGAAACTCTCTAGGATATTGGACTGGGCAAAGATTTTTAAAGTAATACCCCACAAGCACAGGTAACCAAAGTAAAATTGCATAAATGGGATCATATCAAGTAAAAAGGCTTCTGCACAGCAAAGGAAACAATAAACAAAATGAAGAGACCATCCAAGAATGGGAGAAAATATTTTCAAACTATTCATCTGACAAAGGATCAGTAACTGAAACATATAAGGAGCTCGAACAACTATAGGAAAAAAAATATAATAATCCAATTTAAAAATGAGAAAAGATCTGAATAGTCATTTCTCAAAAGAAGACATATAAATGGCAAACAGGTATATGAAAAGGTGCTCAACATCATTCGTCAACAGATGAAGGCAAATCAAAACTCCTACGAGATAACATCCCACCCCAGATAAACTGGCTTTTATCCAGAAGACAGGCAATAAGGAATGCTGGCGAGGATGTAGAAATAAGGAATGCTGGTGAGGATGTACACTGTTGGTGGGAACGTAAACTAGTACAACCACTATGGGAAACAATGTGGAGGTTCTTCCAAAAACTAAAAATACAATAGAGCTGTCATATGCTCCAGCACTCCCACTGTTAGGCATATACTCCAAAGAAAGGAAATCGGTATATTAAAGAGCTATCTACTTTTCCATGTTTATTGCAGCACTATTCAAAGTAGCCAAGATCTGCAAGCAATCTAAGTGTCCATCAACAGACGCATGGATAAAGAAAATGTGGTGTACATGTGTATGTGGAGAACTATTCAGCCATCGTGTCATTTGCAAAGAACTGGAGGTCATCCTGTGAAGTGAAATAAGCCCCAGGCCCAGACAGACAAACTTTGCATGTTCTCACTTATTTGTGGCAGCCAAAATTTAAAACAATGGACCTCATGGGGAGAGACAATAGAATGATGATTACCAGAGGCTGAGAAGGGTAGTGGGGAGTGGGGGAGCAGGGATGGTTAATAATGGGTACAAAAATATAATTAGAATGAATAAGATCTAGTAGATAGCACAGCAGGGTGAGTACAGTCAACAATAATTTATTGTACATTTAAAAATAACTGAAAGAGCATAATGGGATTGTTTGTAGCACAAAGAAAGGATAAATGCTTGTTGTGATATAACCCATTTACCCTGATGTGATTATTACATATTGTAGGCCTGTGTGAAAATATCCCATGTACCCCATAAATATATACATATATATCTACTACGTACCCAAACAAAAGTTAAAAATTAAAAACAAAGCAAGGGGTGGGGGTGCTGGCCAGAGAGAGAAAACCAAGGTAGAGGGGGAGATTCTCAGCCTGAGGAAGGACCTGCCAAAAGGAGTAATGCTGGAGGGGGAGCAGTGGCACCCCAAGAGCAGGCAAAACAGATTTTAGATATGCGGTGTGGGGAGTGAGAGCCCACTGGGGTCAAGGAACCAAAAGAAAAGAAGGAAGGTCAAGGAACAGTTGGCCCAACAGCCTGTTTTAGGTCTGGGTTGGGGAGGGGAGATGGGCAGAGCAAGAACTGGAGGGCGGCATGAGCATGGGGCAGGAGTGACTGTGGGAGAACTTGGGGTAGGGTGAGGACAGGAGGGGAGGGTGCTCTGGGGGAGGGTGGGGCTTGGGAAAGATGCTCAGCACTGTCATATGCTCCAGCACTCCCACTTTCCCACTGAAAGATGAGAACGTGCTGAGGGCCCAAGGCAGCTGGGCAAGAGATAGGAGCAGCACAAGGTCCCAAGGTGGAGAGGGGCGGAGGGACCAGGGAGGGATGGTCCAGCACCTGTGGGCTGGAGGGTGGGGTCCTCAAGAGGGTGAGGCTGAGGATGAAGGAGTGGGGAAGGGGCCACAATGAGGCAGGGTCCAGAGCAGGCATCTGCACTGGAGGGGAGGGGGCATCTGCGCTGCCCTGCGCCCTGCCTAAGGCCCAACTGCCATTAGCATCAGGGTTCCCCTTGGGGGTCTGGAGGGGAGTGGGATGGAGGGAAGACCCCCCCGGATAAAAGGCAGCACCAGAAAGTTAGAGTCAGGGACATTTGGGAACGGGGAGGCATAGGGGCAGCACTGGGTGAAGGCTGCTTGTAGGAAAGGCCCATAAGGGGTGCAGGAGGGACCTTCGGTGGCGGGGACAGGGGATGAGGGCAGAGGACACCCTAGAAATGGATCAGAGAACAGCACACAGGAAGGGGTAGCAGGGAGCTGGGAGGGCAAAAGGACTCAGCGGGCCCTGAGATGGGCAGGGAGGAGGTGAGAGGGAATCTGGTGTCCTTAGATCACTGGTCATTAGTAGGGGTGGGATGAGAGAGAGGAGAGGACCCTCGGAGCCAGAGGCGAGGGGAGAATGAGCTGGGGATGAGAGAAGTCGCAGGAAGAATCCTCTGCCCGGAGCCTGCAGACTCCAACCCCTCAGCTTGAGAGTCAGGACCCCCCACAGTCCCCACAGCAGCAGGAAGCACCAGCTCCGGGTCCCGAGAAAGGAGGGCCCCTACTCCAGGAGCTGCGGCCCAGGAGCTGAGAACACGTCGGCTCCGGGAGAGGACAGGACTTCAGGGACCTGAGAGCCGCCCCGAGCACCGGGGGTTGTGGCTGCTTCAGTGGCCGCGCTGGAAGGGCACTCGAATGCCATTCACAGGAGCAGCCCCGGAGGCAGCCCGGGAACCCATGGGCCTCAGAAGGACTGGTTTGTCCGAAAAGTGAGAGGAAGCGGAGGAGACGCGAGGAGAGAAAGAGCAGGAGGAGACCAGAAAGTGCAGGTGATGCGCGATCCCGAGGAGGACTGAAAAGTGACGGGGAAGCAGGGCTGAAGTGTGGCGGTAACGGGCCGCGTCCAGCTCCCTGCGCCACCGACAGGGCACAGGAGCCCCGCCCTGACCGCACAGCGCTCGCCGCTACCCACCCGACCCCCGGAAACGTCCCACTGCTCCCGCTCCGCCGAGGACCGCCAGGAACGCCACTCACCAGCAGCAGCTCCCGGAGGTGCAAAAGGGAAGATGCCAGCCAGAAGCAGGAAGACCGGGCCCAGCCCCATGGCCCCGACGTCGCCACCCTCTCAGCGGCTCAAGCAGTGGCCGGGGAGAAGGCGCCGCGGAAACTTAGTCACCTGGCCCGGTCCCCCGACCGCTCATCCAATGAAACTGGGGCCCGGAACTTAGGGCCAATCACGAGCGGAGAGGGCGGGGCCACGCTTGGAAGAGAAAATTCCAGTGGGCTGGAGACCTGGGGAGATTTAGAAGGCGGGACCTGGGGCCCAGAAAATGGGGAGCACGCGGGAGCGCAGCCTAAAGCAGGGACCAGCTTCGAGTAGCTGAGAGTACAGCTCCAACTTCATAAGCACGGCCAGGGCCCTGCCTGCCCTCCCGGCATCGCGACCACCCATCCCCGCGCCCCCACCCCGAGGAGCGCGGGCCTCACCAAGCCCCTTTCGCCGGCCGCCCCATTAAACCGGCTCTCACTGGCTTGTTCCTTCCAGGACAGACAACGCGTGGCTATTCTCCCAACACACTCCCTCAACCGCGCACAGCGTTACTGGCAATGAGACCAGTGACCAGATTTGCAGACCTGTTTCCAGATCTCAGCCACCTCTGCCTCTCAGAAGCACCTGCCGCAGTAGAACCGCTCAGACCACAAACTCTCTTAGACGTTTCAGCTTTATAATCTCCTTCTCCTCCCTTTGACTCAAAGCCAGGCCCCCCTTTCACCCCCTTATATCCTCTAAGTGTCTGAAGTCTCCCAGGGCCGCCTCTCTATTCAGTCCCTGGGTGATCACAGGGCCAAGGAGGCGGCTCCCTGTGGTTCACTACAACACCAAGCTCTCTCCAGACTCCCTTTTCCAGCCTGCCTTAGGACATCTGTACCTCCGACCATAGTCCCCTCCAATGTGAGAGATCTACAAAGACTCTCTATACGTCTGCCACCATATCATCCTCTCTTCCTCCTCAGTTTCTCTTAAGAACATCACCATCCTTGGTCCCTTCTGATTTCCTCTTTCCCCATCATCTCCGGGAGTCAAAGTCAGCTCCTTCAACGCTATTTCAATCCCACAGCCACAATCTTAGTCTAGGCTTTCCCCTCCCTTCAGCCTAGATTACTGCACAGCCTTCCTAAACACGGTGCCTGCCTCAGTTACAACCAGAGTGCTCCAAGCCACCCACAGCGCCCCATCTGCTGAATGTCACACATGATGGATGCTTCTACTCTACCGTGGAAAACCTCAGCTGCCACAATCTGCTGTCTGGCACCACCCCCATTTCTCTGGTGACATCTCCCCAGGGTTGCAGTAAACGTGGGCTCGGGGATCTCCTCACCCTATCCCACCAGGATGCCACTGCCTAAGCAGTCTCCCTCTTCCAGGCTATTGTAACCTCTGCCTTGGAACCCATCAGACCACACCATATCCTTAAAATCTTCCCAGGCTGGTCTGAGTGCAGTGTTTACAACTAATTGATCACAACCAGTTATAGATGTCTTTGTTTCTTCTTCACTCCCACTGTTTCACTTGACTAGCCTTTAAAATAAAAAGAAAAGAAAAAAGAAAAAAAGGAAAAAAAATCTTCCAGGGTAGACAGTGGTGACGGTGGCACAACCTTGTGATTACGCTAGAAGCCACTGAGCTGCACACTTTAAAAGGATAAATTGTGTGGCATATGAATTCTCAATTCTCAATAATAAGAATGCTGTCCCGAAAGCCTCTTTCTACTAAGAGAATTGCCTTGTCCCCAACGCACATCTCTTAGTCGTTGGGACATCTAGGCAGAGGTCATCAAACCTAGCCACTGCGTAGAACCACCTGGAGAGTTTTTAATATCCATGTTCCCAGGCCACAGCCACAACCTAGGTTGTTAAATCAGTAAACCCAGGTTGGACCTAAATCTTAGTATCTTTTAAAGTTCCCTAGGTGATTCCGATGTGTAGTCAAGTTTTAGAACTACTGATTTAGCCCGTGGTTTGAACCTTCCTGATAGTACTCATTGTGCCCTGCCATGAATTTTTTTTTTTTTTTTAAGAGAGGAGTCTTGCTGTGTCACTCAGTTGGAATGCAGTGGCATGATTATAGCTCACTGCAGCCTTGAATGCCTGGGCTCAAGCAATCCTCCCACCACAGCCTCTTGAGTAGCTGGGACTACAGGCGAGTGCCACCACACCCAGCTGTCATCTACCATCTTCTACCCTATGAACCCTCCAAGATCAGGAAATGTGTCCGTTTCTTCTTTGTCAGCCTCACAAACTTTTTTTTTAAGTTCAACTATCCCTGTCATTACTAACTATTCCCCCATGATCC
Source organism: Homo sapiens (assembly GCF_000001405.40). Taxonomy (NCBI): domain Eukaryota; kingdom Metazoa; phylum Chordata; class Mammalia; order Primates; family Hominidae; genus Homo; species Homo sapiens. Next base: position 2,657,009 of record NT_167248.2, on the reverse strand, counting down.
CTAGCCTACACTTTTCTGTGGATGAAAATGTAATGTATTCGAGAATTTTAACAATTTCTTAGTTTTCCCATTCACATTCACTGATAATTTATTTTGATCCTCATAATTTATTGAGCACAGCAGGGACCGGGGTCCTTTCCCCACCTTAGAGAGATTATTTTCACTGCTAAAGATCATAAGCCTAGTGAGAGACTGGGAGGGAGATGGACCTAGCTCTCCTGACACAGGTCCCAAGCCCTTACCTCCACGGTGTCTACCCTCCCTCCAGGACTTCCTCCGTGTGCCAGCTCCAGCAAAGGATCTGATTCAGCTCGCCCCCAAAAAAGACTTTTAATAGTTCAATAACAATAATGAATATGCAAGGTTTGTTCTAAGGCATTTAGAAATGGTTTCAGGGAGTCATGAAGCCAGTCCTCTCTTGGGCTAGGGGAGGCCGAGATGGTCTTGAGCTCCAGGGGACTTGTTTCTTAGTGCCCAGGCCTGGGCGCCCCTCCCCCACCAAGCCTCCCAGGTCTTCTGTCCAAAGCCCTCCCCCTCCACCCCACCTCCAACCCCGTCTGCTCTACCCCATCAACTACGTTTTCTCCCTCAGCACTTGCCTTATACCCCATGCACTCACGAGCACAGAGGCGACTTCCCTCTCTCAGACTTTAGGCGCCACTGCAGGGTCCGGAAAAGAAAGAGAAACGGCCCAGCGCGGTCGCTTACATAACCCAGGGCGGGGCTCCGCTCCGCCCCCGAAAGTTTTTGCGACGGAGTTTTCCCTCTTGTTGCCCAGGCTGAAGTGCAATGGCGCGATCTCGGCTCACCGCAACCTCCGCCTCCAAGGTTTAAGCGATTCTCCTGCCTCAGCCTCCCGACTAGCTGGGATTACAGGCATTCACCACCAAGCCCGTCTAATTTTATATTTTTAGTAGAGACGGGATTTCCCCATGTTGGTCAGGTTGGTCTCGAGCTCCCGACCTCAGGTGATCGCCCGCCTCGACCTCCCAAAGTGCTGGGATTACAGGCGTGAACCACCGTGCCCGGCCTTGGCCGCATGTGTTTTGAATTTTGCTGCCCGGAATTCACTGCGAGGACTGGGATCACCCGTCACCCCGCCCTGGTCTACGGAAAATGAAATGTGTTTACTGATATAGAAACGGAATAACGGCGCTGTGGGCTGGGGAGGGCCGAGCTGCCTTCAGGCTTCTGGTCTCCAGCTGCAGGGCACTCACACCTGCCCGTTATGAAAATGCAGACCCGCAGGGCAGGAATTCCGAGTCCGGGCTGGAGCGCGATCTGGAATCCGGCTCTCTTGAAACAGCACCGCGGAGGATTCGGATCCGGGTGAGTAGGAAACTGCGCCTCAGCCCCTCCCACGGGCCGCCCACGTATTCCAGGATCCGAAAACGCTTCCTGCTGCTCCGTCACCCCAGGAAGGCAGCGTCCGCCTCTGGGCGGTTCTGATGGAAACCGGCTGCGCCGCCCGCAGGAAAACCCACAACTAAGGGGCCAGGAAAAAGCCTCTTAGGGTCCCGCCACTTCAGTGAGGATCCTAATTTACACCCTTAGTTTGGCCTCCATGAAAGACTGGAGTGACCTTCACTGAAATGATACAAGGGGCCCAGGGAGCTGCGGCGCTCAGAATGCGGTGACAGCGCCGCCTCGCGTCCCTTCCCTGACCTGCTCCCAGCGGACGCGGAGAAGTTTGTTGGCCTGGAGGCTGGAATATACCGGGGATCAAATGCAGAGAATGGAGAAAAGAGGGAAGGATGGGGGGACGTGTTGAAGAAATGAGGGAAGAGATAGGAAGAAAAGGGGAGAGAAAAAGTAAAGGAGAGTTTTTTTTTTTTTTTTTTTTTTGAGACGGAGTCTTGCTCTGTCGCCCAGGCTGGAGTGCAGTGGCGCGATCTTGGCTCACTGCAAGCTCCGCCTCCCGGGTTCAGGGCATTCTGCTGCCTCAGCCTCTGGAGTAGCTGGGACTACAGGCTCCTGCCACCACGCCCGACTAATTTTTTGTATTTTTAGTAGAGACGGGGTTTCACTGTGTTAGCCAGGATGGTCTCGATCTCCTGACCTCGTGATCTGCCTGCCTCGGCCTCTCAAAGTGCTGGGATTACAGGCGTGAGCCACCGCACCCGGCCGGAGAGAGAAAATTTAAAAGACGTAGTTTCATTATTTCTTTTATTTTTGCCCTTTATCTAGTTTTACTTGTGAACATTTTTACCACAAATTTCTCTCTCTCTAAATCTGTAAATATGCTGCTATTATTGTTATTTCAGAGCCTGTGAGGGTAAGTTGCAGACAGCATGACCCTCTACCTCCAGATGTGTCAGGGTGTGTCTCCTGGGCACAAGAACAGGGTTTTTGTTTTGTTTTGTTTCACATAAGCAAAGTACAAGTCTCAAAGAGGATAATATTTTTAAATCATCTTATTGGGACATACTTTGCATGCAATAAACTGCATCTATTTAAAATGTTCAACTTGTTGAATTTTAGCTGTTGTACACACCCACATCTCCACTACCACAGTGAAGATAAAGAAGATTTTAATCGTCTCCCAAAGAACAGCTACACGATAAAATTCTATGTTGTCATTAAAAAGAGTAAGAGCAATTTTAAGTATTGCTATGAAAAGATGTGCCCAGCATACTTTTAACCTTTTTTAAAAGGTTAAGGAGGCTGGGCACAGTGGCTCATGCCTGTAATCCCAGAACTTTGGGAGGCTATGGCAGGCAGATAACCTGAGGTCAGAAGTTCAAGATCAGCCTGGCCAACATGGTGAAACCCTGTCTCTACTGAAAATGCAAAAATTAGCCGGGCGTGGTGGTGGGTGCCTGTAGTTCCAGCTGTTTGGGAGGCTGAGGCAGGAGAATCGCTTGAATCTGGGAGGTAGAGGTTAGAGTGAGCCGAGATCATGCCACTGCATTCCAGCCTGGGCGAAAATGCCACTAATATCACTTACATAATATTAATATATATTTGAAGTAGGGGAAAACCTGGAAGATTCCTCACCAAAGTTTTGACAGTGACTCCAGAGACTGGGATAACTTTGTGACTTTCATTTCCTCTTAAATGTTGTGCCAGGGTCTGACCGGCAGACCCAGGCTGCACGATGGATGAATAATGTACTCAGACACCGATATTCAGTGAAAGAGTGCACCAGAGGGCCAGGCCACTCACAGAAAGGGTTGTGGCAGCTGCGTGCCCTGACTATCTGGCCCTGTGGGCCTTTATTCAGCACAGATTTAATGACAAAGGCTTTGAGTCAACACACCTGTGGGTAATTAATCTGGTCGCAGTCCCCCGGAGAGAGCAGTCCTACAAATGATCAAAGGTAAACATGCTCTTTAGATAAACTCTCTTACATGTCTTTGTACTTACTCGAAGCTATTAACTCAAGGTAAGGGGATTAGGCTGCTTTCAGCTATAACCCTATCCTGAGGCTTTTGCAAAACTTTCCACCTTCCAAGAAGGTTTGTGTCTATTTCCTATAACTTTATCTTTATAATTATTCCCACCACCTGACCAATCCCCTACAATGTTGGAATTTTATCTTTTAGTGTAAACTTGGATTTGGGTGGATTGCAGTGGTTCATGACTATAATCCCAGCTCTTTGGGAATCGAAGGCAGGAAGATTGCTTAAGCCCAGGAGTTCCAGGCTGCAGTGAGCTATGATTGTGCCATTGCACTCCAGCCTGAGTGACAGGAGGAGACCCTGTCCCCAAAACAGAAAAATAAATAAAATTTTAAAATAATAAAAATTATAAACTTGGATTTATGTGGAGGTTAAGGAAGAGAATATTTCAGTTTGAAAATATGAAGCTAAGCCCCACAACGAAATAGTTACAGAGTTTTAAAAAAGAAAATGTTCATTAAAACCCACCACCAGAAACTCTCTTTCAAGAGGATCCTTCATATTTTCATGGCATTGAATCTTTCTTAAAGTGCATTTGAAAGAGATGTTTTCAGTGGAATAGAGAGATGTGTAACAATATTTACAAAAGCGGTTGGCTGTAATAAAAAGGAAAACGCAAATGAGTGGGGACACAGGGGACCCTGTTCCATTTATTCTCAAAGCACGTTTGAAAACTGCGTTGCCATAGCGTCCTTGGGTAGAGGCAAAGTCGAGGCAGATCTTGTTCCTGGAGTATTGATTTGATTTTGGAAACGGTCCAAGGCTTTCAGAAATCAGGCTGACTTTCAGATCTAAAGTCTCAAGAATATTCGTTCTAGCAGTGAGCCTGTGAGAATCTAGCCCATCTGGGCGATGCACGCTCTGCTTCCACCTAGTGGCAGTGGTTGGAAGGACAGGGCACAGTGTTACTGCATGGGTGGGGCTGAAGCCAAGGTGAAACCGCCTTTGCAAAATTATAACTAAGGAAATGATGACAGTGAAAGACATCAAACCTAACTGACCCCATCTTGCTTCCAACCGCTAAACTGCCCTTCTTCATTTCTAGGCGTAGGCTGAACTAGCCTTGGGAAGGAATTTAGTTTATAGTTTAAAGGGAAACTGTTCTTGTAAAACGAAGAAAGGCCACCGGCCATTAAGTTAGGATGAGAGGGGCTGGAATTCTGAATATTACCAGCCATTATTCCAGAGGTCATAAGATTTGCAACTTCTCCAGTTACTCTTGAAGGTAACATCACTATTGTGAACCTCAGAGTGGCCTTTTGAGATGTCTTTTCAGGTTTTTGTATTTTTAACAGCTGGAGGGCCCCATCTGGACCTGCCAACCAGTCCTGTGGCCCCCACGTTCAGGAACTGACTCAGCCTAAGAGAATGGCCTCCACTCACTATGATTTCATACCGGAGCCAACCAGTCAGCACTCCCGATTCACTGGCCCCCCTATCCACCAAATTATCCTTAAAAACTGATGAGAGTTTTTGGGGAGACTGATTTGAGTAATAAAACTCTGGTCTCCCGCACAGCTGGCTCTGCATGAATTACTCTTTCTCTGTTGCAATTCTCCTGTCTTGATAAATCGGCTTCGTCTAGGTAGCCGGCAAGATGAACCCACTTGGTGGTTACAAAGGGAGTCCAGGCCAGTGTGCATTACTGTAGTGGGGTCCAGGTAGCGGAGGAAAGGCGAGGACACTCAGGGAATAAATGGCAGAGGAAGAAGGAGCACAAGGGAGGACCCAAACCCTCCAGACCTCTCCTTCCTTCTCTCCCTGTTAGGGTTGGAGGGAACCAGCGTGGTCCCAGGAGGGGTGGCTGGTGGGGTGCAGAAAACGCCCTGGTTGCAAAGGGGCCTCACGTGCCCGACACAAGGGTCCTGGCTGTTAGCTGCTACTCATGAGTTCAAACTAGGAGGAGGCTCACACGTGTCCTTTGCAAAGTAGACTCCTTATCTCCCACTCCGGCTGGTTTCCCAAATCCATCCTGATAAAGCAGAAAAACCAAGAGCCAAATTCTGCGGGTGACCTTTCTGACAGCTGGAAGGTCCTCCCCATCCCCATTCCTTGCGTGCTCTCCTCTTGTCCTGCCCCCTCTGCTTTGTCTCCACTTCCTCATCCTTTTCCCTCTCTGGACCCTGCTCCTGAGTATCTCCCACCTTCTTCAGACAACTTCTCCTCATGAAGTACAGAGTCCCCCACCTCCAGGAAAAAGAGACAAAGACCACGAGAAGGACCTGAGAAACGCCTGTGACCCCACCCCTGAGTCCAGCCTCTCCCTCAGCGCTGGCTCTGGCTGTGTGTGTGTGTATGTATTTTTGTTTTGTTTGTTTGTTTTTGAGACAGGGTCTCACTCTGACAGTCTGCAGTGTCCTGATCACAGCTTACTGCAGGCTCCAACTCCTGGACTCAGGCAATCCTCCCACCTCAGCTTCTCGAGTAGCTGGGACTACAGACTGGAGCCACCACACCCAGTGTGTGTGTGTGTGTGTGTGTGTGTGTGTGTGTGTTTGTGTATATATATACCCTTTTTTTTTTTTTTTTTTTTTTTTTTGTAGAGACTGGGTCTTGCTTTGTTACCCATGCTGGTCTTGAACTTCTGGCTTCAAACAATTCTCATGCCTCAGCCTCCCAAAGTGCTGAGATTACAGGCATAAACCACAATGCCTGGCCCCTGTGTGTGTACATACAAAGTCAAAGTGCTAAACCTGGCGCCTAGGAAACATCCCCACCTAGGCATTGCTTGCAACAGTCGGTATTTTGTGCACCTGTGCTTTTATTTCAGGAGCTGGGACAGTTATATTCATCAGAACAGCACGGTGTCAAGGCCCTCACCCCCAGAAAGCTTAGGAGACACTGTTTTATGGAGGAGAGTGAGATTGGAGGAAGCCCTGACTCCAGGTCTCCTGATCCTTCCTACACAAAGCGAAGCTGAAAAAAAGTGCAGGACACTCCATTTCCTCCTGGGACCAGACAGGGAAGCCAGAGCCACCATGGATGTCAAATTCCGGCAAGGAAACACCAGTATAGCAAAATCTCCACATCACATTTTAAAGCTCACACAATGGCTCAAAGAGAACCCACATCAAAAAACCGAATTCCTAGCTCAGGTGAGATCACCAAAGTTGCCTGTGAGGCTTCGTGGAACCTGCAGGTAGAAAGGACATCTTTATTTCGAGCTGCAGCCCAGTTGCTTCTGCGTCTTGGAGCCCCTTGAAAGGACCCTCTCCCTTCAACAGTACATAGGGAGGCCATTTCTGAGGAGAAATGTAGACTGTCCTTAGACTCCTGAGGTTTTTACACTTGCTTGCTGACTCTGTGGACTTTGACTTCATCATTAAACATCTTATAATGATGTAATTTGCTTTGACTGTAAGTGTAGAACAGGACGCTGTTCCTGAATCAGGAAACAAGGGACTGGTGACCTGAACTGCCACCACCCTCCCTGGTGCTCAGATGCAATGAAATCGTGAGGCAACAAATCTATGGCTAGGTAAAGGGTCAACTCCATTTCAGCAAATGTTTCAGATGTTCCTTCCTGCCTAGTAATGTTCCAGCTTTACCCCAGCCTTAATCTTTTAAAATGTATATTTTCCTTAGCGTTGATTTTAAAGTAATTCGTATGTATTTATTACACTGGGTTTGTTGCAGTAAGCCACCTCGAATGTTGCTGTAGAATTAAAGTAAGCAAATAAATGTGTGGTTCTCCAAGGAGTTATTGCTAACACCATCTTAAAAATGTATTAACCCCAAATCCAATCACTTCTCACTCCTCTACTGCCTCCTCCCCAGGGCCATCCTCTCCAAGATAGTAAACCAGAAGGCCTTCCAGCTGGGCTGCCTGCTGACTCTCACACCCGCTGTCCATCACCCACACAATAGTCAGAGTGAGCATTTCAAATGGGAATTAGAGCTCATCCTCGCCTCCGCGTCCCACAGACATGCCAGCCTCTTCCCTTCTTAGCACAGTGAAACCCCAGTCTCTCACTATGTTTTACAGCCCCTCATCCCTCATCACAGGATCCTTCTGGCCACTCTGGCCTCATCCCACCCCTCTCGGCCCAGCTCATTCATCTCCACTAACACTGCTCAATCCTGTCTCAGGCACCTCCCACTGGAACTCCCCAAGTGCACCTGCTCCCCAGGGATCCAAAGGGATCCAAAGGCCCCTCACACCATTCAGGTCTCTGCTCAGACGTCCAGTGTTCAAATTCCCAGGAACATCTTGATCAACAGACTATATCTCCTACCATCCTCACCACCATCAACCTTCTAGCTCAAGCATATTTTCTCCATAACAATTATCACCGGTATTAGAATTGTTTTCATTTGTTTCATTGGTTGTCATGTTCTTCGAGGCAGGGACCTTGTCTAGTCACCACTTGGATTTCCAGCATCTAGAAATCCAAGGACAGAGAAGGGGCTCAATAAATATGGGTTGAGTAAATGGGTGAATATAATTGGTACACTGCTTTTTTTTTTTTTTTTTTTTTTTTTTTGAGACAGAGTCTCTCTCTGTCACCCAGGCTGGAGTGCAGTGGCATGATCTCGGCTCACTGCAAGCTCTGCCTCCTGGGTTCACACCATTCTCCTGCCTCAGCCTCCAGAGTAGCTGGGATTACAGGCGTCCGCCACCACGCTTGGCTAATTTTTTGTATTTTTAGTAGAGATGGGGTTTCACTGTGTTAGCCAGAATGGTCTGGATCTCCTGACCTCGTGATCTGCCCGCCTGGGCCTCCCAAAGTGCTGGGATTACAGGCGTGAGCCTCTGCGCCCAGCCGGTACACTGCTTTTGAGAAGTAATTTGATAATATGTATGAGAAGGCTTAAAAATGTTCATGCGGCCAGGCATGATGGCTCACGCCTGTAATCCCAGCACTTTGGGAGGCCGAGGCGGGTGGATCATGAGGTCAGGAGTTCGAGACCAGCATGGCCAATATGGTGAAACTCTGTCTCTACTAAAAATACAAAAAGTAGCCAGGTGTGGTGACGTGTGCCTGTAATCCCAGCTACTTAGGAGGTTGAGGCAGGAGAATCTCTTGAACCCAGGAGGTGGAGGTTGCAGTGAGCTGAGATCTCGCCACTGCACTCCATCCTGTGTGACAAAGCGAGATTCCGTCTCAAAAAAAAAAAAAAATTTCATGCCTTTTGACCCAGTAACTTTTATTGAGAAATCTGTGATTTTAAAACAAAATCCAATATATAGAAAGATCTTTAGGTATAAGGATATTAATTACAATAATGAAAAAAACATGCAAAAGAAGAGTGGCTAGGTCCTCTGTTTGGAAACAGCCTACAGCTGGTGAAAGCTGTGTGTAAGAAGATTTTGTAATATGATAGAAAGTTGTGTATTGATAATAAAGTTTTGAAAAGCAAGATTCAAAATAACTCATAAGCATGACGACACTAAGTCATCCTGCACAGTCACCCGCATGCACAAAAACCAGGAGTGGAAACTCAGGGGCAGCTGCAAAGCACAGCTCCAGGCCCCTTCCCTCTGAAGTCTGAGGCTCTGCCAGGCAACGTTTCATCCCGATCCTCCCAGTGGAGACACTGGCAGTTTCCATCCTTCTGCTTCTTTATACCTTTTTATATTTTCTGTACTTGAGATTTTACTTCCTAAGAAGATAAAATACCTATTAGAAAGTTTTAAAAATTTGAAATAAAATTTTAAAGAAGTCCAAATGTCTGGCCAGGCGCATTGGCTCATGCCTGTAATCCCTGCACTTTGGGAGGCCGAGGCGGGCAGATCACGAGGTGAGGAGTTCGAGACCAGCCTGGCCAACATAGCGAAACCCTGTCTCTACTAAAAATACAAAAAATTAGCTGGATGTGGTGGTGGGTGTCTGTAATTCCAGCTACTCAGGAGACTGAGGCAGGAGAATCGCTGGAACTCGAGACGCAGAGCTTGCAGTGAGCCAAAATCGTGCCACTACACTCCAGCCTGGGTGATAAGAGCAAAACTCTGTCTCAAAAAAAAAAAAAAAAAAAAGTCCAAATGTCCATTCCCAACTCAGCTTCAAGGAAAGTCTCCTCTAGACTCCACAGGGTAGAAATTCCTGTTGATGGCACCTTCAGAAGGTAAGAAAGGAACTCGTCCTCCACCATGCCTGACCCGTCTTTGGGTTTTAGGCATTGGCCGACTGATAAAGGCAATACTGAGAGTGTGATCAATGTGTAGACGACCGATTGTCATATAATATGAATCTCACCACACCTGAGAGAGTGGGATAGGTTCTCTCATTTTCATAGTTTGGGCATCTGAGTCCCTGAGAGCCTGAATGCCTGACATGGATTCTCCAAGAATGTTGGCCTTCAGACTCTAAAGGGCCCCGGGTCTCCTGTGAAGCCCCCTGTGCATGCATCACACCCGCAGAGGCTCCACAACGGCGGGAAGGGCACCCAGGGTCAGAGCCCAGGCGAGTTCACACTCGGGGACCATCCACATCCAGGGCGTGCAGGGGAGGGGCCGAGGTGAGAGCCCAACCCCTGCCTAGGCTGTGGTGACTGGTGGCTGCACGGGGGTCCCAGCGCTCCTGGAGCTATCATTCTTTATCTCCTGAAGACCCCGGACCCGCACATACCAAAATTCTGCATTTCTGGTGGAGCGGTCTTCTCTTTTGAGATGTAAACACTACTTCTCGAATCTTAAAGCCAGCCATTGCCACTCCTAAGGGATAAGCCTCTAACTCCACTGAAATTAGCCTCAGAATTTCAGCTGAGCATTTGGAGCCACAGGCAGGAAGTCTGTGGGATTTGCACCTGGCTGATCTGGAAGGTGGTCCTGAAAGGTAGTGTGTGACTAGGGGGGCTTTGAGGGGCATGGATGTCCCTGATGAGAGGAGAACAAGACAGATGGGAAGGTTCCAAAAGTGAACTTTAGGGGGCCCTGTGCCCATCACTAGGATTTGGAAAATCTTTTCCCAGCCACTTTTGGCCTGTGGGTTTTCATTCTGCTTTCCTGTCTGCCAAGCCATTCCAGGCAATCCCTTCATTTGGTAAACATTTATCAAATACCTACTGTGTGCAGGGCATTGTTTTAAGAGGAGCTGGGACTGAGATAAGAGGAAATAAACCCTCCTTGCCCTCAAGGCGTGCCCAGTCTTGCTCAGGCAGAGATCAGTAAGGAAATCATAACACAAATTGAGAGAGGAAAAAGGAAGAAACTGGTCAGGCGGGCAGTTATGGTGGGTCCTCAGTTGAATTATTTCAAACAAAAGAACGGCCTGCAGGCACAGAGAAGGGAACTTGCACAGGGGGGCTTGCCTAAGACATGCCCACAGCTGCACAAATAAGAAAGGCTGCACAGGAGACTTGCCCAGACATGCCCGCAATGGAAAATTCTGTCCCCCGATACGTGGGCAGTCAGGGAAACAAAGCAATATGGAGTAACTTAAGCTAAGGGCCTGCATGGGCACTAGGAGGATGGGGTGGAGCTACCGGAAATTCGTGCCTTATGCAAATGAGACACCCAGCCCTCATCAGTTTCTTATAAAAGGCTTTGCATTCAGCTGTAAAAATGGCAACCATCTTCCAAGCCCCCTCTCCGTGGGGGAGAGCTTTCTTCTTTTGCTTATTAAACTTTTGCTCCAACCTCACCCTTTGTATCCATGCTCCTTAATTCTCTTGGTGGTGAGACAAAGAACTCCAGGTAACACCTCACAAGGAGAGACTGAGAGGCTGCTACGTTGTGGTGCATTGGCAAGACTAACAAACTGGCTAGTGGGACATGCACACTTGCTTGGTAGACATATATGTAGATCTTCAGCTCTGACTAATGAAGGAATACCAAAAATCTCATAAAAGAAAAAAATATTATTTGAGCTTTGTTTTGTGGTGTAAGTGGGAGCCCCACAGGCACCCAGGATAGGAGAGCTTTGCTCAGAATCCAGGAAGTGAACATCTTTCCCTGGGCCAGGCCAAGAATGAGACTAAGCTGATTGAGGAGCCTGGTGCCTCCTGGCAAGAAAGGGTGTCTGACACCTGACTATCCAGAAGTCACAGCTACTCAATATTGAGACTTGAAACAGAGAGAGAGAGAGAGAGAGAGAGAGAGAGATCTGATTTGAAAAGCAGAATTCTGCTGGGGGCTTGTTAAATGCAGAGTTTCTGATACAGTAGGTCCAGGCCAGGCCCTGAAGATTGCATATCTAAGTTCCCAGGTGATGCCAATGCTGCTTCCCCCAGGACCACACTTTGAGAACCACCACCCTAAGGCAATCTGTGTTGGTTTCTAATATCAGAAGAGGGCTGGGAGTGGGCTGGGAGGCAGAGGTGTAGGATCAGTGAGACCACACCTGACCCACCCTGGACAGCTCCCCACCCCATTCTTGCAGCATTTTATTTCCTGGGAGTCCTGGGAATGGAAGACACCCAGGAAGGGACCAAATGTGGGGTCACAGGGTGATCCAGAGGCTCGGCTTCATACAGCACCTGGGGCTCCCGCCACTCCACAACTGGCCCCCACACCCTCAGTCTTCCCACCCCTCACGACACTGACCTCCAGACCTTCCTCGACTAATCTCAGCAGGTTGGGCCTGGGATGTGACACTAGGAGCTCTGAGTGTACCTTCTGATCCAAAGATAGGGTGACCGCGTATGACAAGTACTCAGATGGGCCATTAATAGGACCTTGAACATTTGGCAAATGGCTTCAGTCACGTGTGCTTGAGAATTCCAGTGTTTTCTAGATATGGCATCCATGAGCCCACACAAACACTGGAGGGCGTCGTGAGCATACTGAAACCCATAACTGCTGCACTGGATCCCCTAGAAACCCTTTCCCACTTAGACCAAGATTTGAACAAAATTTCCTTCACCAAACAAACTGCATTTAATTAATCATGCTGTTATTTTACCTTGTAATGGAAAAAAGATAGATGTAAAGAAAGATCATGCAATTAAAAAGAAAACAATGTACTGAATTAAAATGGCGGTAAACCTCCTTGTTAAAGGAATAACATAATATTTAGAAAATTTTTAAATTTTATTTCGATAAAGGTTAAAAAATTCCATTAGTTTTTAAAAAGTTTTTCATTTTGAATTTTTTGGGGGTTTGTTTGGTCTCCTTAGGAATTATCTTTTATTTCTTGATATAGTTCAAAATTCAAAATTCAAAATGTTCAAAAGGTAAAATGTCTCTCTCTTACCCTGTCTCATCCCCAACAGGCAACCAAGGATATTAACTTCTTGCTTATTCTTCCAAATATATTTTATGCATATGCAAGCAAATATAAATGTGTACATATATATCCTTTGTCCCTTTTCACACAAATTTTAGCAGACTCTATATGTTATTCTACACCTTGCTTTATTTCTTCATGAGGGAATATCAAGAGTTTTCTATGTCTTTCTTCTTTTGTGTTAAATGTTTGTAGACTCTGCCGTGTAGCTATGCAGTGCTTGTTTGGGTTTTCTTAAGAAGGGAGGCCTCCTTATGTTACCCAGAGTGGAGTAGAGTGTATTCACAGGTGAATGCTACTGTGCCCAGCTTGCAATGCTTTTTTAACCAGTCCCCTAGTGACAGACATTTGGATTATTTTTTCTTTTATCTGTCATTTTCTTTCTTCTTTTCTTTTTGCTTTTACAAACAGGGTTGCAACATATAATTCTGAATACAGTCATTTTTCAGGAATGCAGGTGTGTTTTGGACACATTTCTAGAAGTGGGACTACTGGGTGTATGCATTTTTAATTTGGACAGAAATAGCCATACTGCCTTTCCTGAAAACATTTCCAGTTTGCAGGCCCATCTGCAGTATATCAGAGTACCTGTTTTGGTACCATTATTTTTTTGATTATAGAAATATGTAGAGATATATATTTGGGAGCCATCTGTGTCTAGATGATATTTAAAATCCTGAGAGTGGAGGACACCGGAGTGATTAGGAAGGTAGTAACACCCCAGAGTGCTCCAGCATCTACAGCAAAAGGAGCCAATGAAGGGGGACTGAGGAGGAGCAGCCAGTTGGGGAGGAAGAGAACTTGACCTGTAAAATGTCAAAGAAGATTTTAAAGGGGGGAGCTGATACAACCTCTTCAGAGAACAATTTGACATCCTATAACACCACATGGTAAAAGCACAGTAATCCCATTCCTACATCCATATCTTGGGGAACTCACACAGGGGACCAGAGAGAGATGACCCAGGATGTTCATTGTGGCAGTGTCTGTAACAGAAACAAGCTAAAGGTCACGGACAGAAGAGATAAATTGTGGGATATTCCTCCCATGAATACTATCCAGAACTGAAAACAAAGTAACTGTTTCTATGGGTGTGGGTTCACCTCATAAACCATATTAAATGATAAAGCAAGCCACAGAATGATACATTCAACAAAAAACAATTTATACGAAGTCTAAAATCATGTAAAACAAAGGGATTTTAAAAACTTTGTAACAGTATAAAGGCATTCACCAAATTCAAGACATCCGCCACTCCCCACTGGCAGTCCTTGCTTTACTCAGTACAGTATCGACTGAAACACATACATAACAGAACTGTGGAAAATCAGGGCTATCTGCATATATTTCTATTATTTTCTATGTATACTACATATAGCCAATAATATTAAAATGTTACAAATTGACAAACCTGAGTGGTGGCTTCACAAAGATTTCTTTTAATTCTCTATTCTTCCAGCTAGAACTACTTCAGCTAGATCAAGTGGTGGCAGTGATCTGCAAAAGTCAGAGGTCACAGTTACCATGACAACCCCAACAGAGCAGGCAAGGTTGTGCTTGACCTGCAGGGAGTGTGGGGAAGGTTAACAGAGGGCAGTGTCCCAGGTTCAGAACAGAAGGACAGCCAGCAAGGGCGCTGCTTGATATCTATGAAAAGAAAGCAAGAATTGAGGAGCAGGAGGCTGAGGGTGTTTGATCCAAGACAAAGTCATAATCTGTTCTCAATGCCTAGACCTCACCTAACTTTCAGATTCAGATCCCAATGACAGAGGAGGGGAGTCCATATCCCTAGGAGGAAGAACCCTGGAACACCCTGGGAGTATATGCTGGGTCAATTCCCTGAACTCTTCTGCAAAGGAACCTACAGCCATTTACACAGGAGACTGTACACCGGGAAAGGGAAATAGGCAGAATTTGGGTGAGTATTGACTTTGTGTGTGAACTAACATTGATGCCCAGATTCCTACAGCACCATCGTGTCCCATCACAGAGGGGCTTCCAGAGGCCAGGACACATTATAGCTCACAATCCCGTAGTCCCAGCCCTGTTTAGTTCCCTATTCCTTGAGTGCATAATGGCATTGATGCACTGGCAGCTGGAGTGACCCCCACACCGCGTCTCTAACCTGTGGATTAATGGCTCTTATTGCGCTGAAGGCTAAAGGGAAACCTCTGAAACTGCCCCTATCCCAACCGAAGCGATATTACGTCCCAGGGCAGGTCTTGGAGGTTATTGCAGGTATTGTGGGGGGTAGCACCACCATTAGAGAGCTGTAGGAGGTGGGATAGTGCTGGAGTTGCCTATTATCTCCGTGTATTCTGTCCTTGCAGAAGCCCGATAGGACCTAAAGAATGAACAGGATTACTTCAGACTTGACCAAGTAGTGGTCTTGATTGCAGCTGCCATGCTGGCTGGATATCACTGCTAGCAGAAGTTAATGAGGCTGCAGGCCAATGGTGTGCAGCCGAGGATTTGCTGAGTGCATTCCTTTCCAGCTAGAAAGTGGATATGGAGTTATTCACATTCATACCACATTTATTTACACTTTCCCTGAGAGCTGTTATAACTCTTCTGTCATCTGTAACATAGTCTTAAGAGATGCCGGACATTCTACAGAATATTAAATCTGTTCATTTCATTGGCAACATCATAGATTGGGATGGATGAGAAAGAAGGTGGAAAGTATGCTGGAGGTCTTGGTAAAACACATGCACCCCAGAAAGAGGAGGATAAATCTTACAGAAATTTAGGAGTGGCAACTGCAGTGAAATTTTATGGGTCCAGTGGCTAGGTGCATGCAGAGATATTTCTTCCAAGTAAAAACAAAAGAAAACAGAAAAAAAAACCCGTTGCATCTTTCATCTTCAGTGAGAAAAAAAAAAAAAAGAGAGAGAAGCGGACTGCCTGGTGAATCTCTTTGGGTTCTGACAACACCACATTCCACATCTAGGTATATCATTTTGGCCACATTTTGGGTGACATAGGAGGATGCCAGATTCAAGTGGAGCCTACACAGGAAAGGACTCTGCAGCAGATCCAGGCTGTGGTGCAGGCAGCCACCATCCCTCAGACCCCCTGGTGCTGGAGGTGGCAGGGCTGGGGAAAGATGCAGGATGGAGCGAACTGAGCATCAGTGGGGAAAGTCACAATGGAGGGCCTGGGATTCTGGAGTAAGTTCATGTCATCCACAGCAGAAATATATGCCCCCTTCTCGAAGCAACTTTTAGTGTTGCTGGCCCTGATCAGATAGAATTCTTGACCACAGGACACTGAGAACCACGTAATTCCAAGTGGTTGTATGAATTGGCTTCTGTGTGACCTACAGAGTTATAGATTGGACAGGCCCAACAGTGTCCATCATGAGATGGAAATGGTCCATGTGGAATGAGCCCAAACCCCAAGTTAACACCCCATCTGCCCAGAAAATACCTGCCCCTGAGGTGGCACTGAACAACCAAGCAGACAAATGGAAGTTAGCCAGCCTTCACTGGGGGCCATCTCAGGCCTTGCAGGGTGGGAACATGCATGCAGGAATCACAATAGCTCCCTTCATGTGCCCATCCTTCCAGGTCACTCAGTGGCCTTGGTCGGTGGGAGTCAGTGCTGCTGGACCCATAGGTAGCCTCCAAAAGGTGAGACTCCCACCTACCAAGGCCAAACTAGCTGCTGCCACCTCTGAATATCCAACTTGTCAGGATTAGACACCCGTGATAGGCCCTGATGTGCCCTGCTTAGGCACTATTTCTTTAGGTGATCAAAGTGTCACTAAATGACACATTGACCACATTAAGCCTCATCATGGAAGGGCCAGAGAGATTCATCCTCACTGGGACAGAAACTTCCTCCATGGGTAGGCTTTTTCCCCCACTATTCTCAGACTCTCAGCCAGCACCACTGACATTCCTGATCCACAGGTTTGGAATTACTCTCAGCACAGCCTCTTCCTGGGGGACCCACCTCACAGGGAAATGGAAGTGGGTGCAGCATGGACCATGACCAGGGGATCCACTGATCCTATCACCATCTGCACCCTGCGGGGGCTGCCGGCCACACAGAACATTGGACAGGCCTTCAACAGGCACAACTCAGAACCAGCTTGGAGGAAACACTGAGGAATGGGTGCCATCTTTCAGGGCACGGTGCATTTATTGAATCAGAGACATCACTACGGTGCTGTATTCTCAGTAGGAAGAAACTTGGGTCCAGAAACCAAGGGATGGAAGAGAGTGTGGCTGCATGTCCCATCCCTTATATTCACCCACTGTGGAACTTGGACTTCTCATATCCCAAATCTGGGCTTTGTAGTATAGGAGGTCCTGGTTTTCCACAGGGAGGCACTCAGACAAGGGGACAAACAAGAGCCCATTGAGCTACACATTACAGTTGCCCGCAGGACTGTATGGGCCTAGAGACAAGCAGGGAAGAAGAGCACTCCCCTCCTCTCCAGGCAGGAGTGATGGACCCTCATCCCCAGGACGAGGCAGGGCTGCTGATACACAGTAAGGGCAGGAGGAGTTTGTGTGGAACCCAGAGATTCACTTGGGGGCCTCCTTGTTTCCCTTGTCCCATTGTAAATGTGAACAGAATCGTCCAGCAACCCAGTCTGACAGCGTTTGATTTCCAAAGGCCCAGACCCCTCAGGAGGAAGATTTGAGCCGCATTTCCAGGAAATTTCCCAAGGCCTCCCTCCCGTGCTCTGTCATTCTCAGCAGCATTGGTGCAGAGGCCCTGCTTCCCATGGGCTGTTCCCAGCCACTGACACGTAACAGCAGGGACACTAAGACAGACCATTCCTGGGCAACAGGAGACTCCTCTGTTGGCCATCTGTGGCTGGAGGACTCCTCCATGGCCTTGCTCAACTCTGCTTAGATTGCCTGTGGTCTAGGATGCGTCCAACAACCCTTCTTTCCTTTTGTCCAGGACTGGAGTCGGCCTTGCCTCTGGATGTGCCACTTTTCCCAGGGTTCTCTGGCTCCCTCCCCATATTCTCTGACAGGTGTGTCCCCCAATAAACCTTGTGAGAGGCCCTGAGCCAGAAGCACTCAAGGAAATCTCTCCCAGATTCCTGACCACTGGAAACTGTGGGAGATGATAAGTATTTGTTGTTTTGGGTTGTCAAACTTTATGTTATTTATTATACAACAATAGACAATAGCGCTTCAAAAGAGAGAATGAATTACTACACTTTAATTTTTATTTACTCTAAATTAACTAAAAGATATTCAATGTTATTTGGTTTTAAGATTTCAGTATTTCCATGTATCAATAGGATGTATTTTATTAACATTCACAACAACCTATTTATTTGAACTTCAGTTTCCTACTACGACCCAATTAAACACAAAAGGAAGATCCTGGCTATGGGAGGATGATTCAGTGATGGCCTCCACATAACCACCCCTGGTGATTCACCTTCCCCAGTTACTCAATCAACACTACTGTAGGTGCCGCTGTGAAGGGATTCTGCAGATATAAGCAAGGTCCCAAATCAGTTGACTTTAAGGCCATGATTATCCTGCCTTGGACTGTCCTAATCAGGTGAGCTCTTAAAACAACTTATTTCTTCTTCAGCAAAGAGATTCACAGTGTGAGCGAGATTCAACGTGAGGGGCTTCCTCCGCTGTGAGCTTTGAAAATGAAGGGGCCATGTGGCAAAGGATATGGCGGGCTCCAGGAATTGAGAGCAGCTCCACCCCACCTCCACCTGACAGCTGCCCAGGAACAAGGACTACAATCTCACAACTGCCTGAAACTGAATTCTGCCACCAAGCTCTGTATAAGCTTGAAGGAGGACCCCAGCCTCAAGATGAGGACACAGCTTCGTGAAATCCTGAACTGAGAATCATTCACACCAGGCCTGGATTTCTCATTAAGGAAATGTAGAGAAATAAATGGGTGCTGTGTAGAGCCAGTGAGTTAGTGGTAATATGTTATGCAGTAACAGAAAATTCATACATAGGCCAACAGATAAGCATATAACATTTTCTCTATTGGAATAAACTAGTGAATTGAAATGTACACTCCTTGTATAAGATAAAATCTTTCCTAATTTTTTGGTATTCTTCATTTTATAATTCTTATGCAATGCAATTACATTTTAGTACAATCATATTCATGAATTCACCAAAGACCAAAGCTAACTTTGTATCTACTATGTACAAAGTATGTCTTTACATACCGTGCAGTTGGTTCAGTCCTCACACCTGCTTTCCTCATGTTTCCTGCCCTGGGTCTGCAGTCACAGTTTTGGAAACTTCTCTGGGGTCCAAGACTAGGGGGTTCCTCTAGGACCTCATGGCCCTGTCTCCTCCCTAGCCCCTCACAGGATGATTTCTTCCCAGAGGCAGAGAAGGAGGTGCTCAGGCTGTGTGTAACTATGGGAGACGGATGTGGAGGAGCTCACCTATGCCATAATTCCTCCTCTCCCACATCTCCTGCAGGCTCTGACCAGGTCCTGTTTTTGTTCTACCCCAGGCAGTGACAGTGACCAGGGCTGTGATGTGTCTCTCACAGCTTGTAAAGGTGGCGTCCTGGAGGGCCTTATGTGGAAGGGGGATGGGGTACAGGGGACAAGACTGGATTACGGTGATTCTTTGGGACACTTTGAGTGTGTAGTGAGGAGTTCAGAGTGTTACGCTTTATGGCCACTGACCTGAATTTGTTCATGACTATTGTTTTCTGTAGCCTGAGGCAGCTGTCTTGTGAGGGACTGAGATGCAGGATTTCTTCACGCCTCCCCTTTGTGACTTCAAGAGCCTCTGGTGTCTCTTTCTGCAAAGGCATCTGAATGTGTCTGCGTCCCTGTTAGCCTAATGTGAGAAGGTGGAGAGACCAGCCCTCCCCCATGTCTACCATGACCCCCTTCCCCATGCTGAATTAGCTGACTTTACAAAAAGAAAATTACCATCAATAATGTGGATGGGCTTCACCCGATCAGTAGAAGACTCTGAGAGCAGAAACTGAGGTTTCCCAGAGAAGAAGAAATCCTGCCTCAGAATTAGAACATCTTCTTTCTGCGTTTTCAGCCTGCTAGCTTATCCTGCAGATTTTCATACTTACCGCCCTAATAATCACATGAATAAATATCATAATATGAATACAAATACAAATACACACACACACACCCCCTATTGATTCTGCTTCTCTGAAGAATCTGGACTGATAGAGACTGTGGTACGAAGAGTGGTTCTAGAGGAACAGAATCTTTTTAAAAATTTTATAGCTAACCATAAAAAATACTTTATTAAAATGTTGAAATGTATATAAGCATAATTATAAATTAGCAATTAAGAATTTAATTGGCAAAGAAGAGAAGAATTGTTTTCTTTTCCTAATACAGTACAAGCAACAGTAATTTGGATCTTCCTCACTTTCAGCCACCATTTGCCCTAGGTGTCCTTCACTCAAGTTTCTGGCTTGTGTTTTGGAGTGAAAATTCACATGGATACTAAGAAGCAACTCTAATAATGTGAATCAGGTATCAAAAACTCCTTATGGAATGTTAACATGTAATGATGGTTCATATATATTCCAACATCTCACAACAGGCAAGCATTATTTCCAGAAGAAAATTAAGTCACTTTTGTAGCTGTTAGTGAATGTTCTACAAATGAACACTGAAGATTTAAGGCATTGCTCTGCTCTGGAGCGGTGCTTCTGTGGCTCCAGCAAACTGTACAAAGGCTTTCTTTAATAATATATATATATTATTTTATATACACAAATATTATATATATACACACCCCCTGAAACTAAAAGTTGAAAAAAGAAAAAATACAAATGTATCTTCTGTGATAGTTCAATTACTTCACTCCATCGATGATTTTCTTGGGCATAGAACTGAAACTATCAGTCAATGATGTGTGTTTATACACCTTGCTGTGATTCAGTGGTTATGAGCAAATGGTCTTCCATTTCCTATTGCCACTATAACATGGTTATTTGTCCCTGATCTAACAACTCCTTCTCCAGCTCCATTCTCTGGCTCCTGAGATTAATAGTCCAAGTGGTATTTTGGGTCACTAAGTGGTTAGACAGGACAAGGTTGATTTGAGCTAATACTTCTGGCATGTCCATTTTGATTTGTAACAGAAGCTTTTTCTGGATTCATCCCCTACAAGGTGAGCTGGAAAACTACAACCATCACCCACGCTTGAAAATACGGGAGGTAGCCAGTGTTTCTCTTTATGGCCAAACACTTGTCTCTAATTTTTACTATTGTCCTGTTTTTTTAAACCAACCAGCAGTAGTAGCTGAAAAGAGAGAGACACTGAAGAAGAACTTTGCAGGCACAAAGAAAAGGAAAAGTATGTGGAGCTTTGCTGTGTATCTGTCAGTTCATCCTACTCCACTAGAACCTGGCATTCTCAGGACTTGATGTCCTGCAGGCCCCCAGCTGAGGGCAGCGAGCACCCTGAGAGCCAGCTGGACTCCCCTCTTGGAGTGTAATCGCACAGCAACAGCATCTGCATATGGAGTTGTCCTGCACTTCTGGAACCGTCTCTGTTGGTCATGGGGGCTACTGTGACATTGTCCTTTCTTCTGCTTTCCTTTCTTCCTCTGTCTTGTTGCTAGGGATAACTTTGCCCCTGCTGGCATCATGTCCTGAAGAGCTGAGGATGACACATCCTGGCTGGCGTCCTCCCTGGTCGGCCTTGGGTCACTGTCTAAGTGTTAAGTGTTGCCTGTGGCAGGAGGTTGTGGGAATGAGTGGCACCGCCTCACGGAGTTGTCCCTGTGGGAGTGGCCTGCAGGTGTTTGTACCTGTGGCATTTTCACAACTCTTTCCAAGACTCAAGAATGTGCTGTGGGAGGAGAGCAGGTCTGGGTCCTCCCCTGTGTCCCCCATCTACTCATCTGGGTGGCTGTGGGACTGACGTTGTTGGAAATGAGAAACGCTGCCCCTTCACAAGGCACTACCTAGTTTTTCTCTTCTGGAAGGTGGCAGCACAATGCCCAGGCTGAGATGGACACAGGAGTCGGCATCCTAAAGTAAAACATGTGATTCTAATAGAAATACCCGAGCTTTTCAATGTGAATGAACAGGACCTTCCACCCTCTGGCAACTATGTATTTCTCCTTGAGATTTGACCAAAAAAAAAAAAAAAGAAAGAAAGAAAGAAAGAAAGAAACAATGGAAAAAAAAAAGCAGAAGAAGGTGTGGTGGCTGGGGTGTGGGGAGCTGGGACCCTGGCCCTGTGCAGGTGAGTTGCCAGGTGCTTCTGGGGAGGCCACCACCATCCTGGGCTCTGGCAGGTTGAGGCACCACAGAGCCAGCCTTCCTGACGATGCCGTCTGTCCCAGTGGCTCACCGGAAGCCACTGCACCCAGATTAGTTTTGTGTTGATAGAAATTTTTAAAGTATTATGTTACATAATTTTACGCTTTTTGAGGAGGCAAATAAGTCTTTCTGGCTAAGTTGCTCCTCATGGCAATCTCTCTGATGTGCTTGAAGAAGGCCAGATCTGTAGGGTTCCCACCCTCAGTGAATACCTGTGCTTCCCTGCGGGGTCTATTTTCAGGGGTCTTTGCCTGTTGGTTGCCCCTAAGACTGCTGACCTCACGCCCTTTGGTGGAAGCCATGCTCTTCCTTGCTCACTGAGGGTTGGAAAACTGGAAAATTATGGTCGATGAGGATAGACAGTAACATTTGTTCTGTGTGGCACTGTCATCACCCGCACTTGAAGGTGAAGCCATGTTTCAGAAAGTACAAAATGTGGCTCCATCCCTTGGCTGCCAAGTGGCCTAGTGGCAATGTGAGCCCAAGTGGACGACACTGTGACACAGGACAGGGTGGATTCAAGGGCTCCTTCCCAGCTCAGGGATTAACTGCAGGGCTGGGGGTAACCGGGGCTGAGAGGAACCTGGAGACGTGCTGGTGTGTGGCCGGGTGAGAGCCTGGAGACAGCCTCCACCTGTCCTCACAGTACCTGGGGGAGACATACTGAGGAGGGGGCACCTGCCCCTCCACTCTGCCTCACCATTGTCCCCCATCTCACTGGCATCCCTGGTGTCCACCAGGCACTTTTCACGTGTCTCCTCCTTAACCTTCAGAACTTCTCCGTGAGGTCAGTGTTGGGTTTGAATTTCTGGAGTTGAGGGAAGACTTTGAGCCCGGGAGACTCCCTAGGGAGGGGTCCACATTCCATAACTGACGCCACAGTTGAGCCCCAGCAGTTCGGACTTCGGACCCCAGAGTGTTCTGAGCTCTGAGTTGCTCTGGGCTGGCAGTGCCCTGTGCCAGCTGCACTGAGGCAGCCGTGTTCCTGCTGGTCCTACAGGTTTCCCCACCTGAAACCAGAAGCAGATCAGGATTTCCCAAATTCTCTCTAGCCCTGATGGGTGACATCTCCACTGTTTTAATGAGGCAATAATTGCAGCTACTACTTCTGTGGTGGGTGTTGCCATGTTCCAGGCATCTTTCTGGGTACTTGGCATATGTAAACACACGCATTTACAATGGAAGCTCGTGAAGCACAGAGAGGTTAAGTGACTTGGTCAAGGTCACACAGCAGTAAGTAATGGAGCTGGAATTTGAGCTGAGACAATCTGCTGGCATCATGTCAGATACAGTGAGATGACTGGAGGTGGGAAGAAGGTGGGGTGTGTTGATTACACAGAGTACACATGGCCTCTGTAGTAAGCTGGAGCCTTTGGCCACCCAAAGGTGGATTTGTGCATGAGCCGAGGACAGGTTTCTAATGTGCCAGATGAGGTGAGTAGGAGATTATGCACTTGTGTCTTCAGCCTTGTCCTCCACGTCTTTGTCATCTCCTGAGGATGGAGCATCTGTCATGTGCACACTGAGTGGCACCGCTCATGCTGGGTGAGTCGCTGCAGCTGCAGGCCCCCAGGGTCCTCGTGAGAGGCAGTCAGCACCTGCAGCTGCTGGGGCTCCACCAGGATGCATTTTGAGGACACCAGCTCTGCACCATCCTTGACCCAGACAGTGGGCCCCATGGGACCACCTCCAGGCAGGGAGCAACTCAGCCCTGCGGTGTCCCGGAGGCCAAAGAACAACTGCTCCTGATGGTTTCAAGACCTCAGCGGGAGGCTGCAGCAGGCCTTGAGTGAGGGAGGATCAGCTCAGAGCCTGGGTCCTGCCAGACAACACTCAAACCAGGGGCTGGTAAATAATCCCCAAAAGGACCTGGGGCAACATTTTCAACTTTGCCAACCAGTCTCTATACCAAAGACTTAACTCTGCCCTTGTAGCATGAAGCAGCCTTCCATAGACATCCTGATGGTCTCCCCCAGGCAGGCTGCTCCCAGTCCTAGGGGATCAGAAGTAGCGGCTGAACAGCCACAGCCATACAAAGCACTAGGGTACAGGCCAGGGTGTCTGTGGCAGGGGCTGGGGCTGCAGTTTGTCAGGCAGCATGCAGAGGCATGCTGCTCCCCACAGCTTAGCTTGGCACTAGCAGGAGGAGAGTGCCCCTTAGAAGCCTAGGGGCCACTGGAACCCGACTCAGTGTGTGCAACTCCCGAATAGGCTTGGTGCCCATAAATCCAGCACCATTCTGGGCTGCTGACCCACCAGTGCATAGTGCACCCCAGCTGAGCCAGCTGTCCTTGGCCCACCAAGCCTCAGACCATGCCCAGCCTAGCTTACTGGGGCATAGGGACACTGGAACAGAATTTTAAGAATGAATGCACTGAATTTGGTGGTGGGGGGGGTGGTTTCTTGAATTGTTTCTCTAATCTATTTGGATTTAAAGGCACAAATGACTCTATTTCCATTAGTACAGAGAGTGTGAATACTCAGAATATCACCATTGGATAGACCTAATCAAATACTTATAAGATCTGGGTGACTATGTATTTGAGACCTTAGAAGACTTTGTTAAACTAGCTATTGTAAGGTGATTAGCTAATTTTTGCCAATTGTGCTGGACAAAATGGGGAAAGAAAAAGATGAACTCAGGGCTGCAAACTTCCAGCTCATGAGTCACATAAATCACCTAAAAGTTTCTATGTTTCCTTTGAATGAAATCCTAATCTCCTGTAGCTGCAGGGCTGAAATTTCTGAAAAATAAATGCAGCGTCTCATTCTGTGCGTAGCTAAATTACAACACAAAACAAATCCCAAACTTAAAGAATATCTGTTATTTAAGTGAAGGCATTGATTGGGAATAAATGCGATACTGAAAATCAGAATGGGGACATCTGGGCAGATCCTGATGAAGCTAAAGACACTGAACTCCTAAATTCCTCTGAGAATTATTTGCCAGTTTCATTCAACCACATTTGGCGAGGTTAATCCAGCTTTCCCTAACGAAAAGGTAATGGTCTTCTCTGAGGGAGTTGCCCTCAAGACCCTGTGATTCCACTCAACATTCACCCCCAACACCCCTCTGTGATTCCAGATGCGTAAATAGCCTTGAGTCCTAGCATGTCCTGAAAGGTGAGGTGGAATATGTCAGTATGACGATTTAGAGAACCAATGTGACAATGTGATGAAAATAATTAAAAATGTTTAAAAGTCTGTGTCCTAATGTTTATCACTTGAGTATTCTATGAATTTTCTAAAATTCCAAACAGAAGAATCTTTCTATATAAAGATGCTTGTCAAAACATTATTTACAACAAGACGAAATGAAGGCAGACGGATCCAAAAAAAGAAGTTGGGTTACATCTTCTTATCTGAAATGGGATATGGCTTGTAAAAGTGTATAAACTTTATGCAGAGCTTATAACACGGAAAACTACTTGTATAATAATACATTCCAAAAGCAACATCCAAGATAACCCTTAACATATGAATGCAACTTTGTAAAATGACAGCATATATAAAAATACATATATAGAAAATAACGAAATGAAAATCAGCACCACTGCACAAGACAGCTCCAGGGACCACCATTTGCACTGCAGTCTACAAAGGTTCAACAATGTAATAGCAGTGATTTTTTAAAGAAAGGCCTAGGTGATGTTTCTAACTGTCTGTGCATTTTAACGTCTTCTGTGATCAAATAGGGTTTCACTTTTGAATATAAAAACATATATTTTAACATTTAAAATAAAGCATTTGAAGTAAAATAACAATGAAATGAGGCCAGACATGGTGGCATGCACCTGTAGTCCCAGCTACTCAGGAGGCCGAGGCTGGAACATTGCTGGAGCCCAGAAGTTCAAGGACGTAGTCCACTATGATCACAGCTGTGAATAGTCACTGCACTCCAGCCTGGGCAACATAGCAAGACCTTATCTCTATTATAATACTAATAATAGTCATAATCTTCTTTCTCCCTCAGGCTAAAGCTACTTTCTCATTTGAACCCAAAGGGCAGAAATGTCTACCGAGTGCTCAACCAGAGAAAAGAAATGAGTTCTTCCTTCACAATCCATGATCCAATTTTTGGTTATAGAGTTCAGCTGAGCAATAAAGGCAACACTAAGAACACCATCAATATATAGATTACGGATTGTCATGTATGTGTTCATGTATAAATGTGTGTGTCTACATATATATATATAATTACCACAACACCTGAAAGAGGGAGATGGATTCTTCCATTTCATAGATGAAAATCTGAGCCCCTGTGTACTTTGAGGCTTGGTCTGGGTTCACTGAATATTAGCCTTGAGAACTGGGAGACACTAAGCCTCCTGCAGAGCCCATCTAGGCATGAGCCACACCAGTGGAGACTCCTCAACAGCAGGAAGAGCAACTGAGATCCAGGAATGTCCACACTTGTAGAGGGTCCACGTCCAGTGGAATACAACTGAAGGATGGGTGAAGGGTACAGTCTAGCTGCTTCCTTCAGCTGGGGGTGGTAGATGGGTGGGTCAGTCAGCTACCCATGAGGTGTATCATGTTCCTAGGGCTGTCTTTCATTCCTCTGCTGAGAACTCCATCCTGCACAGACAAAAACCATATATTCACTGGTGAGCAGGATCCTTTTTAGAAATGCAAACATAACTTCCCTAACATTAAAGCCAAACATTCTTTCTCCCAGTGAACCATCTTATTTGGATAATCTCCTAACTTCCCCTGAAGTTAGCCCCAGAGTTGCATCTGAGCATTTGGAAGCAAGACAGAAAGTCATTTTGGGGTTTGGACCTGGCTGATCTTGGACCGTGTTCTGAAAGTGTGGGCGGCAAGCCACCCAGGTGCCGAGGCAAGAGACTGAGGACACGAGCTGTTCCAGTATAATAAAATATAAAACAAGAATAGTTGTACCAGATATAGATCTTAGATATGATTATATATGAATATCATTAATCATTAGTTGGTAGCAATTACTCTTTATTCCAATATTATAATAATCCTCACTCTATAATCATAACCTAAGAAAAACCAGGCCATACAGCGATAGGAGATGAGGGGACATAGTGAGTTGTGACCAGAAGACAAGAGTGCGAGCCTTCTGTTATGCCCAGACAGGGCCACCAGAGGGATCCTTGGTCTAGCGGTGACGCCAGCATCTGGGAAGACGCCCGTTGCCAGGCAGACCATGGTCTAGTGGTAGTGAAAAGTGTCAAGGAAAAACACCCACTACTTAGCACACTTAGAGTTTAGAGAAGACTCTGCTCCTCCACCTCTTGTGGAGGGCCTGACATCAGTCAGGCTTGCCTGCAGCTATCCGGAGGCCTAACCGTCTCCCTGTGATGCTGTGCTTCAGTGGTCACGCTCCTAGTCTGCCTTCATGTTCCATCCTGTACACCTGGCTCTGCCTTCTAGATAGCAGTAGTCAATTAGTGAAAGTACTAAAAGTCTCTGATATGCAGAAATAATGGCGTAAGCCATCTTTCTCTTTGTCTCCTCTCTCTCTCTGCCTTGGCTGCCAGGCCGGGAAGGGCCCCCTGTCCAGTGGACACATGACCCATGTGACCTTACCTATCACTGGAGATTACTCACACTCTTTACCCTGCCCCTTTTGCTTTGTATCCAATAAATAACAGAGCAGCCAGACATTCGGGGCCACTATTGGTCTCCGCGCGTTTGTGGTAGTGGTCCCCTGGCCCAGCTGTCTTTTCTTTTATCTCTTTGTCTTGTGTCTTTATTTCTACACTCTCTCATCGCCGCACACAGGGAGAGACCCACCGACCCTGTGGGGCTGGTCCCTGCATGAAAGGAGGCTTTCTACTTGCAGAAGAGCAAGGGTGAGCTCTGAATAAGAGATGAAATCCTGAGGAGAAAAGACAGATGGGCAGATTCCCAAGCAAACTTGGAAGATATTTGCCAGCCTCTTTTTAGTTGTGATAAAATGCACGTAAACACAAAATTTGCCATTGTGACCATTTAAGTGTACAAAGCAGTAACATTTAGTAGGTGCACAACGTTATGCAGCCATCATCACTATCAAGTTCCAGAGCATTTTCACCACCCTAGAAGGAAACTCTGTACCCGTTAAGCAGTCACCTTCCACTCTCCCCTGCCACCAGCCCCTGGCACCATTAACCCAGTTTCTGTCTCTCTAGATTTTCTTCTTCTGAATATTTTATTAAAATGGAGTCATACAATATATGGCCTTTTGTGACTGGCTTCTTTCATTTGACATGTTTTCAAGGTTCATCCAAGTTTTAGCATGTATCAGTACATTATTCCTTTTGTGGTCAAATAATATTCCATTGCAGAATAGATTACATGTTGTTTATCCATTCATTGGTTGATGGGCATTTTCTTTTAAATTAAATAGAGAAAACAAAAGAGGAGTTACAAATTACCACCCCCCAAAAAATACTTGCTTTTCTATTTACCTATGAAGTTACTTTTAGCTGTGTACTTCTTTGCTTCATATGACTTCAAGTTGCCATCTAATGTCCTTTTATTTCAGTGTGAAGCACTCCTTTTAGCATTAATTGTAGAATAGGTTTACCAGACACGAATGCCATCAGCTTTTATTTACCTGTGCATGTCTGAATTTCTCCATTATTTCTCATGAAGAGTTTTGCCAAATATGAAACTGTCAGTTGAGACAGGTTTTTTTTTTCTTTCTGAACTTTAAGTTTGTCATGCCAATGTCTTCTGAACTCCATGGTTTCTGAAGAACACTTGGCAGTTAATCTCATGGAGGATCCTTGCACTCAATGAGTCCCTTCTCTTGTTGTTTTCAAGATGCTCTGTTTGTCTTTGACTTTCAACAGTTTCAATATAATGTCTGTCAGTGTGGACATCTTTGAATTACTGCTACTTTAAATGTTTGAGTGTTTTGGATACCCAGATTCATGTTTTCAAAAAAATTTCGGAAGTTTGGGGTCATTATTTCTTCAAATACTCTTTCTCCCCCCTTCTTCCTTCTCTCTTTTGGGAACTCCCAAAATGCATATACTTGATGTTGTCTCTTAGATCTCTTTTGTTCTTTTTTCTTCATACTTTTTCCCTTCTGCTCCTCAAATGGGCAATTTCAATTGGCCCATGTTTGCGTTTACTGATTCTTCATTCTGCAAACTAAAATCTGCTCTTGAAGCCCTCCAGTCAATTTTCCATTTTGCTTCCCGTACATTTCAGCTCCAGATTTCCATTTGCTTCCTTTTCACAATTATTTATTGATTTCTGCTATTTAGTGAAACATAGTCCTCCTGATTTTCTTTAGTTATTTGTCCATGGTTTCCTTTAGCTCTTTGACTATGTTTAAGACAGTTGATTCAAAGTCTTTGTCTAGTAAGTCAGTCCATTGTTCTTCAGGAACAATTTCTTTCTATTGCTTTTCCTGTGAATGAGTCATACTTTCATACATGCATAACTCATGTTTTTTGAAGTTGAAAACTAGACATTTTCAATATTATAATGTGGTAACTGTGAAAATTACATTTTCTAAACTATTTTTGTATAGACTGTATTCTTTATTGTATGTGTTCACTGAAGTCTCATAGTTGTAGATGTGTGGTCTTATTTCTGAGTTCTCTGTTCTATTCCATTGGTCTATGTGTCTGTTTTTGTATCAGTACCATGCTGTTTTGGTTACTGTAGCCTTGTAGTATAGTTTGAAGTCAAGTAGCATGATGCCTCCAGCTTTGGTCTTTCTGCTTAGGATTGTCTTGGCTATACAAGTTCTTTTTGGTTCTATATGAATTTTATTTTTATTTTAATTTTTTTTTCAATTTAAATAATCAGTAATGTATAACTTTATTCATTAAATATAAAATAATTTGAAAACAATCTTTCTTTTGAAAATTTAAGATTGACAAAAAAATCAACTAGAAAGAATAGTGGCTGAAATTGAATAAAATAGCAAGAACTTCAATGATATATTTGTAAAAACATTTTGAAACAATGCTGTCCATAGACACATTCATCCACTGTTTGCTGGAACATAAATTCCTCATTTAATATTACTGAGCCAATTTAGAATGACATCATTAAATGTAGTTTTTTAAATGTTTTAGTTAGTACTAAAAAAAGACAATTCTCTGAATCTGAAATATTTCTTTTTTCAACCCCTACCTTATTATGTAGTAGCTTTTTAAAATTTTAGGCTGACTTGAATAGCATGGTAAATTATCTTAAAACTGGGGAAAACTTTTTCATGTTCAGATTTAAAAAAAAAAACCTATAATCACTGACATGTCCAATTTCTGATTTTTCAAATAAGATAGATTTCTTGTCTGCAACAATAAACATTTTAAGTAAAGCTATTTTTAGGATTAAATACATTTATTTTTAAATGAAGCCTGATTTTCTATAATCCATATCAATGATTCTCAAACTCTTTCTATAGAAGCACACTTAAAAACAGCAGAGTAAAACATTTTTCTTGAGGACATGAGCTTAATCTCATTAGCTCAAGACAAGCTCCAAATGGCTTGAAAATTTTGAGTTTTATTTTATATATTAATTTTAATTTTACCTTTAATGTCAATCATCTATATGAATTTTAAAATAGTTTCTTCTAATTCTGTGAGAAATGTCAATGGTAGTTGAATGAGAATAGCATTGAATCTATAAATTACTTCGGGCAGTATGACCATTTTCACAATATTGATTCTTTCTATCACTGAGCATGGAGTGTTTTTCCATTTGTCTGTGTCCTCTCTGAGTTACTTAAGAAGCGGTTTGTAGTTCTCCTTGAAGAGATCCTTCAATTCCCTTGTGAGCTGTATTCCTAGGCATCTTATTCTGTTTGTAGCAATTGTGAATAGAAGTTTATTCACGATTTGACTCTCTGCTTGTCTATTGTTGGTGTATAGGAATGCTTGTGGCTTCTGCACACTGATTTTGTATCCTGAGACTTAACTGAAGTTGCTTTTCAGCTTAAGAAGCTTTTCAGCCGAAACAATGGGGTTTTCTAGATATAGGATCATGTCACTTGCAAACAAAGACAATTTGACTTCCTCTCTTCCTATTTGAATATCCTTTCTTTCTCTTACCTGATTGTCCTGGCCAGAACTTCCAATACTGTGTTGAACAGGAATGGTGAGAGAGGGCAACCTTGCCTTGTGCTGGTGTTAAAGGGGAATGCTTCCAGCTTTTGCGCATTCAGTATGATACTGGTTGTGGGTTTGTCATAGATGACTTTTATTATTTTGAGGTATGTTCCTTCAATACCTAGTTTATTGAGAGTTTAAAAATATGGAATGCTTCATGAATTTGCATGTCACCCTTGTGCAGGGGCCGTGCTGATCTTCTCTGTATCATTCCTATTTTAATATATGTGCTGCCAAAGCGAGTACTGATCACAAGTTCTTAGAAGTGGAGATAACTGAAGAAACGTGGGTGAGATGGAGTGTTGAGTTTCATCTGCAGTAATTTCTGCATCTAATAAAACGTCATTATCTCTGTCTTTTATTCTTTAATTAAGTGGTAAAATGCATTACAGATTTAAAGTTTAAATATTCTTGTATTCTGGGGATGAATAACCTGGGCAGGATATTTAATTTATTTATAGTTCACTGGTGGACACAATCTAGTACTATTTTTCTCAGTATTTTTACCTCTAATTGCTTAGAAGTGATTATCTTATCATGCTTTTCTCTTATGTATTCCCTAGCTGGCTTTAGAATCAATGTTATTTATACATAAACAATAATGAGTTTACTGGCTTTCTCTATGTTTCCTCATTCTCTTGAATATTACGTATAAGTTCAGTAACCTTCTTCAAAGTTTTGGTAGAACTTATGTGTAAAACAGTCTGGATATGCCTGAACAGAAATAAAGTTTTACAACTGTTTTAACTTCTTTACTTGTAGTAAGTTCTCCCCATTGCCATAATCTTGTTCATAGTCTCAAAATTATTTAAACCTCTACTATATCTTTAGTGGCATATTTATCTATCATAATGTTATTTTATTCTTAATTACCATTGCCTGTTTTATTTCTCCGTCAAAGAAACAGCTGCTTTTGGTGGGCTGGGCCCTCAGCAGTGGCAGCTGTCAGCTCAGCCTTGGTGAGTGGCGACGCAATTGCTGTGCCCTTGCAGTGTCCATCGCAGCCACCGTGGCCACTTTGTGCAGGGACTCCATGAGCAACGCCTGTGTGGCTGAGTGGCATCGTCCATCAAGCCATCTCACCCACCTGGTTACAGGGAGCCCCATCCCCTTAAAGACCCTCTGGTAGGCATCCACACACAACCACTATCCTCACACACTCAGCCTATAGCAAGAGGTCTATGCGTACCTCTCTCCTCTACCTCCCAGTTTTCCAACTCTATTTTCCTCAAGTTTGTGACTGGCCAGCCAAGCCATGAGCCACTGCCCATGACTCGTTCATTCATGCACTATTGGACATCATTTCACACCCCCCACCCCCTATGGGTTTGTTTGGGTTTGATCCCCAGTTCCTGGCTCGAGAGCCATTTCCAAAGCTGTTCTGGTGTCAGCTCCCAAACCTACTGCTCTTGTTGTAGATTTTCCTCTTTATATGTATTTGTTTCCTGGAATTAAAAACAATTGCACTAATTTTTTCAATCCAGCATTTCCAAGGATGTGCAGTAGGAGCGATTCTTCTTAGCGTAGATAGAATTGCTTCAAAACATCAGCAAAGTATATTTGAGTGAAGGACAGCATGCGTGGAGAAAGGAGGACAATCCACAAGTGGGCAGTGGAGTTTCACATAGTGAACACTCAGGTAAACAACACCCACATCAAAGTACACCAATCACAGCCTCCCAGAAACATCACTGGATCTTACTCAGTCACAAACCACCCTCCCACACCCTAGAGTAGCCATTCCTGATTTCTAACACAGATAAGTTCTGCCAGTTCCAGTTGAATGGCATTATACAGTCACCATCATGCCCCTGGGTCTCATCATCCTGCTGTGTGTGGTCATAGCCTATTCACTCCCATGGCTGTCCAATGCTCCACTTTATAAATAGCTCACATTTCTTGTCCCTTTGCTGTTGATAGACAATTGTGTTATATACAGATTTTACAAATCGTGATGCTATGAATAATATTTTCATATATTTTGGCACACACATACATGCATTTCTATTGGTTGATAACTAAGACTGCTATTGCTGGGTCATAGGTGAGTAGATGCTTGGCTTAGTCTCTCAAAAAGCAAGTTTCTAGTAGTAAACAAACAGTACAGGAGGGTGAATCTCTTACTTAGAAATTATTCAGATAATAAATGAGGAAGGAATGAGAGACTGAGACTATAATAACTCTTTTGCAACCCATCAAGAATTAACAGATTTAACCATTGAACATCAATGGCGATTAACAACACAATAAAAAAAAACTAATGTGAGGTTCTTCCTCTTGATGGAAGAACACAATACAGCACCATCAAACAAATACAAGTGAGAAAGAAATCAAGCCTGAATAGAAGCTAACCACCATAGCCAATTACCAATTTAGAGGCAATACAGATAATAAAAACACATATTCAAACAATGGCTTGGGGAGCAATCAGCAAAATGCACACTATGGGAAGCTCTACCACACAATATAAATTTCAAGAAAGAATCTATAGAATAAAAGAGAACAAAAGCATATTTCTAAAGGTAAAACTAAATCATAGTTTTGGATGATAAAAATATAAAATAGAACAAAGAAGTTATGATCGTAAAAGTCAAGATGTATTTTTATTTGGGGGAGGAAAGAGTTTATTGCTGAGCTGGGGCAAATGATGGGGCTTCTGGTTTGCTCCGCAAACGTCTATCCTTGGTGGTTAATGGGTGTTTACTTTTTATTAAAGGACACAAATTTTAGACCTTCTTTTTTTTCCTTTTGGAGTCCCAGATTTTATTTTATGACACAAAGGCTAATGAAAAAATAATTTATAGAGTATGGTTACTGTTTTGCACGAAGCCCCCTCCCCATCTTCCCTCTGAGCACCCAGGACAACCAGCAGCCCCAGGACCCCCAGAAGGGGTGACCTCACTTCTAGGTGTGCATGCAGCTCACAGCACCAGAGGCAACATGCGGGTCTACTCCTGGACTCCTGGAAGAACCTGATAGGACACAGCTGAAGGGAAGCCTTCCCCGCCATCTGCAGGCTCTTGGCCATCAGTGTAGAGGGAGCGGGTCCTCACCTCTCCACAGGCGCCTTCACGGCCAAAGCCTCCTCTCTGCATGGGGAGTAAGGCCTGGCCCTTCCCCTGAACACGGTGACATGGATCTCGCCAAAGGTGGAGGTAACACCATTCATCCCCTACCAACCTCACGCTTCTTTTGCTTTACAGGAAGATTGACGCGGGCTGGTGTCCAGTGAAGAAATGCGTGGTGCGTAGGAAGGAGAGGTGGATCTCAGGGCTGTGCGTGAGCTGCAAAGGAAGCGCATCGACCACCAGGTGGCGCTGCTGCGCTGCTTCTGCTCCCAGGAGGTGGATGCCCAGGACGAGCTTTGAAGTGGAGAGAGGGATGTCATGGCTCATCCTCCAGTTTCCAAGTAAAAACCTTCCGGCCAATCTTGGCCGCGCGTCCTGGTGTAGCGAGCGGGCTTGGAGGAGCTCACCGCTGCTGTCATGGTTCGTTTGCTAAACTGCATCGTCGCTGTGTCTCAGAACATGGGCATCGGCAAGAACGGGGACCTGCCCTGGCCGCCGCTCAGGAATGAATTTAGGTATTTCCAGAGAATGACACAATCTCTTCAGTAGAAGGTAAACAGAATCTGGTGATTTTGTGTAGGAAGACCTGGTTCTCCATTCCTGGGAAGAATCGACCTTCAAAGGATAGAATTAATTTAGTTCTCAGCAGAGAACTCAAGGAACCTCCACAACGAGCTCATTTTCTTGCCAGAAGTCTGGATGAGATCTTAAAACTTACTTAACAACCAGAATTAGCAAATAGAGTAGACATGATTTGGATAGTTGGTGGCAGTTCTGTTTATAAGGAAGCCATGAGTCGCCCAGGCCATCTTAAACTATTTGTGACAAGGATCATGCAGGACTTTGAAAGTGACACGTTTTTTCCAGAAATTGATTTGGAGAAATATAAAATTCTGCCAGAATATCCAGGCATTCTCTCGGATGTATTAAGTACAAATTTCAAGTATATGAGAAGAATGATTAATATGAAGGCGTTTTCTGGTTTATTTTAAGTTGTTCCCCCTCCCTCTGATAAAAAGTTTATATTTTTACATTAGAAAAAAAGACTTTTGTTGACTTTAGATCTTTGGATAATTATTTCTAAGCAACATGTTTTTACTCCCCACTAATCTTGACTATATCAGATTACCACTTATGAAATATTCTTGCTATAACTAAGTGCCTCTCCAAGACCCTGACTGAATCCCCAGCACCTGCTACAGTGAGCTGCCATTCCACATCCATCGCATATGGGACTCTTGCCAGTCCTTGACATTGTCGGGCTTTTCAAATGTTGGTAGTATTTCTTAAAGATGAAGATGCACATACCCTCCAACTGAGAAGTTTCACTAGTGGGAAATACCGAAAGCTCCTTACGTGTATACCCAGAGGTTTGCACGCAAATGTTGCAGCCTTGTTTGTAACAGTGAAAAATTGAAAACAACCTGGAAGTCCAGTGATGGGAAAATGAATATATTTCTGTCTTTTGGGGAACCCAAAGCAGGTTCCAAGACTGCAATTTCAGTGAAAGCAGTTTATTTTCTAGGTCTTACCAGAAATCATCAATTGAGGTACGGAGAAATGGAACTGAGAAGGTAAGAAAACCAGTTTAAAGTCAGTGAGCAGGTTCTCACTGGTAACAAACTCCATACTGCTGAGATACAGGGAAACGGAGGGGAGAAAGCTGGCATATTGATCCCCCACTCCTTGGTTGTCAGCTCCCTGTCCTGTGTGTGGGCAGAATGTACTCCAGCTGCTCTATAGCAAGTCCCAGGTGTTTGCAGTAAGAAGCTGCTGGCATGCATGTGAACAGTGAATGGCAAACACTTAAAGCAATTTCATGTTTAAGTATATAAGCTCTTCATATCTTTTTTTTTTTTTTTTTGACAGAGTTTCGCTCTTGTTACCCTGACGGAGTGCAATGGCGCAACCTCAGCTCACTGCAACCTCTGACTTCCCAGGTTCAAATGATTCTCCTGCCTCAGGCTCCCATGTAGCTGGGACTACAGGCACATGCCACGACGCCCGGCTAATTTTGTGTTTTTGGTGAAGACGGGGTTTCACGATGTTGGTCAGGCTGGTCTCGAACTCCTGACCTAAAGTGATCCGCCCGCCTCGGCCTCCCAAAGTGCTGGGATTACAGGCTTGAGCCACCCCAGATCTTTATTCTTTTTATGTAGTAAAAAGTATAAAGCCACACATGGTTTATTTGAAATATTTTATGTTTTAAAAAAATACAGAAGCAGGAAAACCAATTCTAAGTTCAAGTGAGGGATGATGGTAGTTTGAACCAAAGGGTTGCATGTAGTAAGAAACTGTGATTTAAGATATATTTTAAAGTCAGAAGTAGCAGGATATTCTGATGGAGTTTGCCCTGGATTTGGGCCCACTGAGTTTGAGATGCCTTTGAGAAATGAAGAAAGTAGAGAGAGAATAAAAGAAAAACTGGCCAGGCACAGTGGCTCATGCCTGTAATACAGTGGCTCAGCATTTTGGGAGGCAGAGACAGGCAGATACCTTGAGATCAGCTTGGGCAACATGGTGAAGCCCCATCTCTACAAAAAATACAAAAGTTAGCTGGGCATTGTGGCGCACACCTGTAGTCCCATCTACTCAGGGAGCTGAGATGGAAGGATCAATTGAGCCTGCGAGTTCGAGGCTGCAGTGAGTTGTGATTGTGCCACTGCACTCCAGCCTGGGTGACAGAAGAGACCTTGTCTCGAAAAAGAAGCTGAAAACAATGGAACCATGCCTTCAGAATTCCAGAAAGAAAGTTATTTTCAACGAATAAATCTATATTCAGCCAAATAATCAAGGGTGAAGGTAAAATAATACATTTTTAGGCAAGCAAAGACTCAGGGGTTACCTCCATGTATCTTTTGTTGGGAAACTATTGGAGAAAATACTCCAGCAAAATGAAGGAGTAGACAAACCAGAGAATGACATGGATCCAGCAAATAGGATCCAACTCAGGAAATATTCCAGCTATGGAGCTGGCTTTAAAAAGAAACAGTAAAAATATTAATAGGTTAGCTGGGTGGAATGGCCCATGCCTGTAGTTCCAGCTACTCAGGAGGCTAAGCAAGAGGTTGGCTTGAGCCCAAGATTTCCCGACCAGCCTGGCCATCATAGTAAGATTCCCTTCTCTTAAAAATAATAATAGGTTATTGCCAGATTTGGGGCATTTGGAAAGTAGTTCATTGAAGATAAAGCAAAAGTTAAAAAAAAAACAAGGGAGAAGGGTGGTTAGGCAATCATTAATTCTAGGGCAGAAGGAAGCACAAGACAGGAAGCAAGAGCATAATACTCTGTTTTTCTCAACAATGAGCAATATGTACATACTCATAATGATGTGGTGACTACTTAGCCCCTAAATCTGGTAACTACTTTGGGACAATATGGGGGGAAAAGTGAAGGTAGTGATGGTGTAAGAGCTAAATCCTCATCTGTCATATCAAGAAATTACTATAGAATGTATAAAAAATCAAGAAACGACTAAGTAGTTATGTGAGAAAAAAATAGAAGACATTGCTAAAAGAGTTAAAAGTCATTGCTCTGGAGAATTAGGAGGGATGGGGCAGGAGACTGTTAGGGTGTGTTATAAACTGAAGAGCCTTTTTAAAATTACATGTATTAATATATGCACCCACTTGAAAAACTAAAAAAATAATAATTTGGAAAAACCTATGAAGGTAACTACCAGGAGGAAAAACTAAGAGAATGAAAAGTGCTTGCCTCTCGAGAGAACAACTGGCAGGACTGTTGTTTTCATTGTAAGACTTTTGGAGCCATTTGATTTTACTTAACAATTTTCATGTATTCCTTTAATAAAAACAACTCTATCATAATAAAAAGTTACACTTGTTCATAGAAAACAAACAAACAAACAAACAAAAAATCCTTCCTGCCCAGCCCATCTCATTCTCCCTGAATCCTCAGCGCTAATGAGGACTGTCTCCTTCTCACCTGCTTGGACTGGGCTTTTTAACACTGGAAAGTGGATGTGATTTCTAGTTTCAGCAGGTCCTGGTTTATTGTGCTGCCAGTAAAATAAAATCAAAATACACATTGAATAAATAATAAATAAAATAACCCATGGTGAGCAAAGGTTTACAATGTTTGTTGTTGTTATTGTTTTTTGAGTCAAGATCCCACTCTGTGGTCTGGGCTGGAGTCCAGTGATGCGATCACAGCTCACTACAGACTTGAATCCATAAGCCCAAGGGATCTTCCCATCCCAGCCTCCCCAATACCTGGGAATACAAGTGCCCACCACCATGCCCAGCTAAGTTTACTTATTTTTATATCTTTTAGAGATGAGGTTCTCACAATGTTGTTCAAGCTGGTCTCCAACTCCTGATCTCAAGCAATCCTCTTGCCTTAGCGTCCTGAATTGCTGGGATTACAGGGGTGAGCTGTTCATGCCCAGCTTGTAATGTACTGACACCTTCAAGATTTCCTTCTCCAAGTGTGGACACAGCAGCAGATGCCCCTTGTCTCTTGGGTCAGGACACTGGGTAGAGTGGAAGAGCAAGACAACAAAGTCACTGCAGAAAGCATCCATGTGGAAGAGGTCCAGCAGGGAGGGCCAGCTGTCCCAGGGACACCATATTTAGGGATAACTCCTCTTTCTGGGCAGGACTGTTCTTTGATTACTTTTATATTCACGATAGTTCTGAAATCGTAGGATGATGAGACTCAAGACTGGCTAGGATTTGTTTTCAAAAAACCATCTCCGAGATTTGTGGATCTTTTGAATGGATTTTAGTGTCTCAATTTCCTTCAGAACTTAACTCATTCTTAACATTTCACAGACTACTTTCAGTTAATAATGTACTAGTGCCCATAAATATAGAAATATTGCAACCTTTTATCCTCTATAAAATGTCCATCTTTTATGGTATAGATATTGTATGTAATATATCTATATAGGTTGTAAGTCCCATGATAAAAAACTTTTTCTTATCTTTAAACAGTTCTATGTATATAAAGTAAGAATAAATGAGGGGAGCAAGATAGCCTTTTGCACTTAGCTCAATATTTACCATTTTTGATCATCTTCATCTTTTTTGATAATCTCATTTTCCACCTGGTATCATTTGCCTCTAGTCTGAAGAATTTTCTTTACCAATTGTAATTGTACAGATCTGCTGGTGACAAATTCTTTTAATTTTCTTTTACCTGAAATATCTCATTTGCCTATCCTTGAAGGACATCTATGCTGGATATAGAATTCTTAGTTGATCTTTTTGTCTTCCAGCACTTTAAAGATGTTATTCTACTTTCTTTTGTTTCTATGGTTTCTAATAAAAAGTCATTGATCAGGACAAGAGGAACAGAGAAACAAAAACCGGGAAAATAACATGGTAGACGTGAAACTTATCATATCAATAATGACAAAAACCTATATGAATCAACACTCCAATGAAGGGCAGAGATTGTGTGACTTGGTTTAAAAAAACACGGAACCCAACCATACGCTCTTTCCAGACATGCACTTTCTTTGTTTTTTTTTTTAATTTAACTTTTATTTTTAGTTAAGGGGTACATGTGCAGGTTTGTTATATAGGTAAACTTGTGTCATGGGGTTTTGTTTCACAGATTATTTCTATACCCATTAGTACCCACCCAAGTATTAAGTCTTAGTTCCCATTAGCTATTTTTCCTGATCCTCTCCCTCCTCCCACCCTCCACCCTCAAGTGGACCCCAGTGTGTGTTGTTCCCCTCTGCATGCCCATGTATTCTCATCATTTAGCTCCCACTTATAAGTGAGAACATGTGGTATATAGTTTTCTGTTCCTGTGTTAGTTTGCTAAGAATAATGGCCTCCAGCTCCATCCATGTTCCTGCAAAGGACGTAATCTCATTCTTTTTTATGGCTGTATAGTATTCTATGGTGTATATGTGCCACATTTTCTTTATCCAGTCTACCATTGATGGGCATTTAGGTTGATTCCAAGTCTTTGCTATTGTGAATAGTGCTTCAATGAACATATGTGTACATGTAAGTCATGCACTTTCTTTTTTTATTTAATTTATTTTATTTTGCTTTAAGTTCCAGATACATGTGCAGAACGTGCAGGTTTGTTACATACGTATAGTCTGCCATAGTGGTTTGCTGCACCTATTCACCCATCCTCTAAGTTCCCTCCTCTTACCCCCGACTCCCCAAAAGGCCCTGGTGTGTGTTGTTCCCCTCCCTGTGTCCATGTGTTCTCATTGTTCACCTCCCACTTAAGAGTGAGGACACCTGGTGTTAGGTTTTCTGTTCCCATGTTACTTTGCTGACGATGACTTCCAGCTTCATCCAAGTCCCTGCAAAGGACATGAACTCATTCCTTTTTATGGCTGTGTAGTATTCCATGGTGTATATCTACCACATTTTCTTTACCCAGACTATCATTGATGGGCATGTGGGTTGGTTCCATGTCTTTGCTATTGAAAATAGTGCTGCAATAAACATACCTGTGCATGTGTCTTTATAGTAGAATGACTGATATTCCTTTGGGTATATACCCAGTAAAGGGATTGCTGGGTCAAATAGTATTTCTGGTTCTACATCTTTGAGGAATGGTCACACCATCCTCCGTAATGGTTGAACTATTTTACATTCCCACCAACAGTGAAAAAGCATTCCTATTTCTCCACAGCCTCACCAGCATCTATTGTTTCCTCACTTTTTAATAATCGCCATTCTGGCTCGCAGGAGATAGTACATCATTGTGGTTTTGATTTGCTTTTCTCTAATGATCATTGATATTGAACTTTTTTTTCATATGTTTTTTCTTCTGAGAAGTGTCTGTTCATACCCTTTGCCAATTTTTGATAGGGCTGTTTTTTTTCTTGTAAATTTGTTTAAGCTCCTTGTAAACATACATGTGAGCTCTCATCATTCTTGTTTAAACACCTAAGAGGCATCCAAATCAGTGCAACATGGCAAGAAAATGAAATAAGAAACCAATAGAAGGACCAGGCATGGTGGCTAATGCCTGTAATCCCTGCATTTTGGGAGGCTGAGGTGGAAGGATCACTTGAGTTCAGGAGTTTGAGACCAGCCTGATAGTGAGACCTCATCTCTACCAAATAAAAATAATTTTAAAAGAAAAAAGATCAATAGATAGGAAAGGAAGAAACAAAAGTCTTTGTCACCAACTTCATTGCATATGTAGAAAACACTAGGGAATTCTGAAAAAGTCTCTGGAATTAATCATTGAATTTGCAAAATAGTTCATAAAATATATGTAATAAGTCACTTAGATGAACATGAAAAGACAGCAAACAATACTAGTCATCAAAGAAGTGCAAGTTAAAACCACAATGAGAAACCATCACACATCACCTAGAATAGATAAAGTTAAAAAGACATTGGATAAGTCTAAATACTGTCAAGAATATGGAAAAAATAGGAATGTCTGATATTGCTGGTAGGAATGCAAAAAATGTGGCAGCCAATTTGTAAAGTGGTATGGCAGTTTCTTATACAGTTACCCATCTATTACCACATGGCCCAGCAATTCCACAAATATGTATTTATCCAAAAGAAATAAAAATGTAAGGCCACACTTGTAAGCAGTTATTTATAGTGGCTTCATTAATAACAAGCCCTAACTGGAGGAATCCACATGTCTATCAACTGGAGGCAGAGAAACCAATGAATAAGCTGGGATTCCCGCAATACTCAGCAGCTGCTCAGCAACAAAAATGAGTGAATGGCATCATCTCAAACATCGTTATGCTAAAGGAGAGACCAAACGAAGGACTACATAACATACGACTGCACGTCCATTACATTCTAGAAATTTCAGATTGCAGTGACAGAAAACAGAGTGGTGGTTGAGTGAAGGGAAGGGGTGAGGGTGGGAGGCAAGGATTAAATAGAAAGGGGCAGAAAGAAAGTTTTTAGGGAAAAGAAACGGTTCTCTACAGCGCCACAACTCAGAGGTAACTGGGTGGTGGGAACTAAGGGGAGAGGAGGGTGTGAGGGAAGAGGACAGAGAGAAGGGCTGGGGAAGCAGGAGGTGAGGACAAGGAGCAGGAGAAGGGACTCTAAAGCAGTGGAGGAGCCTAGCAGGGGATTCTTTGCATTCTGGGTTTCTCTACTGGGCAGTGTGGTAGTTACATGACTATAAATAATTACCAATATTTGCCAAAAAAGCGCAGCTAAAACTGGTGAATTTTATTACATATAAATGCCCTAATAAGCAAAAATAAATAAATAAATAAAAGGGGGGGAGGGGAGGCAAAAATAAAGACATTTTTAGATAATCAAAGCCATAAAATTAATTTCCTAGGGGTCCTGTACTACATTTAATTTAAAAGGAAGTGCTTCAGGGTGAAGGAAAATGATACTAGATGGTGACCCAGATATACAGAAAGGAACAATTAACAACAGAAATGATGCACATACACATGTCACATTCACACTCATTTTCTTAATTTCCTGAAGACATATGGCTACTTGTTTAAAACAAAAAGTATTACACTGTATCATTGAGCTTATAATATAGGTTGATGTAATATATACAACAATAATAGCACAATGGTAGGTTACAAGAAACTACACTGTTAGAAGTGTCCTTTATTTTCTGGATGCAGCTTAATATAACCTGAACTTCACTGTGAAAAGTCAAGGAATCGGGTTTCCATTCTTTGCTATTGTGTAA
Organism: Homo sapiens; assembly: GCF_000001405.40. Lineage (NCBI taxonomy): Eukaryota > Metazoa > Chordata > Mammalia > Primates > Hominidae > Homo > Homo sapiens. The sequence goes on along the minus strand of NT_167248.2, from coordinate 2,614,361 downwards.
AGAAATATAGCCAAAAGCCACTAGGAGAATTAAAACCATAAACTAAAAAATGTTTATTTGACACATAAGAAAGTAGTAAAGGAGGAACAGAAACAAAAAGATATGAGACAAATTGAAAACATCTAGCAAAATGGTAGACCAAAACCCAACCATTGCAAGTGAAGAAATGACACGACCTGAGTCACATTAGCAGGACTGCTGAGCACTGTGGGGAGAACAGACATGGGCAGGAGGTGAGGGACAGTGTTAGTGCCACAATTCAGGGGTGAAAGGGTGGCAGGCACTAAGGGGAGCGGGGGTGTGAGGGATGAGAGGGGCAGACAGAAGGGCTGGAGAGGCAGGAGGTGAGGAAAAGGAGCAGGAGAAAGAATTCTAAAGCAGTGGAAGAGCCTGGTAGAGGGTTCTTTGCATTCGGTAGTTAATACATTTTGTTGGACTTCCTAAAAACTAATTGGCTCCTTATGATTAAAAAAAAAAGAGTTACAAAAATACCAAGGGTTCAGATAAAATATGCACACTGCTTGGATATGCAGAGTTCAGGAAAACAGGCAGTGCTTGAGCGCTGGTGAAGAGCATTGGGACTGCATGGAGCCCTCGCAACTTTGAGGTGATGACTACAGGTTCGCGGTTGCAATAGACAGTAACAAACCCCCCTTCTTTATATTCAGGAGATGTTCTGGACTCATATAGGGAAACTCGGGGTGGGGAATGAAGATAATTTTAAATGCAACAACCCAGAGTCACAGATCCATAGTCTGGGAAAGTAAAACTTAGGAGCTTTGAGAGTTTAATTGTAATGCTGTTTTGACACAGGTCTTTTGCAGATTGGAATTCTAATCATTCAGGGATTACCAATATTGTGCTACCTACTGTATTAATAAACAAAAAGGAAACTGGTCTCTATGAGAATCTCTGTGTGGTGGCTTCAGACAAAACTTCGCCAGGTTTAGAGAGAAAACCCCTGTCTCTACACCTCCATTCCCAGGGCGAGCTCACTCTCTGGCATCAAGTTCTCCGTGATCAGTTTCCCTACACAAGATCCAAGAGGAGAGGTAAGGAGTGAGAGGCAGGGAGTCCAGTTCAGGGACAGGGATTCCAGGAGGAGAAGTGAAGGGGAAGCGGGTGGGCGCAGCCTGGGGGTCTCTCCCTGGTTTCCACAGACAGATCCTTGTGCAGGACTCAGGCAGACAGTGTGACAAAGAGGCTGGTGTAGGAGAAGAGGGATCAGGACGAAGTCCCAGGCCCCGGGCGGGGCTCTCAGGGTCTCAGGCTCCGAGAGCCTTGTCTGCATTGGGGAGGCGCAGCATTGGGGATTCCCCACTCCCACGAGTTTCACTTCTTCTCCCAACCTATGTCGGGTCCTTCTTCCAGGATACTCGTGACGCGTCCCCATTTCCCACTCCCATTGGGTGTCGGGTGTCTAGAGAAGCCAATCAGTGTCGCCGGGGTCCCAGTTCTAAAGTCCCCACGCACCCACCCGGACTCAGAATCTCCTCAGACGCCGAGATGCGGGTCACGGCGCCCCGAACCCTCCTCCTGCTGCTCTGGGGGGCAGTGGCCCTGACCGAGACCTGGGCTGGTGAGTGCGGGGTCGGCAGGGAAATGGCCTCTGTGGGGAGGAGCGAGGGGACCGCAGGCGGGGGCGCAGGACCCGGGGAGCCGCGCCGGGAGGAGGGTCGGGCGGGTCTCAGCCCCTCCTTGCCCCAGGCTCCCACTCCATGAGGTATTTCCACACCTCCGTGTCCCGGCCCGGCCGCGGGGAGCCCCGCTTCATCTCAGTGGGCTACGTGGACGGCACCCAGTTCGTGAGGTTCGACAGCGACGCCGCGAGTCCGAGGACGGAGCCCCGGGCGCCGTGGATAGAGCAAGAGGGGCCGGAGTATTGGGACCGGAACACACAGATCTCCAAGACCAACACACAGACTTACCGAGAGAGCCTGCGGAACCTGCGCGGCTACTACAACCAGAGCGAGGCCGGTGAGTGACCCCGGCCCGGGGCGCAGGTCACGACTCCCCATCCCCCACGTACGGCCCGGGTCGCCCCGAGTCTCCGGGTCCGAGATCCGCCCCCCTGAGGCCGCGGGACCCGCCCAGACCCTCGACCGGCGAGAGCCCCAGGCGCGTTTACCCGGTTTCATTTTCAGTTGAGGCCAAAATCCCCGCGGGTTGGTCGGGGCGGGGCGGGGCTCGGGGGGACGGGGCTGACCGCGGGGCCGGGGCCAGGGTCTCACACCCTCCAGAGGATGTACGGCTGCGACGTGGGGCCGGACGGGCGCCTCCTCCGCGGGCATGACCAGTCCGCCTACGACGGCAAGGATTACATCGCCCTGAACGAGGACCTGAGCTCCTGGACCGCGGCGGACACCGCGGCTCAGATCACCCAGCGCAAGTGGGAGGCGGCCCGTGTGGCGGAGCAGCTGAGAGCCTACCTGGAGGGCACGTGCGTGGAGTGGCTCCGCAGACACCTGGAGAACGGGAAGGAGACGCTGCAGCGCGCGGGTACCAGGGGCAGTGGGGAGCCTTCCCCATCTCCTATAGGTCGCCGGGGATGGCCTCCCACGAGAAGAGGAGGAAAATGGGATCAGCGCTAGAATGTCGCCCTCCCTTGAATGGAGAATGGCATGAGTTTTCCTGAGTTTCCTCTGAGGGCCCCCTCTTCTCTCTAGGACAATTAAGGGATGACGTCTCTGAGGAAATGGAGGGGAAGACAGTCCCTAGAATACTGATCAGGGGTCCCCTTTGACCCCTGCAGCAGCCTTGGGAACCATGACTTTTCCTCTCAGGCCTTGTTCTCTGCCTCACACTCAGTGTGTTTGGGGCTCTGATTCCAGCACTTCTGAGTCACTTTACCTCCACTCAGATCAGGAGCAGAAGTCTCTGTTCCCCGCTCAGAGACTCGAACTTTCCAATGAATAGATTATCCCAGGTGCCTGCGTCCAGGCTGGTGTCTGGGTTCTGTGCCCCTTCCCCACCCCAGGTGTCCTGTCCATTCTCAGGCTGGTCACATGGGTGGTCCTAGGGTGTCCCATGAGAGATGCAAAGCGCCTGAATTTTCTGACTCTTCCCATCAGACCCCCCAAAGACACATGTGACCCACCACCCCATCTCTGACCATGAGGCCACCCTGAGGTGCTGGGCCCTGGGCTTCTACCCTGCGGAGATCACACTGACCTGGCAGCGGGATGGCGAGGACCAAACTCAGGACACCGAGCTTGTGGAGACCAGACCAGCAGGAGATAGAACCTTCCAGAAGTGGGCAGCTGTGGTGGTGCCTTCTGGAGAAGAGCAGAGATACACATGCCATGTACAGCATGAGGGGCTGCCGAAGCCCCTCACCCTGAGATGGGGTAAGGAGGGGGATGAGGGGTCATATCTCTTCTCAGGGAAAGCAGGAGCCCTTCTGGAGCCCTTCAGCAGGGTCAGGGCCCCTCATCTTCCCCTCCTTTCCCAGAGCCATCTTCCCAGTCCACCATCCCCATCGTGGGCATTGTTGCTGGCCTGGCTGTCCTAGCAGTTGTGGTCATCGGAGCTGTGGTCGCTACTGTGATGTGTAGGAGGAAGAGCTCAGGTAGGGAAGGGGTGAGGGGTGGGGTCTGGGTTTTCTTGTCCCACTGGGGGTTTCAAGCCCCAGGTAGAAGTGTTCCCTGCCTCATTACTGGGAAGCAGCATCCACACAGGGGCTAACACAGCCTGGGACCCTGTGTGCCAGCACTTACTCTTTTGTGCAGCACATGTGACAATGAAGGACGGATGTATCACCTTGATGGTTGTGGTGTTGGGGTCCTGATTCCAGCATTCATGAGTCAGGGGAAGGTCCCTGCTAAGGACAGACCTTAGGAGGGCAGTTGGTCCAGGACCCACACTTGCTTTCCTCGTGTTTCCTGATCCTGCCTTGGGTCTGTAGTCATACTTCTGGAAATTCCTTTTGGTTCCAAGACGAGGAGGTTCCTCTAAGATCTCATGGCCCTGCTTCCTCCCAGTCCCCTCACAGGACATTTTCTTCCCACAGGTGGAAAAGGAGGGAGCTACTCTCAGGCTGCGTGTAAGTGGTGGGGGTGGGAGTGTGGAGGAGCTCACCCACCCCATAATTCCTCCTGTCCCACGTCTCCTGCGGGCTCTGACCAGGTCCTGTTTTTGTTCTACTCCAGCCAGCGACAGTGCCCAGGGCTCTGATGTGTCTCTCACAGCTTGAAAAGGTGAGATTCTTGGGGTCTAGAGTGGGCGGGGGGGCGGGGAGGGGGCAGAGGGGAAAGGCCTGGGTAATGGAGATTCTTTGATTGGGATGTTTCGCGTGTGTGGTGGGCTGTTCAGAGTGTCATCACTTACCATGACTAACCAGAATTTGTTCATGACTGTTGTTTTCTGTAGCCTGAGACAGCTGTCTTGTGAGGGACCGAGATGCAGGATTTCTTCACGCCTCCCCTTTGTGACTTCAAGAGCCTCTGGCATCTCTTTCTGCAAAGGCACCTGAATGTGTCTGCGTCCCTGTTAGCATAATGTGAGGAGGTGGAGAGACAGCTCACCCCCGTGTCCACCGTGACCCCTGTTCCCATGCTGACCTGTGTTTCCTCCCCAGTCATCTTTCTTGTTCCAGAGAGGTGGGGCTGGATGTCTCCATCTCTGTCTCAACTTTATGTGCACTGAGCTGCAACTTCTTACTTCCCTACTGAAAATAAGAATCTGAATATAAATTTGTTTTCTCAAATATTTGCTATGAGAGGTTGATGGATTAATTAAATAAGTCAATTCCTGGAATTTGAGAGAGCAAATAAAGACCTGAGAACCTTCCAGAATCTGCATGTTCGCTGTGCTGAGTCTGTTGCAGGTGGGGTGTGGAGAAGGCTGTGGGGGGCCGAGTGTGGACGGGGCCTGTGCCCATTTGGTGTTGAGTCCATCATGGGCTTTATGTGGTTAGTCCTCAGCTGGGTCACCTTCACTGCTCCATTGTCCTTGTCCCTTCAGTGGAAACTTGTCCAGCGGGAGCTGTGACCACAGAGGCTCACACATCGCCCAGGGCGGCCCCTGCACACGGGGGTCTCTGTGCATTCTGAGACAAATTTTCAGAGCCATTCACCTCCTGCCCTGCTTCTAGAGCTCCTTTTCTGCTCTGCTCTCCTGCCCTCTCTCCCTGCCCTGGTTCTAGTGATCTTGGTGCTGAATCCAATCCCAACTCCTGAATCTGTAAAGCAGAGTCTAATTTAGACTTACATTTGTCTGTGAAATTGGACCCGTCATCAAGGACTGTTCTTTCCTGAAGAGAGAACCTGATTGTGTGCTGCAGTGTGCTGGGGCAGGGGGTGCGGGGAGGGGGTTGCTGTAGAAAGAGGGATGGGGAGGGAGGGCACACAAGCAGCCCTGCTGAGAAAAACATAGGCGGCCTCTATCTCAGTGTGAGGGGTCCTTGTGCTGCAGCTGCCACAAAACAGCACTTGGCCTGAGGCTATGTTAATAAAGATACTGCCTTCAAAATAGGGAGGTGCTCTACAGTGATCATTCATTCAACTGACCTTTGTCATTGGCCAGACATAGGACAGAATGGTTCTGCATCTGGGGAACACCACTGAAGTAAAATCAGAAAAATCTCTGGCCTTTTGTAGCATATGTTCCAGTGGGAAGAGGCAGACGATAGATACACTATAACCAGAGTAAGGAAGGAAAGTGCTAGAAGGTGGTAAGTGCTGTGAGGCAGGTGATCCAGGATGTGGGCAGTGGGGACAGGGAAGGTGGCTGTTGTGCTGGGTAGTCAGTGTGTGCCTTGTTGCAAAGGTGACTTTTGAGGAAAGATTTGAGAGACATGAGGATGTCTGGGGAAGTTCTTTCCAGGCAGAGGAAGCTCCAGTCCAAATGCACTATGGCAGGAAGGTGTCTGTGTTCCCAGAAGAGCAAGGAGGCCAGGAGGGCTGGACAGAGAGAAACTGAGGTGAGGTCAGAGGTGTGGCCAGAACAGGTGGGCTTGAGGGGAGTGGGGTTGGATCTGGCCTTTGCTCTGAGTGGGATGGGGAGTTAGAGGACAGTTTTGAGCAGAAGAGAGCCATGATATGACTTCTGTTTTAAAAGGATCTCTCTGACGGCTGTGCTGAGAACAGAATTGAGAGGCGAGGGACGAGGGAGGCAGAAGGGAAAACAGTAGGAATCGAGTGCAGTATTCCAGGCTGGAGATGTCGGTTTCCTTGACTGGGGCATGAGCAGGGGAAATAGTGGGGCGTGAGGGGATTCTGGATGCATTTGAAGATGGACTCACAGCATTTGCCAATGGATTGTATCTGTGGTGTGAGAAAGACGAATCAAGGACACCCATAGTTGTAAAATGAGTGAGTAGAAGGATGGAGCTGCTGTCAGTGGAGATGGGGAGACTCTGGCAGGAGCGTCCTGAGGAGGGGGCATCACAGGCACTCAGTGGAGGAGATGTCTACTAGGAAGGCGGGTGGGGGAGCTGGGTGGAATTTGGACAGACAACTCCAGAGTTTAGGGGAAAGGACTGGGCTGGAGAAATAGATTTAGGAGGTCACACCATATATATGAGACTTAAAACCTCAAGCATGGATGAGGCACAAAGGGAGTGACCGACTATGGAAAAGAATGAGCACAAGGACTGAACCCTGGACCTCCAGTTCTAAGGGGTGTGATCAGACCACACCCAGAGCAGACTGCACAGTTCTGGCCCCACGTCTAGAGGACACTCAGACAAGGAAACCCCATGTGCACCAGGATCATCTGGATGTGGTGCTGAGATCCTGGAAGTCTGGAGTTGAGCAAGAGATTCTGGATTTATGACAAGGCTGGAGCTCATGTTGCTGGTCTCCAGATCACACTTGGAGTAGCAAGAACACCAGGATCCCACACGTCTGAGCATCAGCCTCACCTCTAGGGCTTGTCATATAAATGATTCCTTGGTCTTGTGCGTAATACTCTGAGACAAGGGTTCTGGGGAGTGGCCTGTGTATTTTCTAAGTCCCCGCCAGCAATCCTATTGCTCAGACAGATGGGAGCCACTGAGATCAGTGATCAGAGAGTGCCCAGGGTGGGTGGGTGGGGTGGGTTTTCAAACCCTGTTGAAAAGAGGATTTTTCTCACAGAAAGAAAAGGGAGGCTGTATATCATCAGTTATGAGAGGTGATATTCTCTGTTGTTCTCTCCACCATGGGGTAGAGGCCAGGCAGACAATTCAGGATGTGGCTCTCGCACAAAGAACACCTCTGAATGCCGCTCTCTGACACTCGCCCACAGACTCATTTCTCACTCACTTCTTGGAGAAAACTATGGAAACCAAATTTCTGTAATGTACACATAAAGTTGTATATTGGTATTGGGGGCTAGTTTTATTGTGGGGAAGGCCACAGAACCAGGCTGGAAACTACACATCCAAGAACAGAATTCACAGCCCACCCTGGATCAGGTCTCTCCTAGGAACAACTGCCCCTGCTGCTGAGCACAGACAGCACTGCTCACACCTCTGACATCCTGGTGCTGGACACTGGACCCTGAGGCTAGGACAGATGTCACTGCTGCACCTGGAAATTGGACATCACTACTGTCACTCAGCCATCTTTACTAAAATGCTTTCTGCACAGTCCTAGCCTCTCTGTCACCTCATTCTGGCTGAGTCTGGCAGTGATATAGGAGTGAAGAAGAAATTATTTAGACAGGTAGTGAGGGTACGCAAGGCTTTTAATGGAAAGCAGGCTCCAAATTATTTTCTTTTCTAACAAGGAGCAGCCTGTAATATCAAGCTTCAGACATAGACAAGTAAGCTGGAAGTTTGCACGGGTGAATGCCAGCAGCTGTCCAATAGGAATAGGACGCCTGGGACTGGGCATGTTCACTATGGCGGCTCCATCTTCCCTTCTCTTTGCCAGGCACGTTTACAGTAAGGAGCAGACAACATGTCACCGGCCAAGTGGAAAGCCCATTTGCATAATAGGATGAGGGTGGGGTGAACAGCCTTCCACACGCACTATGTAAATATCATACCTGGTACAATCAACCTGTGGGCCCTACATAAATCAGACACCATCTCCTCAAGCCTGCCTGTAAAATCCGATGCACTCCATTCCAGGCTGGAATTCCCTTTTGGGTGCCCCTCTCTCTCACAAGAAGGAGCTGTTTCCCTTTGTCTTTCTTTTGCCTATTAAACCCTTTGATCCTAACTCACTCCTCGTGTGTCAGTGTCCTTAATCTTCTTGGCGTGAGATGACGAACACTTAGTATTTACCTGAGACAATGACACCTCTTCAGCAGGTGGTCATCAGACTGGTGGAGCTTAAAACTCATGTCCATGATCAACTGCAGGGGTGACTGGAGTGTTGTTGTCCTCTTCCAGGGAGGGAGGTGGTGTCTGTCTCCTCTCAACATTTTACATGTTGTAAACCAAAAATAAACATCAAAGCCACCCCTTCCCAATCATTTTAATGGACACCCTCAGCCAGGGTGCTCAAAAGTTAACCTGAAAGACTGGCTCAGGCCACCATGGGAAGCAGGTATTGAACATGTCTTATTATGCCCTCTTCCCTCTTGGAATTCAGGAAAGGTTGACCAGCATTTACCATCAACACAGACCTTCAGTCTGATCAGAAACATTTACAATCTATTCTCTCTGAAGCCTGGCACCTGGAGGCGTCATCTGTATGAGAATTTTGGACTCCACAAGCTTTTATCATAACCCAGACATTCCTTTCTATTGATAATAACCAATTGCCAATCAGGAAAATTAAAAATCTACTTATAACCCAGAAGCACTACCCCGCAACCCTTGCTTGCTTCAAATTGTTCCAACTTTCTGGACCGAACCAATGTATAGCTTAAATGTATTTGATTGATGTCTCATATCTTCCTTAAATGTGTAAAACCATGTATTTGATTGATGTCTCATATCTTCCTTAAATGTGTAAAACCAACCTGTGCCTCAACCACCTTGAGCACATGTTCTCGGTCTCCTGAGGGCTGTGTCATGGGCTGTGGTCACTCATTTTTGGCTCAGAATAAATCTCTTTAAATATGTTACTGCGTTTGACTCTTTTCATTGACAGTGTGGAATTTTGATGTAGTAAGCGGGTTCAAGTGCTGGAGTGTGAGGGGTGGGGAAAAGTGACAAATTTTAATTCTTGGAGCAGTGATCCAGGACGAGAACTTTATCTAGTACCCAGTAGGCACGAAGAGTGGCTGAATGAACCAGTGACTAATAAATAACATATTTCCACCCATTCCCTTGAGGATAGGTTTACATCAAGTTTTTGTCTATCCCAGTTTATAGTCTAGATTTTTGGAGTGGCATTCTGTAATGATGAAATGATTATTCAAACCTCTTCCCTCAGCATGACTCTTACTAGGATTAAAACTCCCAGGTTTGTAAGATATTAGAGGTTCTGGTTCCACACGATGTTTTATATTAATATTTATATTTTCTTGTGTGTGGAAATATTTCTGGGGAGAGAATCTCTAACATTTATTAGTTTTTATGTGACACCCTCAAAGGCCTAAAAAATCCTAACTTCTAGATTAAAGGTAGGACCACTCCACGTCTAGACAATGAACAGCTGGTAGCAACCTGTGTTTAGGGACATGAAACAAATGCTTACATTTGTTTATCTTTTCCTCTGGGACCAAAGAAGGTAGAGGTTTACTTGCTTACTCTTACTATAAGTTTCTCTCTGTGGGACAGTGATGGGGTTTTCTTCCACCCAAATAACTTTCTGATTCTCCAACAGCAGCTGGGAGTCCCACAATTTGACTCAATTCTGACACTAACTACCTGGAGTTCGCCTCAGACTCTACAGGTTTACCAGCTCAGTCCTACAAGTCTGTCCTCACTTCAGAAGCAAGTCACAAGTATCGGGTCCCAGGTTACCTGCACTTCTGTCTAACATGGCTGCAAAATCAGGGGTTTCTCACCTCCCAAGGATTGAGAATTCTTAAACTAACTCAAAGAACTCAGGAAGTTGCTATAGCCGTGTAAACCAAAAAACGTCTGAGACAGGTCTCAGTCAGTTTAGAAGTTTATTTTGCCAAGCTGAAGATGCACCTTGGAAACAGAGACACAAATCATTGTAGCATCTGTGGCCCATGCTCTTTCCTAACAGGCTTTTGAGGACTTCAATATGTACAGGGGAAAGAGCAGCCAGGAGAGGAAAAAAATAGTCAACTATGCATTCATCTCATGCTCAGTAAATCTGCATTTTAAATAAGATAAAGTAAACGTTGGGTAGAAAAGTCAAATATGCGTTTGACTCTGGGTGGGTGGAGGGATGATTTCTAGTCTTGTCTTTGTCCTGTACCTGTGAAGATAAGCTGTTAATTTACATTGTCAGGGGAAAATTCAACAAAACTGTTTTAGAGTAAACACGTTGGGGCCCACAAGGAATTATCTTGTGAGCGGTTTGTGAGGGAGGCCACCTGGGGAGATATGGGGTCTTCTATCTTTGCAGTTATTTGTTTAGGAATGAAAGAAAGGCAGTTTTTCCATCAGTCTCCAAACTTAATTTTTCCCTTTGGTATAGTGAATTTGGAGTCCTGAAATTTTATTTTCCTTTCACACTCAGTATTGCAGTTTTTTATTGTTATAGCTTAAATCCCCACCTTTTTGGCACCTGGGACTGGTTTCATGGAAGACAGTTTTTCCATGGACTAGTGGAGGTGGTGGAGGGCAGAGGGAAATGGTTTCGGATGAAACTGTTGTACCTCAGATGATCAGGCATTAGCGCTTCATAAGGAGCATGCAACCTAGATCTCTTGCATGCAGAGTTCACAATAGGGTTCATGCTTCTATGAGAATCTAATTCCGCCACTGATCTGACAGGAGGCGGAACTCTGGTGTCATGCTCATGCTCTCTCACCCACTGATCACCTCCTGCTGTGCAGTCTGGTTCCTACCAGGCCAGGAACCTGTACCAGTCCGCAGCCCGGGGGTTAAGGACCCCTGGTTTAAATTATGCCACTAGAGCAGAACTCCTGAGACTGGATAACTTTTAACAAACAGAAATTTGTCTCGTTCATGGTGTCGAGGATGAGAATTCCCAGATCAAGGGACTCTATCTGGTAGAAAACAAAAGGACAAGAGAGGGTGAGAGGTGGGGGGAAAGGAAGTCAAACTCAGCCTCAGGTCCTTTTATGATGAGCCTTAATCCATTAATGAAGGCAGAGCTCTGATGGTCCAATCACCTCTCAAAAGTCCTATTTCTTAAAAATGTTGCATTCGGGATGAAATATCCAACAGGTGCTTTTTTGGGGAAACATTCAAACCATAGCAGTTATAAAGGATACAAATGAGCAGCCAGATGAAGAGGTGCACAGGGTGAGGCCTGGAAGGGCTCTGAGCACAAGAGCCTCTGTCCCCACGGAGATGGGGCTCACCATCCTCCCAGCATGTGGACACACAGATGTGCTCTCCGAAACCCAATCTCCAGAGGTTTCTATGGATATTTCATTGTGTAAGCATGATTAATTAAATCACTGGCCATTGTGTGACTGAACTCAACCTCGAGCCTCTCTTTCCTTCCCAGACTTTAGGGATGGGGCTAACAGTTCCAATCCTCTAATCACAGCTTCGTGTTTCTGGCAACTAGTCCCCATCCTGAAGCTATCTAGGAGCCCCTCACCCCATAGTCATCTCATTGCCATGTTGAAGTCATGTTTATCACTGAGGAGATTGCAAATGTTTTAGAACCTGGTTGTCAGGAAACAGGGAAAAGACCAAATATTTTTACTGGACCACAGATCACACCCTGGTTTTGACCACATTATCTCTTTTTATAATATTTATTATTTTATTTTAGAGATAATCTCTTGCTCTGTTGCCCAGGGTAGAATGCAGTGGCACAATCATAGCTCACTCTAACCTTGAATTCCTGGACTCAAGTGATCCTTCTGCCTCAGCCTCCTGAGTAGATAGCATTACAGGTGCACACCAACATGCCCAACTAATTTTTAAATATTTTGTAGGAATGGGTCTCACTATTCTGCCCAGTCTGGTCTCAAACTCCTGGACTTAAACAATGTTCCTACCATTGCCTCCCAAACTGATGGAATTATAAGTGTGAGCCACTGTGCCTGGCCAATCACAGATCTCCTACACCAGAAGAATCATAACAGTGAAAAGATCCTGGCACATTACCAGAATCCTCTTTGGTCATTAACAATGATCCCAGTGCAATCCATAAACAGGAATAGTTTCAGCAACATATGGCTGCACCCTTTCAGGCATCTGGTAAAATTGAGCTAAGAGACAATATCATCTCTTGCTTATACCTTTTTCAAGTAGTTCATGTAACATTGGATTTTCCTCATTACATAACCCATTTATTCATTCATTTACCCTCAGCTACTATTTCTCCTTCCCTTCATTTATACTAAACATTTATAATTTTGGAAGGAACATTAAGTTCTGCTGCTGTGCTGGCTGAGACTGCAGGGACCAATACTGTTCTAGCAAGTGTCTCTCGTTGGTCCATTCCAGTTCATAGAGGGTAGGGTTATGCAGGTAGAGAACTGGTTTGCTATCTGACCCCAGGCAATACAGCTGCATTCAGTGTTAGCCCCAACTTTGCCAGATGCAGTGAAGGCACAACCTACCTCTACAGGCCCTTAGGAATTATTACATAATGGACATAAAATATATTTACAGTTTCTTGCTCAGGAATAATTCCTGTTTCTGAACTCTATTTGCATCCCTAGTCCTGGGACCACTGCATCAGGTATGAGAAAAGCAAGTTGAGGTGAATTACAGTCATCATTCCAGTGTCCTCCCACCTTGGGGAGGAATATATGTAGATCATACCAGCACCTTCCCCTGATCCACCAGGAAAAGAGAGGATACTCTCATGTCAAGTGTGAGCACACTCATGAAGGTGTATAAGCCCACCCTTCGTGCTTGTTTCCCCACTCTTGCCTTTACACACCCAATTGACTATTTTAATTCTCTATGGAACTCTTCCTCTGAGGAGGATATCTCTCTGACCATTGTTGGACATTTTGAGCAGGTGCATTTTCTGGTGTAAAGAAATACGACTCGGTGGTCTACATGGTTGCAGTACCTCCCATTCAAGTTCTTTTGTAACACTCCGAGCATTTGCATCTGAGATAAAGCAGGGACCTCCCTTAGAAGCCTGCCAGGGCCTCCCAACCTGGAAATAAAGAAAAACCTTCAGTGCCTTCAAGAGAAATTCCAGGCACCTTGCCAGCCCTAAAAAGTAAGTGAGTGACCTTATAAGCAAGACGGTAATGATAGCTTAAAAAAATAGCCAAGGAAGTTAGAGTCACAAGATGTTTGATTCTCTGTAGAAACTAAAAATAACATCTTAACATATGTCCCTGAGTTGTTTTTCAGAAACATGGATTCCCACCTAATAGATCCACTGACAGGGAGACCTTATAAAGGGGAAACTGAGGACTGAACTCTGACTGCCGTTCTTTGTTCTAAATTTCTTCCTGAGGGGCCTGGAGAGAGTCAAGCCCACAGACCAGGCCTGAACATTCCTGTCTACTGCCCCCAACTGTGTAACGAAGCTTTGTAAAGAGGCTTTGCTTCCTTATCTATCACAAATCAGAGAATCTTTAAATCTACCTAAGACCTGTAAGCTCCCTCATCAGGATATTCCACCTTTTAAGGCCAAAGCAGTGTATAACTTCTATGCATTGATTTATGATGTTGCCTGTAACTCTGCTTTCCCGAAATTTGCCCCTGCCTTTAAAAATTCTTGCATGTGAGCCATCAAAAAGTTGGGTCTTAAGCATGAGCTGCCCAATTCTCCTTGTTTGGCGCCCTACACATAAATGCCCTCCTTTGTCCCACTACAATCTCAGTGTGGATGTTTGCTTTTACTGCCTCAGGTGAGTGGACCCCAGTTCAGTTTGGTAACACACCTACTACCAGCTGAACAAAGCCCACTCCAGGGTGAGGATCTATTCCTGCCAAGACCCATTTGCTGCTTCCTGGGGCTACTGGTATCAGTTTAACTTGCCAGCTATGTATTTTCAAGGCCCTCCCATAAAAGAATCTGCCACATAGCCATATACTATCTCTCTTTTTTTTGTTAAAGAAAGGACTTCTTATATGTATTTTGTGCCTGTGATGTGTGGAATGCAAGAGGACTATGTCTTGATTCCACCTATCTCTGCATTGCTACAGCCCCAATGTCTACTTATTTCATGGACTCAGGTGATCACCACAAGCAAACCTGGATTTTTTTTTTGTTGTTATTTTTGAGATGTGGTCTTGATATGTTTCCCTGGCTGGCCTCAAATGTTGCTCAGGCTAAACTCTAACTCCTGGACTCAAGATATCCTTCTGCCTCAGCCGCTCTCATAGCTGGAATTACAAGTGCACCTGGCAAACACTTGGAGATAAATTCTTGTTGATTTCAATCACCTTCCAAACCTGGAAGGGAGTTATTCTGAGGGACACTGAACAGCACTGAGGGGACGGTGCTAAACCATTCATGAGAAACTGACCTCGTGATCCAACCACCTCCCTCCCTCCGGGCCCCACCTATAATGCTGGGGATCACATCTCGACATGAGGTCTGCACAAGAACAACATCCAATCTATATCAGGTATCAACAGATCTTACATTAATGAACCCCTCAAATTACCATAGTGATTTCCGTGGGACTTGGCTCACATGGGCATTCTTTTCATAGGCAAGTTTTTCATTGCTCTCCTGATTAATTATACGGCCAGGCCATTAGTCACTCCCTGTAAGTCAGTAAAAACTAAAACGTAGGAGCTTTATCATTGTTCAATTCTTCCACCACTGCTAAGAAAACACCATGCAATTAAGTCCACAACAGCTTTTCTGTTTTTACCTTCTTTGATCAAAGAAGTGGACTTCCAAACAGTATGTTGTCCATTCATCTTGCAAATGCTGTACACAAACCAACCAGCTGTTAGTGGGTCAGTTGACTGATACTGCAGTTCAAATCCCAGCGCTGTCTGCTACAGAGTTCCATCTTGCTCAAGAGAGGTCAGTGTTTTGTTTAATTTACACCTTCAGTGAATTGAATGAAGCCCACTCACATTATAGACATTAATCTACTTTATTCAAAGTCTGGCTATTTATGTGTTAATCTCATCCAACAAACATCCTCACAAATCATCCAGAATAATGCTTGACCACCTATCCAGGCACGATGCTTTACCCAAGATGACCAATAAATTTTTTTTTATTATTATACTTTAAGTTCTAGGGTACATGTGTACAACGTGCAGGTTTGTTACATATGTATACATGTGCCATGTTGGTCTGCTGCACCTGTTAACTCATTATTTACATTAGGTATTTCTCCTAGTACTATCCCTCCTCACTGCCCCCACCCCACGACAGGCCCCGGTGTGTGATGTTCCCCCCTGTGTCCAAGTGTTCTCATTGTTCAATTCCCACCTATGAGTGAGAACATGTGGTGTTTGGTTTTCTGTCCTTGTGATAGTTTGCTCAGAATGATGGTTTCCAGCTTCATCCATGTCCCTACAAAGGACATGAACTCATCCTTCTTTATGGCTGCATAGTATTCCATGATGTATATGTGCCACATTTTCTCAATCCTATCTACCATTGATGGACATTTGGGTTGGTTCCAAGTCTTTGCTATTGTGAATACTGCCACAATAAACATACATGTGCATGTGTCTTTATAGCAGCACGATTTATAATCCTTTGGGTACATACAAAGTAATGGGACCACTGGGTCAAATGGTATTTCTAGTTCTAGGTCCTTGAGGAATTGCCACACTGTCTTCCACAATGGTTGAACTAGTTTACAGTCCCACCAACAGTGTAAAAGTGTTCCTATTTCTCCACATCCTCTCCAGCACTTGTTGTTTCCTGACTTTTTAATGATCGCCATTCTTACTGGTGTGAGATGGGATCTCATTGTGGTTTTGATTTGCATTTCTCTGATGGCCAGTGATGATGAGCATTTTTTCATGTGTCTGTGGCTGCATAAATGTCTTCTATGGAGAAGTGTCTGTTCATATCTTTTGCCCACTTTTTGATGGGGTTGTTTGATTTTTTCTTGTAAATTTGTTTGAGTTCCTTGTGGATTCTGGATATTAGCCCTTTGTTAGATGGGTAGATTGTAAATATTTTCTCCCATTTTGTAGGTTGCCTGTTCACTCTGATGGTAGTTTCTTTTGCAGTGCAGAAGCTCTTTAGTTTAATTAGATCCCATTTGTCAATTTTGGTTTTTGATGTCATTGCTTTTGTTGTTTTAGTCATGAAGTCCTTGCCCATGCCTATGGCCTGAAAGGTATTGCCTAGGTTTTCTTCTAGGGTTTTTATGGTTTTAGGGATGATCAGTAAAATTAATTATGACATTCTTCAATATAAGAATACTCTGAGGAAATTAGCCTGTGATCTAATAAAACAAGGAGCAAACAACTGTTTCTAAAAATTTACAAGCAATAGTCAAAAAGCCCTCCCTAGAGATTGTTTCTCACGTTCACTCTATAATTCTGGGTAAAAAAAAAGCACGTATTTGTTGAAAACCACAGAAGAAGAGAAAATTGAAAAAGCAGAAAGTGAAAAAATAAGAATAATAATAAAGATGACAGCAGTTATTTCATTGGAAACAATGCAAATGAGGAGACAGATGAGCAACATCTTTAGAGTCCTAAAAGGAAAATGCTGTGAAACTAGATTCTATTCCCAGAAAATAATACCTTTTTCAAATATATATGTATAGTTTTAATTGACAAAGTATAATACATTCGTGAGATATTGTTTAATGTATTGATATATGTGTACCCTATGTAATGATTAAATTAAGCTAACACACCTTGAATATATCTATCAAAAAATAAAGGGATTTTAGGCCAGGCATGGTGGCTCATGCCTGTCATCCCAACACTTTGGGAGGCCGAGGTAGGTAGATCACGAAGTCAGGAGTCAAGACCAGCCTGACCAACATGGTGAAACCTCGTCTCTACTAAAAATACAAACATTAGCTAGGCATGGTGGCATGCTCCTGTAATTCCCAGCTACTCAGGAGGCTGAGGCAGGAGAATCACTTGAACATGGGAGGCGGGGGTTGCAGTAGGCCAATATCACACCATTGCACTCCAGCCTGGGCAATAGAGTGAGACTCTGTCTCAAAAACAAACAAACAAACAAACAAACAAACAAACAAATGGATTTTAGACATACAGGGAGTGAAAAAATAACCAGCAGACCTAAACTATAATAAATGTTTCAGTCCTCTAGGCAAAAAGAAAATTAAGGGACTAGTTGGCACAGCATTTAATGATGAAGAGACAACTTCATCGCCCCCTCCCACTGAGACAGAGAACACAGCCCCAGGGCCTGGGAATTCCTCAACCCAATCCACCACCTTGGGCACCTGTGCACTCCTCCTGGGTACCTGAGGTTGGATGCAATCACCTTAGCTGTCACCTACGTGCAAACACCACCTATGGGCATCCCACCCAGCCTATCGCATCTGCCGCTAACAGTGCACACTGCTTGGGACCCAGAGAAGCAGCCCACCACTGCCACTGCCAAGCTGGCTGCCCAGGAGCCGAAGTCCCCAGCACCTACCCAGTCAACCACTGCCACTACTGCCATCCAAGCAAGCCACCTGGAGGCCCAGGAATCAGCCCACCAGTAACCACCAACACAAATGCCAGTATATACCACCTTGGGGCACAAAGATAGGAACACTCAGCACACCACTGCCACCACTGGAGCCTGAAGACTGTCTCATGTGGCATCTCAGTCCCCAGCACATTTTCACCACAGCCTCACTAGTAACCACACCCTAATGCACAGAAGAAATCACAGATACCATTAACACTGTCTACAGCCAAAGAAATTATACAGAGGCCATAGTACTCTACTATGTACTACACCCAGAATCAAATCCAAAGTACCCTACGCAACCAACACCATAGACTCATCTTCAGGAAAATGCTCTCCACTATGAAATAAAATTCAAAAATAGGAAGAACTGACTGTTATATCAGATGCAAAAATATTAACGTTAGGACACAGAAACATGAAAAAGCAAAAAAGAAAAAAAAAAGCCGCAAAGGAAGACAATAGATCTTAATCAAAAAGAAATTTTCAAGATTCTAGATAAAGGACTCAAAACATTCATTTTACAGAAGTTCAGTGAGATGCAAAAGAATTCTGAAAAAAATACAAAGAAAACATAAAAATAATTCAGGATACAAATAAGAAGTTTACAAAAGATATAGATTTAAAAAAAACAGAAATTCTGGAATTAAAGAATTCACGACATGAAATTCCAAATACATTTGAAAGCTTCAACAACATACTAGGTCAGGCAGAAGGAAGAATTCCAAAACTTGAAGATATACATAGTGAAATAATTCAATAAGACAAAAACACACACAAAAAAAGAATGAGCAAAGCCTTTGTGACATTTGGTACAATATAAACAACCAAATATTCAAATTATTGGTATCCTCAAGGGCAAAGAGACAAAGAACAGATTAGAAAACCTATTTAATGAAAGAATAGATGAATAATTCCCAACTCTAGCAAGTGATTTAGACATTCAGATACAAAATGTTCAATAATTCTGAGAAAAATACAATGCAAAAAGTTCCTCACCATGGCATATAATCAGACTTTCTATAGTATAAGGTAAAATGCAAATCCTAAAAATAGCAAGAGGAAAGTGTTTAGTCACCTATAAAGGAAACCCCATCAGACTAACAGCAAATTTCTTTTTCTTTTTTCTTTCTTTTTTCTTTGAGACGGAGTCTCGCTGTGCTGCCAGGCTGGAGTGCAGTGGCATGATCTCGGTTCACTGCAACCTCTGCCTCCTGGGTTCAGGTGATTCTCCTCCCTCAGCCTGCCAAGTAGCTGGGATGACAGGCACACGCCACCACACACAGCTAATTTTTTTTTTTTTTGTATTTTTAGTAGAGACGGGATTTCACCAAGTTGGCCAGGATGGTCTCAATCTCTTGACATCATGATCCACCCACCTCAGCCTCCCAAAGTGCTGGGATTACAGGTGTGAGCCACTGTGCCCAGCTCTAACAGCAGATTTCTTAGCAGAAATCTTACAGGCCAGAAGAGAATAGGATAGTATAATCAAAGTCCTGAAGGAAAAGAACTGCCAAGCCAAGAGTAATAAACAAAACATAAGTATTCTTCATAATTGAAAAAAGAAATTATCTTTCCAAGACAAGCAAATGCTGAAAGGCTTCATTACCACTAGACAGGGCCTACAGGAAATGCTCAAGAAAGTCCTAAACCTGGAATTGAAACGACATTTTCAACATTTCCACATTATCACCATGAAAACATACACAAGTATAAAACTCACTGGTAAAGCAATCACACAAAAGAGGAAGAGAAAGGTCTCAAATGGTCCTACTACAGAAATCCACCAAACCATAATGACAAGCAATAAGAGAAAAAGACAGTAATAAAGGACATATAAAACAACCCGAAAACAACAATGTGATAGGAACAAAGCTGTTGGGAACAGGCCTCCAAAAATCTGGCCATAAACTGGCCCCAAAACTGGCCATAAACAAAATCTCTGCAGCACTGTGACATGCTCATGATGGCCATGATGCCCACGCTGGAAGGTTGTGGGTTTACCGGAATGAGGGCAAGGAACACCTGGCCCACCCAGGGCGGAAAACTGCTTAAAGTCGTTCTTAAACCACAAACAATAGCATGAGTGATCTGTGCCTTAAGGACATGCTCCTGCTGCAGATAACTAGCCAAACCCATCCTTTTATTTTGGCCCATCCGTTTGTTTCCCATAAGGAATACTTTTAGTTAATCTATAATCTATAGAAACAATGCTTATCACTGGCTTGAGTTAATAAATATGGGGGTAAATCTCTGTTCGAGGCTGTCAGCTCTGAAGGCTGTGAGATCCCTGATTTCTCACTTCACACCTCTATATTTCTGTGTGTGTGTCTTTGATTCCTCTAGTGC
This sequence comes from Homo sapiens, assembly GCF_000001405.40. Classification (NCBI taxonomy): domain Eukaryota; kingdom Metazoa; phylum Chordata; class Mammalia; order Primates; family Hominidae; genus Homo; species Homo sapiens. The sequence goes on along the minus strand of NT_167248.2, from coordinate 2,594,451 downwards.
CACTGGGTTAGGGTCTTCCCGACTGAGCTAGTCTTGGCACAAAGCCTCACATATTAATAAAAATCTGGAATGTAAACAGATTAAATTCTCCACTTATAAGATTTAGAATGGCTGAATGGGTAGAAAACATGATCTAACTACATTCTGCTTACAGAAAAACTCACCGGTAATACCACCTCACCACAATCCATAGAGACAGAAGGTAAAAGAATGGCAAGAGGTTATCTATGGAAACCAAAAGTGAGCAGGAGTAGCTATACTTATAGCAGATAAAATAAACTGTAAGTCAAGAACAACTTTTTTAAAAGATAAGGAAGGCCATCACGTAATCATAAAGAGATCCTTCCAAGAAAAGAATAGAACAATTCTAAATATATATGCACTAAACACTGGAGAACCTAGACTCATAAAACAAATATTACTACATCTAACAAGAAAGATAGACTCCAATACAATAATAGTAGGAGACTTCAACATCCCAACCTCAGCATGAGACAGATCATCTACATAGAAAATCAAGAAAGAAACATTGGATTTAAACAGAATTTTACACCAAATAAAGCTAACAGATATTTATAGAGCATTCTATCTAACACTACAGAATATACACTCCTTTCATGAACACATGGAACATTTTCGGGGAGAGAGCCTATGTTAAGCCACAAAACAAGTCTGAACAAATTTTCAAAAATTGAAATCATTAAATATATTCTCTGGCCACAATGGAATAAAACTAGAAATATACACCAAGAGAAATGTTGGCAACAAGACCAATACATGGAAATTAAACAACATGCTCCTGAATAACCATTGAGTCAACAGAGAAATTAAGATGTAAATTAAAAAGTTTCTTGAAACAAATGAAAATGGAAACACAACATACCAAAACCTGTGGGATACAGCTAAACAGGGCTAAAAGGGAGGTTTATAGGAATAAATACCTACCTAAGAAAAGTAGAAACATTACAAATTAACAATATAACAATGAACCTCAAGGAACTGGAAAAGCAAGAAAAAAACACATCAAAAATTAGCAGAAAAGAAATAATAAAGATCATAGTAGAACTAAATAAAGACTTTTAAAAACCATGTAAATGATCAACAAAGTGAAAAGTTTGTTCTTCAAAAACATAAACAAAATTGATAAACCACTAGCTAAACAAACCTAGAAAAAAAGAGAGAAAATTTGTTAAGAATAAAAGTTCCTCTTCAAAGTTTTCCTTTTTGGTTTAGAATGATAAGTGTTAAGAAGATAGTTCCTCTTAAAAGCTTCCTTTAAGTTTCCCTTGCTCTTCATACTAACAAATCTTCTATTTTACTAATGATTCTTTATTGTGCCCTCAAGGAGTTGATACATACAGTAAAGAAATAAACACATTCTATGTTCTTGTACTTGAACCAAGGCCTAACTCCTTTGTCCCCTAGTCTGCCTGGATCTGCCTGGACATGCCCAGACATGTCCCAGCTCGCAGATTATGCTCTTTCCTTATTTGGAAATATTATTGTCTTCCTGGTTTCCCATAAGTGACCCCCTCCTTTCCTTTGTTCCCCATTGCACCTTTACCTTATTTGGGAAAGTTTAAGTTTTTAGCCAACTGGGATCAGTTTAGATTGTGTGGTCCAGTTCCAGCCAATGGAGACAGGACACAATAGTAGAAACAACTTGCGTTAGGAATAAAAACCCCTGTTTTCCTTTGTTCTGGGTGCTCTCATGGCAATCAGGCTTATGGGTAGCACCCTTCTGCAGAAGTAAAAATTGCCTCGCTGAGAAATCCTTTGTTCAAGTGTTTGTTTTCTTTGTGACTCCGAGCTTTATTTCTAACAATTTTCTGGGGGCTCGTCCACTATTCCCATTCTTCTTTGGGAAGGGGTCTTTGGTCACCCCATCTAGGGGAGGTGCACCCCACTGCCCCACTGCAGTGGCCCCAGGGACGGGAGACTGAGACTACCCATTGTGACGAATAAATCCAGGCTCTCAGCAATGTGGAAGGAGAAGGCCTGCAAGTACCGCGATGACCAGGTAACTGTGCACAGACCAAGGTAAAAAAAAGTCACAAGGGCAACAGTATTTCCTTGGTGGTCGGCATATTCTGGAGGTTAAAGGGTGTGAAAGGTAACAAGCACTACTGCTGTGCGGAGTGAGTGAGTCCAATCTGTGGTTCTGTGGTCACCTCATATGGCTTATGGTGGCCCTCTTGTAGGGATCCTGACATTGGGGTTTATACAATCCCGCTGATGCTAAGGGGAGCCTAATTTCCTCTGGGAAAGCAGCCAGAGTGGACGAAGCAGAAGGAGAAGATTGCAAGGAACCTCCAGGATAGGGGTTAAACCTCCAGGGAAGGATAGGTGAGAAATCTCTAGTTCAAGGGACTGAGCCTAACCAGTATTCAACATGGGAAATACCCTGAGTAAGACAGAAGGTAAAAAGGAAAAGGCAGACAGTGAAATCACCTCTGATAGTCCTTTAGGACTCATGTTAAAATATTGGAAGGATACGAGAGGACTAAACATAAGAAAAAGCAACAGATGATAAAGTATTATTGTTTCATTTGGACCAAGGAACCTATTCTAAAGCCTTCAGTTTTCTGGCCAAAATTCGGGTCAAATGAGGATTGGACTGCCAGCTTTTAATAGAATATGTAAATGATAAAAGTCCTGTTTCCCAGGAGGAAATACATTATGCTCTGTGTTGGTGGCAAAGGCCCATCCTCCTTTGTCATCTGAAAACTAAAGGAGAGAAGCCAGAAACTACTTCTCATGAAATTAATACCCCTTACGCCAAGAACCCCACCAACACATGGGACCCCTTAGACCACCTTCCCCCACCAAACCTTCTTCCCCCCAACCAGTAGACCAACATCCCCCACCTCCCACTCCAGTAGATATAACAGTCCCAGACCTTTCCCCTACTCAGATTTTCTTTCCCTCCTTATAACCCTGATTCTTGGGGTCATCCCCAGCTTGAATGCCCTCCCTCAGGAAGACTTCAACGTGAGTTAGAACAATGTAAAAATGATATCCAAAACTTCCATTTTCTCCCTTCTTCTAGGGGTTCAGCTACAAACCACTTCCCATTGAGGGAAGTGTCTCTAGGAGGAGGGGGCATTGCCTTTGTAAATGCTCCCCTGACCAGTTCAGAAGTCTGGAGCTTGAAGAGGGAACTCAAGCCACTCTTAGACGATCTCTATGTAGTGACAGATCAAATTCATCAATTTTTAGGACTCCAGTTGTATACTGGGCTGAGTTAATGTCCATCATAGGCATTCTTTTTTCAGGGGAAGAAAGGAGCATGACGCACAGGGCTGCTATGACCATTTGGGAGTGTGAGCATCCTCCCGGTCAAAACGTCCCTGCAGCCAAACAGAAATTTCCTACTCAAGATTCCCAGTGGGATAATAACAACATAGCTCATAGGAGGAATATGAGAGACCTGCAAGAAATGATAATAAAAGGAATTAGAGAATCGTTACCCTGCACCCAGAATATGACCAAAGCTTTTAATATACAGCAAGGAAAAGATGAGGGGCTTATGGAATTTTTTAACAGGCTTAAGGAACAAATGAGGAAATATGCTGGTTTAGATGGAGGAGACCCACTTGGACAAGGAATGTTAAAGCTTCACTTCGTCACAAATAGCTGGCCAGATGTTACCAAGAAATTACAAAAGACAGAAAATTGGAAGGACTGTCCCATAGAGGAACTCTTAAGGGAGGCCCAAAAGGTGTATGTACGAAGAGATGAAGAAAAGTAAAAGGACAAGGCAAAGATTATGCTGTTCTTACAGCAGGGAACTCCCCAATAGACAGCTCAAAGAAATGTCACTGGTAAATCTTTTAGGTACCCGACTGCCAGACCCTATAATGGAGGTAAAGGAATCAAACCAGGGAACAAGGGAATAAAAAGAGGAATAGGGCAGAATAAATGCTTCAAGTGTGGGAAGGAAGGTCACTTTAAAGAGAATGCCCTGAATGGAAAAAAGAAAAAGAAATCACCCACTTATGATCTTTGAAGAGGAATGGGGGGCAAGGGGCTCTACTCTTTTTACCTCGAGTCCCACCAAGAGCCCTTGATAAATTTAGAGGTGGGACCCAAACCTTTTTAACTGACTCAGGAGCTGCTGATTCCTCAGTTTGTTATCTTCCCCTGGTGTAACTTGGTCACAAGAAGAACTTTTTATTTTGGGAGCAAAAGGGGAGGGGTTTAAAGCAAAAGTCTTCGAAGAAGCAAAAATTAAATATCAGAACCACTCAGTAACTATTAAACTTCTGTTAATAATGGAGGCAGGAACAAACCTATTAGGAAGAGATTTAATGCTAAAATTAAACCTAGGCCTTTATGTTAATCAAGGAAATCTCCTCCCTTCCTTAAATTTGCTTGCTACTCTAAATGAGGGATACATCCATCCAGATGTATGGTCAAAGGAAGGAAACCGAGGAAAATTATGAATTTCCCCAATCCAAGTTAAATTGAAAAAGCTGGGGGAAGTGGTAAAAAGAAAACAATAACCAATTCCCTTAGAAGCTAAGATCAATTTAAAGCCCATAATAGAAAGCCTTCTCCATTGTGGACTCATTGAACCCTGTATGTCTCCTTATAACACTCCCACACTACCTGTGAAAAAGCCAGATGGGTCATATCGGCTAGTGCAAGATCTTCGATCTATTAACCAAATAGTTCGAACAACTCACCCTGTTGTTCCTAATCCTTATACTATTATTAGTAACATTCCATACAACCATGAGTGGTTCACAGTAATAGATCCAAAGGATGCCTTCTGGGCTTGCCCACTAGCAAAGATAGTCTTTGAATGGGAGGACCCTCACTCTGGTTGAAAATAACAGTATCGATGGACAGTTTTGCCCCAGGGATTTACAGAATCTCCAAATTTGTTTGGTCAAATACTAGAACAGATCATAGAAAAGTTTTACAAACCACCATATATATGCCTGCTCCAATGCATGGATAATATCCTTATTTCAGGGGAGGATAGACAAAAAGTAGAAGGATTTTCAATAGGTTTTTAAAAAATAATTTACAACTGGAGGGGTTACAAGTGTCAAAAAAGCAAACTTCAGTTTGTAGAACCTGAAGTCAAGTATTTAGGGCACTTAATCAGTAAGGGCAAATAGAGAATTGGATTTGAATGGATTGAAGGCATCATATCCTTACCTCTGCCTGAGACAAAGAAGGAACTTAGAAAATGTTTAGGGTTAGTAGGGTATTGTCGCTTATGGATAGACTCTTATGCTTTAGTAACCAAACCTCTATATAAAAAAACTTACACAGGATGAATTGGACCCCCTTATATGGTTTTTACCAGAAATACAGCAGGTAAAAAAATTAAGAGTTACTAGTGACAGCCCATGTTCTAGCCTTACCCTCTTTAGAATTGCCCTTTCATCTTTTTGTTAATGTAGGTAATGAGTAGCCTTAGGGGTACTTACTCAAACACATGGAGGCCATTGGCAACCCACAGCCTTCTTGTCAAAAATTCTTGACCCAGTAGCCCATGGATGGCCCGAGTGTGTCCAATCAGTGGCAGCAACAGCCTTGCTCACAGAGGACAGCAGAAAATTAACCTTTGGGGAAATCTTATCATTAGTGCTCCTCACCAAGTGAGAACAATTCTCAATCAGAAGGCGGGAAGGTGGCTTACTGATTCAAGAATTTTAAAGTAAGAAGCCATCTTGTTAGAAAGAGATGATCTAACCTTAACCACTGATGACTCAATTAATCCAGCTGTTTTCTTAACAGGAAACCCCAACCCACAGACCCTTGATCTTTGCCCAGAGCACAGATGTTTAGATTTAATTAGTTATCAAACAGAAGTTAGACCTGTTTTAAATGAAACACCCTTTCAGACTGGGAAACACCTGTTTATAGATGGTTCCTCCTGAGTAATCAAAGGAAAAATGCATAACGGGTATTCAATGATAGATGGAGATACCCTCACAGAAATAGAGTCTGAAAGGTTACCAAATGAGTGGTCTGCACAAACATATGAGTTGTTCACATTAAATCAGGCCTTAAAATTTCTGCAAATCAAGAAGGAACAATCTATACAGACTCCAGGTATGCCTTTGGAGTAGTCCATACTTTTGGAAAAATTTGGACTGAGTGGGGCCTCATTAACAGCAAAGGTCAAATTTTAGACCATGGGGACCTAATAATACAAGTACTAGAAAATTTACAATTGCCAAAAGAAATAGCTGTTGTACATGTCCCACGACATCAAAAGAATCCTTCATTTGAAGGCGAGGGAAATAATCCCACTGACCAAATAGCTAAGCAAGCTGCCTCTTCTCCAGCAGAACCCATTTTTTGACTAACCCCTTGTCTTCCATCTTCAGCTGCACTCCCTATCTTCTCTCAAGCAGATCAGGAAAAACTAAAAAAAATAGGAGCTGAGGAAAACTCAGAAGGAAAGTGGGTATTACCAGATGGAAGAGAAATGTTATCCAAACCTCTTATGAGGGAAATATTGTCACAGCTTCATCAAGGATCTCACTGGGGTCCTCAAACCATGTGTGATGCAGTCCTTAGGGTTTATGGGTGCATAGGAATATACACCCTCGCCAAGCAAATGGTGGAAAGTTGTATAGTGTGCAGAAAATCTAATAAGCAGACCCTATAAAAACAACCTCCTGGAGGAAGAAATCCTAGGTTAAGGCTATTTCAAAGTGTCCAAGTTGACTCTACTGAAATGCCCCCAATAGGCCGCCTTAAGTATTTACCAGTAATAGTAGATCATCTTACCCACTGGGTAGAAGCCATCCCTTTTCCAAGTGCAACAGCCAGTAACGTGGTCAAAGCTCTGTTAGAACATATCATACCCAGGTTTGGAATAATAGAGAACATTGATTCAGATAATGGGACCTAATTTACCATGCACATTATTAAAGGCCTAATCCAAGTATTAGAGATAAAATGGGAATATCATACTTCCTGGTCTCCACCTTCATCAGGGAGAGTAGAAAGAATGAATCAAACTTTAAAGAGTCACATAACCAAATTAATCTTAGAAACTTGGCTACCATGGACAAAATCTCTTCCCATTGCTTTACTAACAATCCAAACTTTCCCTCGGAGGGATCTTGGCCTGTCTCCTTATGAAATGCTTTGTGGGTTACCTTATCTAAACACTACTACTGACCTTCCTATGATCGAAACAAAAGATCAGTTCCTTAGAAATTATGTATTTGGTCTGTCTTCCACTCTTTCTTCCCTCAGGACTCAAGGTCTCCTAGCACAGACTCCACTCCTTGAATTCCTGGCCCACCAACATCAACCCAGAGATCACGTCCTTATCAAAGGCTGAAAAGAGGGAAAGCTTGAGCCTACCTGGGAAGGACCCTATCTGGTGCTCACAACAACTGAAACAGCAGTTCAGACCACTGAAAAAGGGTGGACTCATTATACTCAAGTCAAGAAGGCATCACCTTCTCTGGAGACATGGACCGTTATTCCGTCAACTCCCACCAGAGTAACGATAAAAAGAAAAACTTAATATATCTATCTTTTTTCTTCTTTTCTTTCCCTTAACTGCCCCCATCTCATCATTAATGTAACTAGATCAAGTTTGCCCAAAATTATTACCTTTGATGCTTGTCTAGTCGTGCCTTGTGGAAATTTACAGGACCAAAGAGCTTACTGCCTCATTTAAATATCTTCGTCCGTCTTGGACTTCCTCAGATTGGAAAGATATAGCAAATTCTTGTAAAGATCATGATAACTCCAAAAAGTAGTTGTATTAACTGGTGGGAATGGGACTCTTGTCCCCTTAAAACAGAGTCCATATGCTATACTTGGTCTAATGTCCTACGGAACACCAAAGGTCCAGGCTGGACTGCTCCCACCAGTCTTTGCCAGTCCTTAAAGCCATATATCCATCTTACAAAAGGGATTGCCTCTTCTAATTGTCCATATAACCAATGTAATCCTATTTGGCTTACTATTACTATTGCAACATCCCAAAACTCTTCCCCTTCATTAAGTCGTATTTATGGCATAGGGGCCAACATCTCGGGAAAGTTGCCCCTTCCACCTCTCTATCACATCTTCCTCAAACCATCACCCCACCTATACTCAGTGACAAAGCCAAAGTAGCTATAGTAGAAGTAAAAGACCTGAGGCAAACTCTAGCCATTGAAACAGGGTCTCAGGATGCAAATGCCTGGGTGGAATGGATTAAATATTCCATCCACAGTCAAAATAAGAGAGATTGTTATGCTTGGGCACACAGCAGATCAGAGGCCCAAATTATCCCCTTTCCACTGAGATGGTCTTGTAATAGACCAGATACGGACCGCATGGTAGCTCTGCTCCAAGACCCCACAGCCTGGGGTAATAAATCATGTCAAACACTTTCTCTGCTATTCCCTGTGGTCCAGCACCCCGTAGGTCAGCCCCCGAAGGCCATTCAGCCTCCATCTTCTGGGACCAAATTTGCTTCGTGTCTCTCACAACAGGGAGAAAATTTGGCTTTCCTTGGAAACCTCATGGGATGCAGGGAGGTCAAGCACTTCCAAGAGCTAACCGATCAGTCTGCCCTTATCCATCCCCAAGCAGATGTATGGTGGTATTGCGGTGGACCTTTGTGGGACACTCTGCCAAATAACTGGAGTGGTACTTGTGCTCTGATTCAATTGGCTATCTCTTTCACCCTGGCATTTCATTCGCCAAAAGAATTAACAACCAGGCATCGTAGTACAAGAAGTGTTCTTGTGAGTCTTTTGATCCCAGCGTTTATATAGATGCTATTGGAGTACCAGATGAATTTAAAGCTTGAAACCAAATAGCTGCAGGATTTAAGTCATTATTCAGGTGGGTGGCTATCAATAAAAATGTAGACTGGATAGCCATGTGCAGTGGCTCACGTCTGTAATCCCAGCACTTTGGGAGGCCAAGGCGGGTGGATCACGAGGTCAGGAGTTTGAGACCAGCCTGACCAACATAGTGAAACCCTTTCTCTACTAAAAATACAAAAATTAGCTGGGCGTGGTGGCATGCAACTGTAATCCCAGCTACTCAGGAGAGTCACTTGAACCTGGGAGGCGGAGGTTGCAGTGAGCCGAGATCGCACCACTGCACTCCAGCCTGGGCGACAGACTGAGACTCCATCTCAAAAAAAAAATGTAGATTGGATAAATTATATTTACTACAATCAGCAATAATTCATTAATTGCACAAGGGATGCTATGAGGGAATAGCTGAGCAACTAGGACCCACCAGACAGATGACTTGGGAAAATAGAATAGCACTAGACATGATGCTAGCAGAAAAAGGCAGGGTTTGTGTTATGATTGGAACTCAATGTTGTACTTTTATCCCTGATAATACTGCCCCTGATTGAACTATAACAAAAGCATGACAAGGTCTTACTGCTTTATCAAATGAACTAGCTAAAAACTCTGGAATAAATGATCCTTTCACTAGCTTAATGGAAAGGTGGTTTGGTAAGTGGAAAGGACTCATGTCCTCAGTTCTCACCTCACTGGCTCTCATAATCAGTGTACTTATCCTTGTAGAATGTTGTATTATACCTTGCATTCGTGGATTAGTGCAAAGGCTTATTGAAAAGGCTCTTACCAAAACCCCTTTCAATTCTCCTCCCCTTACTCGGATAAGTTGTCCCTTCTAACTGATTAAGAAGAGTAACAAACTAAAGATATGTTAAGGAGATTTGAAGAGGAAGAACTGTAAAATCAAGAGGGGGAAGCTGTAAAGAATAAAAGTTCCTCTCCAAAGTTTTCCTTTTTGGTTTAACATAAGTGTTAAGAAGATAGTTCCTCTTAAAAGCTTTCTTTAAGTTTCCCTCACTCTTCATACTAACAAATCTTCTAATTTACTAATGACTCTTTATCGTGCTCCAAGTAGTTGTTACATACAGTAAATAAATAAACACATTCTATGTTCTTGTACTTGAACCAAGGCCTAACTCGTAGTCTGCCTGGATCTGACCAGACATGCCCAAACATGTCCCAGCTTGCAGCCTATGCCCTTTCCTTATTTAGAAATATTATTGTCTTCCTGGTTTCCCGTAAGCGACCCCCTCCTTTCCTTTGTTCTCCATTGCACCTTTACCTTTTTTAGGAAAGTTAAAGTTTTTAGTCAACCGGGATCAGTTTAGACTGCGCAGTCCAGCTCCAGCCAATGCAGACAGGACACAATAGTAGAAACAACTTGCGTTAGGAATAAAAACCCCTGCTTTCCCTTGTTCTGGGTGCTCTCATGGCAATCAGGCTTACAGGTAGCACCCTTCCACAGAAGTAAAAACTGCCTTGCTGAGAAATCCTTTGTTCAAGTGTTCGTTTTCTTTGTGACTTCAAGCTTAATTTCTAACAGACTCAAAATCAGAAACAAGAGAAACATTACAACTGATATTGCAAAAATACAAAAGACTGTCAGAGACTATTATGAACAATTCTGTACTGACAAACTGGAAAACCTGGAGGAAATGGATAAATTCCTGGAAACAAACAACCTACCAAGATTAAACTAGGAAGAATAGAAAACCTGAAGCCCTAACATCCATGAACCATTCTCACAGTGGTTCCAGTGGGCCCCTGACCACTCTGTGATTATTTCCTCAGTGCTGGTTTGCATAATTGAAACAGACCTACTCAGCAACAGGCAAAATCCACAGATCAGTTCCTTTTTTTAACTTTTATTTTCAGTTCAGGGGTACAAGTGCAGGCTGTTTTACGGGTAAACTTGTGTTGTGGGTGTTTGGTACACAGATTATTTAATCACCCAGGTTTTAAGCCTAGTACCCGTTACTTATTTTTCCTGATCCTCTTCTTTCTCCCACCCTCCACCTTCTGAAAGGCTCCAGTGTGTGCTATTCCCCTCTATGTCTCTATGCATTCTCATCATTTAGCTCCCACTTATAAGTGAGAACATGCAGTATTTGGTTTTCTGTTTCTGCATTAGTTTGCTAAGGATAACGGCTTCCAGCTCCATCCATGTCCCTACAAAGGACATGATCACATTCCTTTTTCTGGCTGCATAGTATTCCATGGTATACATGTATCACATTTTCTTTATCCAGTCTATAATTGATGAGCATTTAAGTTGATTCCATGTCTTTGCTATTGTGAATAGTGCTGCAATGAACATATGTGTGCCTATGTTTTTGTAATAGAATGATTTATATTCCTTTGGGTATAATGGTATTTCTGTCTTTAGGTCTTCGAGAAATCACCACACTGTCTTCCACAATGGCTGACCTAATTTGCACTCCCACCAACAGTGTATAAGTATTCCTTTTTCTCCACAACTTTGCCAGCATCTGTTATTTTTTGACTTTTTAATAATAGTCATTCTGACTGGTGTGAAATGGCATCTCACTGTGGTTTTGATTTGCATTTCTCTAATTATCAGTGATGTTGAGCATTTTTTCATGTTTGTTGGCTGCATGTATGTCTTCTTTTGAGAAGTATCTGTTCTTATGCTTTGCCCACTTTTTAATGGGGTTGTTTTGTTTTTTCTTGTAAATTTGTTTAAGTTCCTTATAGATATTAGACTTTTGTTGGATGCATAGTTTGCAAAAAGTTTTCTCCCACTCTGTAGGTTGTTTACTCTGTTGATAGTTTCTTTTGCTGTTCAGAGCTCTTTAGTTGAATTAGATCCCATTTGACAATTTTTGCTTTCGTTGCACTTGCTTTTGGCGTCTTTGTCATGAAATCGTTGCCCATGCCTATGTCCTGAATGGTATTGCCTAGGTTGTGTTAGGGTTTTTACAGTTTTGGATCTTACATTTAAGTCTTTAATTCATTTTGAGGTGATTTTGGTATATGGTGTAAGAAAGGGGTTCAGTTTTAATCTTCTGCATATGGCTAGCCAGTTATCCCAGCACTATTTATGAATAGGGAACCCTTTCCCCATTGCTTGTTTTTGTCAGGTTTGTCAAAGATCATAGTTGTAGGTGTGTGGTCTTATTTTTGGGTTCTCTATTCTGTTCCATTGCTCTATATGTCTGTTTTTGTACCAGTACCATGCTGTTTTGGTTACTGTAGCCTTGAAGTATAGTTGAAATCAGGTAGCATAGGCTGGACATGGTGGCTCTCACCTGTAATCCCAGCACTTTGGGAGGTAGAGGCAGGTGGATCATGAGGTCAGGAGTTTGAGACCAGTCTGGTCAACAAGGTGAAACCCATCTCTACTAAAGATATAAAAAATTAGCTGGGCGTGGTGGCACGTGCCTGTAATCCCAGCTACTCAGGAGGCTGAGAAAAGGAGAATCACTTGAACCCAGGAGGCGGAGGTTGCAGTGAGCTGAGATCACACCATTGCATCCCAGCCTGGACAACAGGGTAGAGACTCCGTCTCAAAAAAAAAAATCAGGTAGTGTAATACCTCCAGCTTTGTTCCTTTTGTTTAGGATTGCCTTGGCTATTCAGGCTCTTTTTTGGCTTCAGGTGAATTTTAAAATAGTTTTTTCTAGTTCTGTGAAGAATGTCAGTGGTAGTGGCCGGGCGCGGTGGCTCACACCTGTAATCCCAGCGCTTTGGGAGGCCGAGGCAGGCAGATCACGAGGTCAGGAGATCGAGACCATCCTGGCTAACAGGATGAAACCCTGTCTCTACTAAAAGTACAAAAAATTAGCTGGGCATGGTGGTGGGCACCTGTAGTCCCAGCTACTTGGGAGGCTGAGGCAGGAGAATGCCGTGAACCCAGGAGGCAGAGCTTGCAGTGAGCCGAGATCGCGCCACTGCCCTCCAGCCTGGGCGACAGAGCAAGACTCCATCTCAAAAAAAAAAAAAAAAGAATGTCAGTGGCAGTTTGACAGGAATAGCATTGAATCTATACATTGCTTTGGGCAGTATGGCCTTTTTCACAATATAGATTCTTCCTATCCATGGGCATAGGAAGTTTTTCCATTTGTTTGCATCATCTCTGATTTCTTTGAACAGTGGTTTATAGTTCTTCTTATAGAGACCTTTTACCTCCCAAGTTAGCTGTGTTCCTAGGTATTGTATTCTTTTTGTGGCATTTGTGAATGGGAGTTCTTTCCTGATTTGGCTCTCAGTTTGCCTGTTGTTGGTGTGTAGAAATGCTAGTAATTTTCTCACATTGATTTTGTATCCTGAGACTTTGCTGAAGTTGTTTATCAGCTTTAAAAGCTTTTGGGCTGAGACTGGGTTTTTCTAGTTATAGAATCATGTAAGCTGCAAACAGGAATAGTTTGACTTCCTATCTTCCTATTTGAATACCTTCATTTATTTCTCTTGCCTGATTGTCCTGACCAGAACTTCCAATACTATGTTGAATACGAGTAGTGAGAGAAGGCATCCTTGTCTTGTGTCAGTTTTCAAGGGAAATGCTTCCAGCTTTTGCCCATCAGTATGATGCTCGCTGTGGGTTTGTCATAATTGGCTTTTATTATTTTGAAGTGTGTTCCTTCACTATCTAGGTTATTGAGAGTTTTTTAAAACATGAATAGATGTTGCATTTTATCAAAAGCCCTTTCTGCATCTACTGAGATAATCATGTGGTTTTGGTCTTTAGTTCTGTTTGTATAACGAGGCACATTTTTAAATTTACACTTGTTGAACAAACCTTGCATACTGGGGGTGAAGTCTACTTGATTGTAGTGGATAAGCTTTTTGATGTGCTGCTGGATTCGGCTTGCCGGCATTTTGTCAAAGATTTTTGCATCGATGTTCATCAGGAATATTGGCTTGAGGTTTTCTTTTTTGTTGTTGTGGTATCTCTGCCACATTTTGGTATCAGGATGTTGCTGGCCTAATAGAATGAGTTAGGGAGAAGTCTCTCCTCCTCATTTTTTTTTTTTTTTGGAATAGTTTCAGTAGCAATGGTACCAGCTCTTCTTTGTACATCTAATAGAATTTGCCTGTCAATCATCTGGTTCTGGGTTTTTTTTGGTTGGTAGGCTGTTTATTACTGCCTTAATTTCAGAACTCATTATTAGTCTGTTCAGTGATTCAATTTCTTCCTGGTTCAGTCATGGAGGGGGCAGGTGTATGTATCCAGGAATTGATCCTTGTCTTCTAGATTTTCTAGTTTATTTGCATAGAGGTGTTCATAATATTTTCTGGTGGTTGCTTGAATTTCTGTGGGGTCAATGGTAATGTCCCTCTTATTGTTTCTAATTGTGTTTACTGGAATCTTCTCTCTTTTCTTCTTTACTAGCCTAGCTAGGGGTCTATTGATTTTATTAATTTAAAAAAAACCTAGGCGAGGAGCGGTGGCCTCACGCCTATAATCCCAGCACTTTGGGAGGCTGAAGCAGGCAGATCACCTGAGGTCAGGAGTTCAAGACCAGCCTGACCAACATGGAGAAACCTCATCTCTATTAAAAATACAAAAAAATTAACCGGGCATGGTGACACATGCCTATAATCCAAGCTACTCGAGAGGCTGAGGCAGGAGAATCACTTGAGCCTGGGAAGCGGAGGTTGCAGTGAGCTGAGATCGCACCACTGCACTCCTGCCTGGGTAACAAGAGTGAAACTCCATCTCAAAAAAAACAAAAACAAAAACAAAAACAAACAAACAAAAACAAAACCAAAACAAAACAGAACAAAAACTCCTGAATTCGTAGATCTTTTGAGTGGTTTTTCATGTCTCTGTCTCCTTCAGGAGACAATACCTTTGTTAATTTTTTATTATTACGTCTTGTCTTCTGCTAGCTTTGGGATATGTTTGCTCTTTGTTCTCAAGTTCTTTTGGTTGTGATTTTAGGTTGTTAACTTGAAATCTTTCTAACTTTTTGATGTGGGCATTTAATGCTATAAATTTCTCTCTTAACACTGCCTTCACTGTTTCCCAGAGATTCTGGTACGTTGTATCTTTGTTCTTATTATCTTCAAAGAACTTCTTGATTTGTGCCTTAATTTCATTATTTACCCAAAAGTCATTCAAGAACAGGTTATTCAATTTCTATGTAATCGTATGGTTTGAGTGAATTTCTTAGTCTTTATTTTGAATTTGATTGCACTGTGGTCCAAGTGTTATGATTTCAGTTCTTTTGCATTTGCTGAGGAGTGTTTTACTTCCAATTGTGTGATCGATTTTAGAGTAAGTGCCATGTGACAATGTGAAAAATGTATATTCTGTTGCTTTGGGGTGAAGACTTCTGTAGATATTTATCAGGTCCATTTGATCCAGGGCTGAGTTCAGGTCCTGAATATCTTTGTTAATTTTCTGTCTTGATGATCTGTCTAATATTGTCAGTGGAGTATTAAAATCTCTTACTACTATTGTGTGAGATTCTAAGTCTCTTTGAAGGTCTCTAGGAACCTACTTTATGAATCTGGGTGTTCCTGTACAGGATGCATATATATTTCAGATAGTTAGATCTCCTTGTGGAATTGAACCCTTTACCATTATGTAATGCCCTTCTTTGTCTTTTTCTATCTTTTTTGGTTTAACAACTGTTTTGTCAGAAACAAGGGTTGCAACCCTGGCTTTTTTTCTGCTTTCCATTTGCTTGGTAAATTTTCTTCCATCTTTTTATTTTGAGCCTATGTACGTCATTGCGTGTGAAATGGGTATATGGAAGACAGCATACTGATAAGTCTTGGTTCTTTATCCAGCTTGCCACTCTATGTCTTTTAAATGGGGCATTTAGCCCATTTACATTTAAGGTTAGTATTGATATGTATGGATTTGATCCTGTCATCATGATGTTAACTAGTTACTTTGCAGACTTGCTTATGTGGTTGTTTTATTGTGTCACTAGTCTGTGTACTTCATTGTGTTTTTGTAGTGACTGGTAACTGTCTTTCCATGTTTAGTGCTTCCTTCAGGAGTTCTTGTAATGCAGGTCTGGTAGTCATGAATTCCCTTGGCATTTGTTTGCCTGAAAAGAATCTGATTTCTCCTTTGCTTATGAAGCTTAGTTTGGTTGGATATGAAATTCTGGGTTGGAAACTCTTTTCTTTAAGAATGTTGAATATTGGCCCTCAATCTCTTCTGGCTTATAGGATTTCCACTGAGAGATCCACTGTTAGTCTGATGGGCTTCCCTTTGTAGGTGATCTGGCCTTTCTCTCTGGATACCCTTCATATTTTTTCTTTCATTTTAACCTTGGAGCATCTGATGATTATTTATCTTGGGGATGATCTTCTCATGGAGTAACTTACTGGGGTCCTCTGCATTTCTGAATTTGAGTGTTGGCCTGTCTAGCTAGGTTGGGGAAGTTCTCATGGATCATATCCTGAAATGTTTTCCAAATTGGTTCCATTCTCCCCATCTCTTTCAGGTACACCAATCATTCATATATTCAGTTTCTTTACATAATCCCATGTTTTTCAGATGTTTTGTTCATTCCTTTTCATTCTTTTTTCTCTAGTCTCGTCTTCTTGTCTTATTTCAGAAAGCCAGTCTTCAAGCACTGAGATTCTTTTCTCCACTTGCTCTATTCTGCTATTAATACTTGTGAGTGCACTATGAAATTCTTATAGTGTGTTTTTCAGCTCTGTCAGGTTGGTTATCAAATTCTTTTGCTGATTTCTTCTCATCTTTGTGGGCTTATCTACCCTCAATGTTTGAGGTTGCTGACCTTTGAGTGGATTTTTTTTTCTCTTCTTTTGTTTTCTCTTTTAACAGTCTGGCCACTTTTCTGCAGGGCTGCTACAGTTTGCTGGGGGCCTGCTCCAGTCCCTAGTTGCCTCAGATTTTCCAGTACCTGAAGGTATCACCAGTGAAGGCTATGTAACAGGAAAGATGGCAGTCTGCCCCTTCTTCTGGGAGGTCTGTTCCAGGAAAAGTACAGACCTGTTGCTAGCCTGAACACACCTGTAGGAGGTGCTGGAGACCCTGGTTGGGAGATCTTGCCCAGTCAAGAGGAACAGGATCAGGATCTAGAGGTTTACAAAAGGAGGAATGCTCCTACAGGAGACACAGAAATGAACCATTCAGGTGGAAGCTAAGACAGCCACCTGGGCCCTTCAGCTCCTCATAATTCTGAATCAACAAAGGAAGGAGTTACTGCACTGTCTGGGGTGATTGGTCTTGGTCATCAGGGGGAATTGGTCAGCTACTACACAATGGCGGTAAATAGGACTATGTCTGGAACACAGGAGGTCTTTTAGAGCATCTCTTAGTAATACTCTGCCCTATAACTAAAGTCAATAAAAACTACAACAACCCAGGTCAGGTAGGACTACTAATGACCCATACCCTTCAGGAATGAAGGTTTAAGTCATTCAAGCAGGAAAAGAAACCTGATCAGCTGAGGGACTTGCTGAAAGCAATGGGAATATGGGATGGTTAGTGAAAAACAACAAAAAAGTATTTATAAATACTAGTTGTGGCCAGCACAGTGGCTCATGCCTGTAATCCCAGTACTTTGGGAGGCTGAGGCAGGTGGATTGCTTAAGTCTAAGAATGTGAGACCAACCTGAGCAAAATGCTGAAACTGCATCTCTACTGAAAATAAATACAAAAAATTAGTTAGACTTGGTGGTGTGCTTGTAGTCCCAGCTACTTAGGAGGTTGAGGTAGGAGGATCACTTGTGCCCAAGAGGTAGAGTTTGCAGTGAGCCAAGGTAATGCCACTGCACTCCAGCCTGGGCAACAGAACAAGACCCTGTCTCAAATAAATAAATAAATAAATAAATAAATAAATAACCAGCTGTAACCATGTGAGAACTTACAGAAATAAAGACAGTAAACGTTATCAGCATTACTTCTTTATGTTTTTATAATGATATTTATGTCTGTGTGTATGTATCCTTACATGTATTGAGCAAATACCTTTCTTTTCATCTTTCCTGATCATCTGTAATAAAACATAAGATGTGCTAACAATAATTCCCTTTTATTAATAAAAGTTAACTTTTATTACGCATGGTATTTAGGTTACAGTATATCAAAGAGAATCTTTTTCTGTGGAAAGGGTTAGTGTGTTTCTAGTTGGATGCAAGTTAATTGTATCATCTTTGGCAAAAGTAAGACTTTATAGCTGTTTTTATTTGGAGACGAAGTAAGGTTTAAGGAAAATGTTAGTGGGTGCCAAGTTCACAAGCATGGACTGGGATGGTGGGTCTTATGTGTCAATTTTACCAAACCATAGCACCTAGTTATTTAATCAAACACTAAATTTATATGTTGATATGATGGTGTTTTGCAGTTGTGATTAAAATCTGATATCAGTTGATTTCATGAAAAGGAAATTACCCTAAAAAATGTGGGTGGGACTTTTTGAATCACTTGAAGGCCTTTGGGCGAAATGTGAGTCTTCCCAGAGAAGAAAAAATTCTGCTTCAAGATGACAGTAGCAACTACACTTTAGGTTTCCAATCTGCCAGCCTGGTCTACAAATTTTAGATTGAAGGCTGCAACATTATGACTTTCCAGCCTTCCAGCCTGCTGAGGTGTAATTTGTGACGTCAATAACGTAAAATGAGGGGTGGGAAAAGATGTAAAGAAGCAGAGTTTCATATTGATTTCAGTTCAAGATTGTTATAACTGTATTGTTATATATAATACCACAGTAATCACACAAAAAAATACATAAAATATACACAAAAGAAAATGAGAAGGCAGTTAAAACATATCACTAGAAAAAAATCGACTAAATGAAAAATGACTAAAAACAAAAGAAGGTTTGAATGAAGGAGATGAGGGACGAAACAGCTATAAGACATGCATAAAACCAACATCACAATTACAGAAGTAAATCCTTCCTTATCAGTAATTACTTTAAATGTAAACGTAAATGGATTAAACTCCCCAATCAGAATTCAGAGATTATCACAATGGATAGAATAAAAAGAATCTGGCTGGGCACAGTGGCTCACACTTGTAATCCCAGCACTTTGGGAGGCTGTGGCGGGCGGATCACGAGGTCAGGAGTTTGAGACCAGCCTGGCCAACATGATGAAACCCCTGTCTCTACTAAAAATAGAAAAAAATTAGCCGGGCATAGTGGCAGGTGCCTGTAATCCCAGTTACAAGGGAGGCTAAGGCAGGAGAATTGCTGGAACTGGGGAGGCAGAGGTTTCAGTGAGCTGAGATCATACCACTGCACTCCAGCTTGGGAAACAGAGTGAGACTCCGTCTCAAAAAAAAAAGATTCTCACTTTGGATCTAACGACACTCGGAAGTTGAAATTGGAAGGATAGAGAAGGATATTCATGAAAATAGTAACTAAGAATTTTTAATGATCTCTCATAGGGTTCTATGTGTTGGCTGGGTTCAGATGATGGCCTGAGAGTGTTACATGGTCCAGGGATTGAAATGGAAGGAACCAGATGCAGGCAGGATGGTTAACAGCAGTGCCCAGAACTGACACAAGCATACTTCTGCCGTATTCTATTGGGTAGCGCAAATATCAGATCTGCTTATGTTTAAAGAGTGGAGAGACCTTACCTCTTGATGAGGGAGTGGTGGGTCAAACTAAAGAAAAGCAAGTGTGATGGAAGATATTTAGATATTTTTGCAGCTGTCTTTGGAAAATACATGCAATCCAAAACATCCTGTCTGCCAGAAAGGAAGAACACCATCACGCCTTACCCCTCCAGTCTAAGCCCTGTGATTCTATAGTATCCTGGGGAAGGATCATGTCTTAGGAAGCAGGTGGGGAGTCGAAGCTCTAAATAAAGCCCCATCTACAGCCACAATTTCACTTTATTTTGATGAAATTTTGTGTCATTTTCGATAAAATGGGGGCTCACAAATCTCTCTTCAGGGATCTCTCCAGTGGCGGGGATGGTACACTTCCCTCTCCACAGTTCTACTTTATAGATAAGTGGAACTAGATCTCAGTTTCAATTATTTAAAACACCAGAGACTTGGATGCATGCATGTCACAAAAAGGTGAAAGAATGCTCTGTCACTTTCCCTTCTCTCACTCACTGCACCCTGAACAAGAACCTGCTCTACCTTGTCCTTTCGAATGGGGAGGAGGATCGCACTCCAGCCTAACCTTCACGCTTCCAGAGATAAACCCGCTGCCCAAACAGCATGGTTCATTATAAAGACCAAACCCTACACCAAGAGCTCTCCCCTTATCCACCATGGCAGAAACTGAATCCCATGGAAAGGCCTAGAACATTCTGGCTCAAAAGGACCAGTGTCATGTCCCTTCCACCAAAATGAAGCCAACATATTCATTACAATATGGGGTATTGATAAGGATATCAAAATGATTACCACCAAAATTTGACAAATATGTTCTTTTTATTACATCAACTTTTTTGTCCTCCAAATACAAAGAAAATAAGCCAGCACAGCAGGAGAAGTTGTTCCCCTGGGAAAGCATCCTCTTTCCAGTTGAAAGGCTGGTACCGGAATCACTAGAATGGAGCAAGGCTTTCTGGTATGACACAGCACCAGGTCTTGGGGCAGCCAGAGTTAGGGAGGGCTCACCTTCTGGGTGACACCAACCTTTGGCTCTCCGTTTTTTTATTCTCATTGCAAGAACAAAATTTCAGAGTATCAAGAGCCAAAGAGATTTACTCTATTTTATTCTTTAGAAAATGCAATCTCAAGGATAATCAGACTGTTATGGGCTAAATTGTATCCCCCCAAAATTGGCATGTTGATGTCCTAACCCCCAGTACCTGAGAAAGTGACTGCATATGGAGAGGTCTTTAAGGAGGTCATTAAGGTAAAATGAGGTCATATGAGTGTGCCCTAATTCAATGTGACTAGTGTATTTATAAAAAGAGAAGATTAGACACAGACAGATACGGAGGAATGACCATGTGAAGACATAGAGAGAACATATCTACAAGCCAAGGAAAGAAGCCTTAGAAGAAATCAGCACTGCCAACACCATGATCTTAAACTTCCAGCCTCCAGAACTGTGAGACAATGAATTTCTGTTGTTTAAGTCACCCAGCGTGTGGTACTTTGTTATGGCAGCTCTAGCAAATTAAAACAAACATATTATACTGCCCAATGGAGAGTTTTACCTGACTTCTCTCTGGTTCCAATTCAATCAAGGTCTATATGCTCTGGGACCTCTCCAGCTCCTCATGAAAAATGACAAAGAATGCCATGTCCAGCTCCTGGGGTCCCTGATGGCAGTAAGAGGCAGCTCCTAATGGGGGAAGCTTTGGGGTGACCAAGGCCTCATAGACTTCATCACTGTTGGGCCACTTGGCTTCAGTCCCCTGACCACAATGGATCCATGGGCCTGGATTCACCTCTGACATTCGTGTCTTTTTTTTCCACAAGTGGTCTCTGGTAGAGATGGAGGGAAAGGACACAGGGATTCAAAATCCTGACTATCCTAGTGTCCTCCCCTCACTTCCACTCAGAGACAACACGGCCATTTCTCTAAACTCCTGAGGACGTGGCCAACATAAGTAATGGAGCACGGGGAGGTGCCTTGAACAGAGCTCCATGGAAGGGTGGCTGGTGCCCTCTAGACCCTTTGTCTATACGTGCTGGGCTTCTTTAGCATGAAATGTCCCAGAGGCAGCCACATTCTGTGCTTGGATCCTCAAACCAAAGTGTGTGAGGGTCTTAGCCCTGGCCAAATGAGCACTGAATTCAAGAGAGACCAGGAAACCTTCTGAATATTGGGACACTTTATTCCTGAATCCTGAATCCTGGAAGCTGGCTTCTGGCCAGGGAGGCAGGTGTCATTATATCTGGGCTGCCTCTCTGAGGCCTCTTTTCCATCTGCCTTTCACATCTTTCTACCCCTGTTAATCCCAGAACAGATAGAAACATTCTGCCTTCTTAGATGCCTCTTGCTACAAATTTCAATGCCATTTGATTGAATTAATAAATGAAAGCAACTTTAATACACGATGAGGTTTAAAGAATGGTATTTGACATGGGTTTAGAATGAATAAATGGATCAAGTAATGAATTTTGAAAAAATTCATGTAAAATTTATTTTTAACCATTTTATTAACTTGACTGTGGAATTAATAAATGATTCCAAATTAATACAAAAAAGTGCAATCACAAATGTATGAACGTGCAGAAGTGTGAATGAGGGGCAATGCACACAAGAAAAAAGGTGTGCACAGGAAGAAATTCTTCATTCCAGGTTTTTACTGATCCCTCTGGTCAAGATGGGCTAAAAGTCTAAAAATCTGCTTTCCTCACATGGTCAAATGATTCAGCATAAAATACAACTGACTGAACACAATTATCAATGCTTTAAATATATTAGAAAAAATCAATAAGGAAAAATAATCCTACCATCACTAAGATTTTAAGTTATAATAAAATAAAGCCTAGAAACGTATCGTTTGTTCCCAATTCCAATGATTATAGGATTGCAGCGTTTGGCTTTCAAAAGACCATTTAAAACAACTCAGGGAAGTTTTCTTAACAAACTCTATAGCAGGACCACAGCTAAACCTATGAGTAGTAGTAGAAGTAAACAATGACACTGTCTTTAAAATTTCATTTTGAAAAACATGTTTGAAAGTGGCTGACTGGCTCCTAATTTAACCACTACCATTTGAAGTCATATGTTAGATTGGCAAAGTCATCGTAATTTTTATGTATTTTATTTTTGTAATGCAAGTGCTTCACTCTGCTATCTGATAAAAGAAAATATCAAGCCAGGCATGGTGATGCATGCCTTGTAGTCCCAGCTACTCAAGAGCCTGAGGCAGGAGGTTCCTTCAGCCCAGGAGTTCAAGGCTGCAGCAAGCTATGATGGTGCCACTGCACTCCAGCCTGGGCAACAGAGAATACAATTTTAATGTAAAATTTTAGTGTTAGGAGTTCAACCTTGAACTGATTCTGTGAGATCCTATTTGAGAGAAGCTGTTGTGTACAATGAAGTTTGGGGAATATCAACAAGAAGTAAATGCCTACCTTGTTTCTAGTTTACAAACTAAAAGGAAATTCCATAAACTTTTAATGCTAAGCTAAATCATTGTAGAATGAATGACAAAAAAATTATCCTACAAAACATAACCAGTTGCTAGATACATTTGAACATTAATTAGAAAAAAGATGAATGAAAGACATGTTTTAGGAATAAAAACTACAAAAGAACTGTAAAAGCTTATCACGCCCTTGGCTGGAGTTACGCAAAGTTACTACTCACCCGTAAATTGGGATTAGCATGGTGGCTACTTCTTAAAGTTGATACAAGGATTAAATGTGTTTTAATGCATCAAAAGCATCTAGAAAAGTGCCTGAGACGTAGTAAGTGCTAAAGTCTCTCTACGTAAATAAAAAATATATAAAAGTGATGCTAAATTCAAGATTCTGATCCTCTGTACACACCCAATGTGTTTAAAATTCTGTTCATCTTCCCTTCCACATTCACAGTGAAATGTTTCTGATTAATTTAACAGGCTGTGTGAGGTGTTCATCATCTTTTACATTAAACTTGGTACATTGTACAACACTCTTATATTGTGATAATTTACCAAGCTAACACAGGCTTACCTTGTTTTTAATCCTTTTCACACACAGCATAGAATTATATTGCTATATTTTTAAATTTCAGATGATTTGAAAAATATTTACACTATAGTAGCCAAACAGTAATAATTATAAGCAACTTGGATAAAACATTTGAAATTAGAGAACTATATTTAGAATAAATTTCTCACCTTACAGAAAAATTTCCCATTGAAAACCCCTTTATTTCGCATACAAATAAGAATTCAGCATGTTTTTCTATACCCAGAGAGAACAGAGATAAACAGGGTCCTTTCATGTGGTTTGGGTATTTTATTAGATGCTGAGTTCAAGAAAGTCTCACCCCTGAAGAAGCTGAAATTCCATTTTTCTTCGAAATGGGGTCTTTTCAAAGTTAGTAACAATGAAGCTGTCATTCACACGATGCATGGCTGAACAAAAAGACAGAGACAGCGGGTGCTGCATTTTGTTTTTGTAATGTTGCCTTGTCCACAAGACACTATTTACACTTAAATCAATTAAAATTATATTAATTTTAAAAGTCAGTTTTCCCAGTTTCTCATTTGTACTAGCCACATTTCAAATACTCAGAATTCATGGGTGGCCGGTGACTGACGTAATGAACAGCACAGATATAGGCATTCCATCACTACAGAAGGGAGCTGGACAGCAGTGTGCCAATGTTTTAAGGACAGAATCCTGAGTAGAATTATAGGATGATGACAATTCCGAGTTCCCATTCCAATTCATGGTCTCTTCTCTGATGAGTGGTGTAGGGGGAAATCCATCTCTTTTGTGAGTAAAGGTTAATTTTTCCAACTACAGATAAATAATTAACATTACTTTTTTTAAAACCAGTTTTACACTGTTAAGTTACAACCAAAAGTGAAGGGCTTGAATTACATTTACATTTTAACACATGGTTTTAAAGGGAAGATCCGTGTGAAAAAGAAACAAAACTCAGAAAAAAAACCCAGAAGTTTTCATACCAGTTCCCATAGCAATAACAATCCCTTTTCTGTCGTTAGAGTTCACCCTCATTCTGATTTCATAGTAATCCTGTTCATGTCTTTCTTTAAAGCTTTACCCCATGCATATATTTCTAAAACAACACAGGTTATCTCAAACTTTATATAAATTTTGAATTTTTCATACAAATGGAATCATGCTGTGTATATTCTTACAAGACCTCATTTTAGATCAAATGTATGTTTGCTAAGTTTTTATAGGTGTCTGTAGAGTATTCATGTTTATTATTTGTAACATTTCATTGAATAAATACATCATATATTAAATTAACCCTTCTCTCGTTTATGGTCATTTCATTTGTTGTCAGATTTTTTAAAATTACAAGCAATGCTGTTACAAGCCTTCTAGCACTAGTCTGTTGGCACAATGGGCACATATCTGTCAAAATTATACACCTAGGAGTGGAGTTACTGGTATATGTGTATGATATCCCACTCAAAGAGATGATGCCACACTGCTAGATAAAGTGGCTGTGGCAAGCAATGTGTGGTAGATCTTGATGGTCTGTATTCTCATCAGTGTTTGGAAAACTCAGTAATTTTAATATAGAAATTCTAGTGCATTTTTCAAAATATCTCATTATGTTTTCCTCATTAAACTTTATTGAGATATAAATCACATACTACTCACCCAACTAAAGTATACAATTCAATGGTTTTTCACATATTCAGAGTTTTAAATCTGCATATTTAATTTTAGAATATTTTCATCATCCCAAGATAATCCACGGCTTTATAATATGTCTCTCTATACAATGAAGTAAATCCATAAATTTTGAGTTTTCACTTCAGGAGTGTTTTTTCTATCATTGGCAACTTTCCTAGCTTGACAGGCACCTTTCCAAGTACCTTTAACAATTTTATTTTTAATAGAGATTTCATTCAGTAATCAGATTTGGAGAGCACTGACAAATTTTGCCACATTGAGACTTATAATTCATGAACATGTAATGTTTACTTATTAAATACTCTTAAATAAAGTATTGCTGGTTTTACTTGTGCATCTTTTAGTAGATTTATTCCAAAGATCTTGAAATATGGTGCTAGTGTTCACAGTATCTCTTTCTTTGTTGAATTTCAGTGTTGGTTGTGGTATGTATAAATATAAATAATTTTATATAGTTTTAATTCAATGACTTTGCTTAAAGCTTTTATTAATTCATGTAGTTGATATATTCTGTTGCCTGATTGCACTAGCTAGGAAATCCAGTGTGATTTTGAGTGCAATGGAGAGGGCAGGTCTGCTGGTATCTTCTCTGTGCACTCCTGATCCACGCTCCATGTACTCTCCCTGCTCCGTGTCCTGGACACTGTGCTGCATGGCCTGCTGGACCACAAAAGGCAGCCTTGCTTTCTGGCTTTTATTTGGGATCGGCTAAATGGGAGCATCATCACGGAGAGAGTGATGAGGAGCACTGGTTGGAGGGATTTCTCCCCATAGCTTTCAGTATTGACATAGGGAGAAATGAGATGTGATTGGCCTGGATTCATCAATATGGGATCTTCACCCAGTATCTTAGATTAAATGTGTTATTTTGAACACCTAAGAGTGATGTTAATAGTCAGCCAGGTTAGCTAATTAAAACCCGAATTCAACTGTGGCCTAGCACAGTGTTTCTCAAATTCGACTGCGCTTTCCATCACGTGGGAGATTTTAAATAGCCCCAGGTCTAGATCAACATGTAAAACCAATGAAATCTAATTCATCAAAAGTAGGATCCTGGAAACAGTATTGTTCCTAAAACTCTCCAGGTTTGACTCCAATCAACAGCCAAGTTAAAAACTAGTAGCTCAAAGCAGTGGTTCTCAATATTTGGTATGTATCAAAATCATCTGGGAATTGTAGCAAAACTACACAGGCCCAGATATTATTCTAATTTAACAGGCTAGAGCCTTGAGTTTATTAAAACAAATCATCTCTCCAGATTTTGCTATATGCAACAGTTTGTGAAAACCACTAGCCTATATCAACAGAATCCCTATCACAGGCATACTGCAGAGGAAAGTGTCTGAACACAGCTCAGAGAGACGGAAAAGTGGGAATGTATCCATTATGTGCAACCTACTTAACATCTCCTAACCACATCTCCCGGGAGGGCTGAGAGGATGCCCCCCTTACCAAGGCATTAAGGTGCCACATGACACATACAGGTATAAAAACTGCTAGGTCTGCTGAGCAGTCACCAACCTTGAGTCCTGGATATTCAGAAATTCTTATCCAGTAGCTACACCAAAGCCAGCTGATATGTCAGAGCCCCTCAAATAAGCAGAAGGCTGGTGCCCTTGAGAAAGGACCCTATAATTCACTCTGAGATAAATTCTTTTTACAGGACTTTCCCAGAGGAACATTTAGTCATTTATCGCTGTCCACTGGGGAATGGAAAACCCCAAATAATCTGGGAGCTCAACTTTAATGTCTTTAATCCTGTCAAAGATTACCCTGGGGTTAATACTTTGTTGTAACCTGCATAAAAATCTTTCCCTACACTAAAGTAATGAAGATATTCTACTATATTACTGTAAAGAGATGAGTACAATCACATTTTTTTACAAGAGATGAGTACAATTGCATTTTTCCAGATAGATAACCAATTGTTGTTAAATTATTTTCTAAATCGTTTTCCTTTACCCACTGATCTGTAATGTTGCCTCTGCTCTACATACGTTCAGGGCTTTCTATTCTGTTCCCAAGTTCTAGTTTACTACCCTGTCTCAACATCTCGACTCTCTTAATTAAAATAACTCTAACATAAGTCTTAATATCTGCTAAGGAAATTCTCTCTGCTTATTATTCTTATTTAGAGTGTCATAGCTACTTTTTCTCTTTCATATTTCAATATAAGGCTTAAAATTGGCTTACTATGTGTTGCAAAAATGCTTGATAAACATTTAATTGAGATGTGTTTGAGTTCTTAGAGTACTGTAGGAAATTAATGTCATTATTATATTGAACCATCCAAGCCAGGATCCTGGTAAATTGATTCAGTTAATTCACTGTCTTCTTTAATTACTGTCTTCTATTATTACTCAGTAGGGTTTTTTAAATATCCCAATTGATATCTTGTACAGAATTTGTTAGGTTTAGTTTTAGAAGTTTATATGTACGCACTTTTGCTGAATCAATTTTTTTAAATTTTCATTTTATATCTGTGCAAAACAGCTCTATAATTTCTTCTACCTACCAAGCAAAAATATCTTATTAACTTCCGGATCACGAGGTCAGGAGATCAAGACCATCCTGGCTAACATGGTGAAACCCCATCTCTACTAAAAATACAAAAAATTAGCCGGGCATGGTGGCGGGCGCCTGTAATCCCAGCTACTCGGGAGGCTGAGGCAGGAGAATGGCCTAAGTAAATCTGGGAGGCGGAGCTTGCAGTGAGCCGAGATCTCGCCACTGCACTCCAGCCTGGGCGACAGAGTGAGACTCCGTCTCAAAAAAAAAAAAAAAAAAAAATATATATATATATATATATATATATTTATATATATATGTATCTTATTAACTTCAAGAGTGTTCTAATCATTTGTATTTTCTGCATTCAGCATAAGAGTTTTGTGCCTTCTTTTCAAACCTTTTTAAGTGTATTTCTTTTCTTCTTTATGACACTGGGAAGATCCTCAATTACAATTTTTAATAAGAGCAGTGAAAACTGCTGGACCACTCAAACAAAAATTGAGCTGCCACTCCTGAGAACTGACTGTGTTGCTCTTATGGATCAGCCCTTTGGGACCCATCCTAATCCCAGGGATTTACAGTGCCACATATGCACCCGCAGCCTTTAGATGTAGGCTTTATCCACCTAGCCCTCAAAGGTCTCAGACACTGCCCAGAGCAGCCAACATCACCCAGGACAAAAGCAACCCTGCAGCTCAACTTGCTCTTCTAGATTTCTGCCTTCTCCTGGTTCCTGGCCTGGCAAATCTTTACTGCTTGGTTAGCCCCTTCATACTTTCCATCAGATTTTTCAAATATGTACCCTTTTCCCACTTGTCCAGTAGTACTCAATGGGAGGGATGATCCAAATTACATAATTAATAATTGCTGAAAACTAAAGTACAATGTACAATTTTTATGTCAATGTCACATGCCAAGGGAGAAAATGCATAGGTATCAGTAGTGACTACTTAAGCATGTGTAACTTAGAGGTAATAAAAACAAAAATGTTAGGTAATATCTATCTATTCCAGATTAAAATCTACATCAATAAATTCAAACTTCTAGGAAAAATATCTGCATATGTAATATATGACTGTGACTCCGATAGACGAACGTGGGAATATAGTATGAAGATACTTCTCATCGTCTTCACTCTGTGAGGCAGTCAGTGTGAAATGAGAACCAGGGATTCAAAATGTGTTGCAAGACTATGAAAAGCACTAGAGTAAGTTCTACACAAATAAAGCAATCTCCTCATAAATTACACTGGGCTTATCTGTGAGATGCATGCCCTTATCAAAATGGAGTTAATTCTAGGTAGGTGATCTTGTTTAAATAAAATGGTCTCTGACTCACTAGCTACTGGTCCACCATCGGTTTTTCCCTTTACTAAAAGGGAGGCCCCACACTGAGCCAGCATTTCCCAAGAGGAGGTCTCTTGCTGACATCAACTTCCAACAGGGTAAATTTTCATGGGAACCCAAAGAGAAGAGGAAGACCTCAAGAAAAAGGGCCTAAAGAAATGACAAGAATGATAACATTTTACACTTTTATTGTGCTATGTGTCAAATAGTGGTCTTCGCACTTTAAAAATGCCAATTCATTTTATTCTGACTACACATCCATGGCTTGTGCCTGTTATTTTTCCCTTTCATAGTTAATGCCATAGGAATGAAGATCACACAAAAGTAGGGATGGAGCCGGGTTTGCACCCAGACAATTCTGCCCCAGGGCCATGCTCACACCACTGCACTTTTCCAGAATGTGAGGGTGGGCGGAGAGTCCAGCTCAGGGAGAGAGATTGGAGTGAGAGAAGAAGGAGAGGGGGCCGACTGGATCACTGTGATGGTCTGGACCCACAATTCCAGGAGAGAAAGACAAGGATTATGTCACTCAGGGAAAATATCCAAAGTCTCTGGTTTGGCATCTCCAGCTCTAGGACAGGTGGCTGGTGGGAAGACAAACTAAGCCAAAGCCACAGCTCTGAAGATTTCCCTCTCCTGAGAATTCTGCAGGGGTTTCCCTGACCTCATGGCCACCTCTCACCCTTGGCTCTTGTTTTTCCCCCAGGACTGATAAGGGCGTCCAGATGGGACGCCTTTATCAGTTGGTATCGGGTTCTAGAGAAGCCATCAGAGTCAGTGGAGGATGAGCTTCATAAAGTGGGAGATCTCCAGGATCCTTCCTGGACTCCAAGATACCCAGAGAAGCCGGATCCTGTGTCCCGGAACCCCCTTCCTGTTCCTCTGTGGGCCCTGACCTTGGGGAGAACGGGGCTGGTGAGAAGATCAGGATGAACTGGGCTGGGGAGGCAAGAGGGAAAGGGCGGCTTGGAGGGCTTAGTAGCTCCTCTCGCGGCGCCTCCGTCCCGGGCTGGGATCTGCAGACTCCTCAGGTCACTTCTCCCAGAGCCACCGCCCCAAGCCACCCTCCCCTGGTTCCCGTCCCTCTGTCCCCTCCCCAGCTCCCCCCACACAGTAAGAAGCTCCCAAGTGAGCGGCTCCGGTGCCGGGCGGGACGTGGGAGGGAGGCTGTGTCCCCGCGGGGAGGCAGGGCGACGGCGTCCAGGAGAGAGGGGAGCGGGGCGGGGTCCCAGGCACCCTGCGCCTCTCCCGCCCGCAATGTGTAGGTTCCCGGAGCCCAGGCCCGCACCCCGGGTACTTGAAGGCCGCCGGGCTCCGCCTTCACCACGTGGGCCCTGAGTTCCTCAGCGGCGCCTTCGTGGGCGACACGCGATTCCTGAGCTTCCACAGCCGCGGCGAGAATCAGAGCGTGAAGCGCGGGTGGAGAAGATGGCACAGGGCTGTGGGCGCCCTGAGGAAAATTCTCGAAGACCGCAGGGAATGTGTTACTGAGGGGCCTGAGGTTCCTGGGCCCGCACCACCACCAGGGTCAGCCGGTGAGTGACCTCAGACTCCGGGCACAGGTGTGCCCCGCCCCGACCCCAGAGTGACCAGCCCGGTTCTCCCAGGGATGGGGGGTCGGGGCCTCAGCTGATCCCTCTCAGGTGGGGAAGCGCTGGGGCCATTTTGCTCCAGGTTTCTCCTTCAATCTGGATCATGACTGACTTGTTCTGTGACCAATGACAGAGGAAGGAAGGAGCTGGGGTGGGCGGGGCGACCTCCCTCCCCTCCCTGGCCCCGCCTCCGGCTCACCCTGGGGCAGGTCCAGAGTACCGCACCTGCAGATGCTGCTGTCTGGCTGGGTGGTGGCTCCGGACAGGAGCTTCCTCGAAGGACACTTTAAGTCCGCCTACGACAAGGAGATTTCATGTCCCTGAACGAGGACCTGCAGACCTGGACAGCGGCTCAAAGAGCGGCTTGGAGGATCCATCACACCTGGGAGAGGTTCTGGACCGCGGAGGCCACAAGGGAAGCCCCGATGGGTCACTGCACTAGGTGGCTGCTCAGACACCTGGAGCATGGCAAGGAGATGATGCTACCGGCAGGTACTGGGGTCCTCCAGGCCCCACGTCAGGACCTCTTGGAGCTGGAATTATGTTCCTTGGAGGCATCCATATTTGAGGAAAGAGGAGACCGAACAGTCTCCGTCTCCTCCTCCTCCTCCTCCTTCTCCTCCTCCGTCGCCGCCTCCTCCTCCTCCTCCCTACTGCGGGGTTGGGGATTCTGGCTCAGGCTCCTGAGGCTCTCCCATGGGTGGGTGGGGAGGGAGGACAGAGAAGAAGGAGTGCAGGGAGGTAAATAGGAAAGGACAGTAGTTACCCTTGTCAACAGTGATGTACTTGGGTCTAGCTTCACCGGGAATCTTTTTCTTTCCTGGTCCTCTGTGCCCAACAATTACATATAATCTTTAACCCAACCAGAAGATAAAACACCAGGAAACGGAATCGGCGGAGACACAGTGGATGAAAGTACCACGAAGGACTGCTAGGTTCTAATAGAAAGTAGCAGATGTGAGTATCAAAAATTATAAACCTTTTTGCAAATCAGAAAAGAAACAGACTTTTTTTTTTTTTTTTTTTTTTTTTGAGACGGAGTCTCTCTCTGTCACCCAGGCTGGAGTGCAGTGGCGCGATCTCAGCTCACTGCAAGCTCCGCCTCCCAGGTTCACGCCATTCTCCTGCCTCGGCCTCCCGAGTAGCTGGGACTACAGGCGCCCGCCACTACGCCCGGCTAATTTTTTGTATTTTTAGTAGAGACGGGGTTTCACTGTGTTAGCCAGGATGGTCTCGATCTCCTGACCTCATGATCCGCCCGCCTCAGCCTCCCAGAGTGCTGGGATTACAGGCGTGAGCCACCGCGCCCGGCCGAAAAAGACATTTTAAGACTGAAAAGTGGTATCACCAATGTTAGAACCAAAAAATTGGACCTGAGGGTGCCTCACCCGAGGGGGTTGAGTTAAACTCTGTTCCTGTTCCTTCTGGAGCCCTGTGGAGACTCCTGCTGTGCAGCAAAGCCTGGGAGGGGCCCTTGGCTGTGGAAGGCAGGCTGAGACGTCATAGGTGAGATAGGAGGAAGGGGACCTGCTGGACTCCTGGAGGCCCGGTACCCAGGGAAGGCCAGTTCCTAGGGCTGCCTCTGGACTTCAGAACCTTGATGTTAAGTCAGATTTTCCCGCTCCTCCATGAGCTTCCAGGAGCAGGGCCACATGGGGCTCAGAAAGTCCCACAGTGCCTGGGAAGTGGGTCTGTCTCTTGTGGGACAAAAATTCTCAGGTCTTTCTCTTTCAGATTCTTAAATTTCTTAAAAGAGATTGAATCGGAATTATCCAGGCCCCAAACTGAATCTACGAATTGGGAGTGTGTAATGTGCCTGTGTCTCTCTGTGCACATGTGGATATATAAACAGGTTTGGGCATCTGTGTGTATGTGCATGTTTATAAGTGCGTATATGTATGTATCTGTACATATTTATGTATACAAGCAGGTATGGGTATGTATGTGTGTATGTGTGTGTGTTACTCTGTGACTTCCTCATACTTGGCACCACCCTGGCCTTTTCCTGGTTGCCCCCCACACCATAGGTTGTAAGGGACAGAACAGTGCTCCACCTGCAGGCATAGAACGGGGGTCAGGATAAGTGTTGGGGAGAGCTGGTTTCATCACACCTGGAATAAGGAAACAGGACCTAAATGGATGGGTCCCACTCTTTTACAGAATTGTACCTTAAAAAAAGTGTCAGTCACGTTCCTAAGGGATTTACATGAATTAAATCATTTAAACCTCACAAGAGCCCTATGACCTAGAGACAGCTATCAGCCCCATTTTACAGACAAGGAAACTGAGGTCACTAGGAAGTTTAGTAACTGTCAATGGGCTGACTCATGACTCTAAGGAGACAGTCTGACTGCTGAGCCCAAGTAACTGCTCTGTCATACTCACCCTCACACCCATCTACTGGCTCCCTGTGGGTCACCTCCTCCTGTGGGCTCTGACCAGCTTCCCTTTCTTCTCCAGGCCCAGAGACTGGACCGAAGTCTATTGCATTTGCCGCAGTCCCGACTAGGGAGTCATGGGGTTGAAGTGACCCATAGGCTGATGGAGTGTGCTTGCTGGACGCGGGGGAAAGGGAGATTTATATCTGCCCTGGAGGGAGTCAGTGGTGTTTGCATCATGGCATATGAGGTGCACTGTCTAGAATGCTGAAGGGTAAAGACCAGCAGGGGCCATGCAGAGTCTATTCATCACGGTTTTATTTCACAGCCTGCATGGGCCTGAGAGTGGTGGGGTATTCACTAATCTCCTTCCAATCCTTACTGGTTCCTGACCTCTCTTCTTCCAACTGGCAATACCTGCACTCAAGGTTGAACCATGAGGAGGAGTCTACCCATACCCCACACTTCCTCCTCTCTGCCTGCCACTCCCTAGTGGGGCCTCCTGGATGGTGTGAGAGGAGAGCAACAGAGATAGTAAGAGAACTTGACATTCACACTGGTAAAGAGAAAGTGGGATGTCAACCTATGAGAAAGATAAGGGCTGCCACAGGGAAGGGGATGAGATAAGTTCTAACTGGCCCCAAGGGTCGCTTAACTCAGTGAAAGCTGTGGGAGGTGTTTTCAGCTATCCATTGCTATATAAGAAATTGCCACAAACTTAGCAGCTTACAACAACACACATGTATTATCCCACATTTCTATGGTTCAGGAATCCAGACACAGCTATGCAGCTTTCTCACATGATTTTCATCAGAGTGCCATGGCTTGGTCTTATCTGGAGGCTGAACTGGGGAAGGATACCCTTCCAAGCCCAAGCAATTGTTGGCAGGATTCATTCCTCCATGTCTGTTAGACTGACAGCCTCAGTTCCTTACTGGCTGGTGGCCAGAGGCTGACTTCAGTTCCTTGCCACACAGGCCTTTCTGCTTCATCGAAACTTGGAAACAAGGCAGAAGACAGAGTCATCGAGTAATACAGAAGTGGGGCTGTCATATGACCTCATTGCGGAAGTGACATCATTTTTGCCACTTTCTATTGGTTAGAAGCAAGTTTAGGTCCCATTGGTTCTCAGCTGGATGAGATGCCAAGAGACAGGATCACCGGGCATTGTCTTAGGGTCTCTATGCACAGGCTGGACCATGACTGAACAAGATCATTACAAACCCGGATCCTGGACTGGGCCAGATGATCTGCGGAGCTGAGCTGTGTTTATGAAATCAAAGCCCTGGAAACAAAAATCAAGAGATGCCCACAGGAAAGGCTGGTCTTGCATTCTGTGTGAAAGCTAAGATGACGTTCTCTCCAAATGTTTTTCTCTATTACTTTTCAAACCTCCTGCATCTGTAAAGAAGCAACACCACTAAACCTATCTGGTTTTTTTTTTTTCATTCGAATGTCATACTGTTAGGCAAATCTTCTCCTTTCACTATTTCTTCAAGCTTGTTTTCATGCAGAATCCCACAAACTTCTGGTAATTACTCTTTGTTGATTTCTTTGCCTTCACTCAGTTTATTTTTTAGTGATTTTATTTCTCTTGTATGGATAAATTAGTCCATTTAATTAGGGAATTTGTGTCTTCTAAAGAAACCTTTCTACTATTTTTTGGACCATATGGGTAAGATCCTCTTGCCAAGCCTCAGCTCTTCCCACATGGGCACAAGACAAAATTACTGGGGGTCCTGGAAAGTCGGGGATTAGCATAGTTCTTAAGCAGGATCAGACACGTAAGTCACAAAGATATAAGGCATATACCTTTGATTTCCTTGTGACCCTGATGACAGCATACCTGGCACTCAATACCTGTCTGTAGAGGTGAACTCAACTAAACTCCTCCCTGATCACGCAATACCATGTGAACCCAAGCGCCTCTTATGTCATGGGCGAAATTCCCTTGTTTTATGTCATTTTTCCAGATGAGGTGCTATTCATATGGGGACCTTTCTCCTTTTCCACCTTATTTTCCATGTGTGAAACACTGGGTCTTGATCACTCAGATCTCTCAGGGTCCTTTCTACCCTTTCCTCCATCCTAATATTCTCCCTACAGTTGCCACCAGGGTTTCCCCAAACCTCTTCTTCTCCATGTATCCAATCTAGCATCTCTCAGTTCATTCTTCACACTTAAACCAGAGCTATTCTTCTGGAATTCAGATCTGACCAAGGTTCTTCCTGACTTCAGTGCTGCCAGTGCTGCACATTGTCCTCGGATAAAAGCCAAGGTTCTCCCCAACCCCACAAGCCTTAGTCATTGAACCTGCTCACTGCTCCAAGCTTGCTTTTTGCCCCTGTGCTCCTTTCTCTCTAATCTCCACCCTGAACTGCTGACAGTTCCCCCAGACTCCCTGTGTGCTCTTTCTTCTGAGCCTTTGTTTGTGATACCGATTCCCTAAAAGGTTTCTCCTGCCATTCACCTGGATTAACTGTATTCCTCATCCAGTTCTCTGTTTAGACATTGCATCCTCTTGGAAGCAGTTTTCCCCCACTAATTATAGTAGCCTGCATTTACCTGTTTTTTTAGTCCCCTTGTGGAATCTTTGATGTTTGACTCACTGAGGCCTAGGAGAGCCTGACACATAGTAACTGCCTAATAAATGTTTGCTAAATAAATGTGGAGTTCACCATGAGGTACCACCTTGTACATGCAAGAATGGCATTAATTTGGCTGGGCGCAGTGGCTCAAGCCTGTAATCCAGCATTTCGGGAGGCCAAGGTAGGCAGATCACAAGGTCAGAAGATTGAGACCATCCTGGCTAACACGGTGAAACCCTGTCACTACCAAAAATACAAAAAATTATCTGGGCGTGGTGGCACGTGCCTGTAGTCCCAGCTACTCAGGAAGCTGAGGCAGGAGAATTGCTTGAACCTGGGCGGTAGAGGTTACAGTGAGCTGAGATAGTGCCACTGCACTCCAGCCTGGGAGACAGAGTCAGACTCTGTCTCAAAAAAAAAAAAAAAAAAAAAAGAAAAAGAAAAAAATGGCATTAATTAAAAAGTCAAAAAACAATCGATGTTGGCATGGATGTGGTGAAGACAGAACACTTTTACACTGCTAGTGGTGAGAATGTAAATTAGTACAACCACTGTGGAAAACAGTATGGAGATTCCTTAAAGAACTAAAACTAGATCTACCATTTGATCCAGCAATCCCACTACTGGGTATCTACCCAAAGGAAAATAAGTCATTATATGAAAAAGACACATGCACACACATGTTTATAGCAACACAATTCATAATTGCAGGGATATGGAACCAACCTAAGTGCCCACTGACCAACCAGTGGCTAAAGAAAGTGGTGTATATACACCATGGATTACTACTCAGCCATAAAAAGGAATGAAACAATGTCTTATACAGCAACTTGGATGGAGCTTGAGGCCATTATTCTAAGTGGAGTAACTCAGGAATGGAAAAACCAAATACTGAATGTTCTCACTTATAAATGAGAGCTAAGCTATGAGGACACAAAAACATACAAAATGGCATAATGGACTCTAGGGGCTTGTTGGTGGAGGTTGGGAATAGGGTGAGGGATAAAAGGCAACACTGGGTAGAGTACACTGCTCGGGTGACGGTGCACCAAAATCTCAGAATTCACTACTAAAGAACTCACACACATAACCAAAAACTACCTGTCCCCCAAAAACTATTGAATAAGTTTTAATAAATGTGGGGTTGTAATTTAAAATTTATTTTAAATTCAAAATAAATTCAAAATAAATTCAAAATTTATTTTGAAAGTCTAATACAAGAACAAGATTTAAAAGATTATAATAATAAAAATGTGTATAGTGTGCAAAGCAAATTTCCTTCTCCACCCCATCCACAATTCTTCCAAATTCCTTGCCTGGATGCAACCACTGTTACCAGTTTCAGCAAGAAATTAAGACAGAAATTAAAGTTCTGCTCCTCATAATAATCACGATCAATTATCCCTGCTTATACAGTAACCCCTCCTTTTCCCAACAGCCTCCTAGCATGAGGAACCCAAATTGAACAGGTAACAAACATACCCCTAAACGTAATGTAACTTGTACTCTGTTCCATGGTAGGAACTTCCTTCTCTGGGATCCCAAACTCCTAGACCAGCTGAGTACGTTGAGGGGATGGGAAGCACCAACACCCCACGCGGGTTACCGGAAGTGCTGGTGAGTATAGTCATTCCTTCTTCCAGCACTGGTGGTTAGAGACTTACTTCCTCTGCCTGTTGGAGACTTGGCACTATGTAACAGCTGCTGCCATAGCCTAAGTGTATGCTTCATCCTGAAGGACATTACCCATCCTGATAGGATGTGATCTTCAAGATAAAACCCAGCTGCACCCTCAAGAGACCATCCCACTGCTCTATCAGCTGGCAGCGTGTGTGATGCAGTATAGGGTAGAACCAGGAGATCTCATGGTCGTGTGCCCACTACCAGACAGCGTTCGCTATAAAGTAGGTCCCTTAGTCTGGGGCAATGTTATGTGGTTCCCCTATTAGAAGATCATACATATGTGAGCCCTTAGATAACGTTTCTGAGTGTGGCACTGTGGGAAGAAAGAACAAACTCATACCGCTAATACAAGGCAAGCTAAATCTGACAGAACCCCTGCCTTTTTCATTGTGAAAAAGTAAGAGTAGAATCAATTTGCCATCAAATTGCTCATTGGCCTCCATAAGCAAAGGTAATCTGTTGGAGTTTATTTATCGTTGGAAGGTAGGTTGTGACAATAACCACGTCAGCCACGCTGAAGGGAGCCCAAGCCTTGGGACTCACCCACAGTGCATCTCTTCCACCATAGATACTGCTTTCAAGAGCCTGTTTCATGAGCACTGGGATGGTTAAGGACAGAGGCTGGCTGATGTGTACCAAATGATTCATCCTGTACACCTGGTTGTTTAGACTACTTGT
Organism: Homo sapiens; assembly: GCF_000001405.40. Classification (NCBI taxonomy): domain Eukaryota; kingdom Metazoa; phylum Chordata; class Mammalia; order Primates; family Hominidae; genus Homo; species Homo sapiens. Next base: position 2,556,661 of record NT_167248.2, on the reverse strand, counting down.
ATAGAGGGTAATTTTTGCTGAGTATTAACATCTGATACAAAAGAGCCAAGCACTTTGTATCTACTGTATGCCTCTTTCCAGATATTCCTGTTCCTGATCTTCCTATCTTGCTCCTTCCAGGCCCCGGACCCGCTATTTAAGCCATTTGCCGTTGCCTATGAGTCTGTGCATATTCTCACCTCAGGCCACTTCTGTCTACACAAAGTGGGCAAATCAGAGCCCCACCTGCCTATTGGCAGGACCCTCTTCAGCACTGTCTCTGCTCATTCCTGAGTTGCCCACACTGCAGACACACTCTACTGCTGCCTCACACCAACACACTAAGCTGGCATGTTTATGAAGAAGCTCAGAATTTTCCTCTTAAGTCAGCTGGTCATAGAAACTACCCATAAGGTCATTGGTGAGAGTCGAGGTCAAGGCAAATTTCCAGCAGTGTGAGGTGACATGGGGTCTGAGCAATGTCTGTATGTAATTAACATCAGTACTCAGAACATACATACTTTAACCCAGGGGTCAGCCAGTGGTTTCAGTAAAGGCCCAGATGGTTTCCCTTTGCTGTGTGTGTGTTCATTCCCCTCTCCGAAGCTATGTGTAACCCCATAGGGATCGCAGGGGTTCCCATCAACCACAGCCAGTTACATCCACAAAAGCCTTGATCCTTGTTAGCAGATGGGAGCAGGTGGCTCGGAGGATTGAAATCCCTACTTCATAGGACTCTGGATACTTACACAGTTGCTTCCTCCTGTGCTTCTACATGAATCTCAGCACTGTATTTAGGACACCGTCTGCACTCTTATTCTTCATGCAATTCTGTTTGCTCCTCAGATGGCCGCTTTTCCTTTGAAGCTCAACAGTGGTCATCACGTACTTGGGCTGAGGGTTACTGGTTAACTCTGTGGGATTCTGGGATCAGTTCCTTCCCATTCTTAGCCATCCCTGTGCTTTACAAAACTTAGCTTCACAATTATACTCATCTCTCTCTGTGTGCACCTCTAAGAAATTACTGACAAAACACTTGAGTTTTTTGAAATTACAAAAATATATACAAGAAAATGTTTATGGGGCCATTGATTAGCATGGAAAAGCATAAACTTTCCTGTTTTCTGCCTCTCATTAGAATTTAATCCCCCAAAATTGAACTCATTCCAAACTTCTGGCTTAACTAGGAGTTGCTGTAGCCAGCCTATTCTAGACAGCATCCTGTAAGCCCCTGGGATTGGCAGACACAAGACCACTTTTTCCATTCATATATGTGGTTCTGTTCTGGCCAGATCAACGGACTTCCAGTGCCCTTCTTGAGTCATACTGAGGTAAATTACTCAGACCACGAACTCACATTTTTAAATAAATAAAATAGCAGCATAGTTAAGAATTTATTTATCCCATTACTGGGCATAAACCCAAAGGATTATAAATCATTCTACTATAAAGACACATGCACACATATGTTCACTGCAGCACTATTTGCAATAGCAAAGACTTGGAACCAATCCAAATGCCCATCAATGATAGACTGGATAAAGAAAATGTGGCACATATACACCATGGAATGTTATGCAGCCATAAAAAAGAATGAGTTCATGTGCTTTGCAGAGACATGGATGAAGCTGGAAACAATCATTCTTAGCAAACTAACACAGAAACAGAAAACCAAACACCGCATGTTCTCACTTATAAGCAGGAGTTGAACAATGAGAACATGTGGACACAAGGAGGGAAACATCACATACCGGGGTCTGTCAGGGGATGGGGGCAAGGGGAGGGATACCATTAGGAGAAATACCTAATGCATGCGGGGCTTAAAACCTAGATGACGGGTTGATGGATGCAGCAAACCACTATGGCACATGTGTACCTATATAACCAACCTGTACATTCTGCACATATATCCCAGAACTTAAAAGTATAATTAAAAAAATAATTTATTTCATTTGTATAGTCCATTAAATTTTTTGTACATTTTTTAAACCTGCACTTTTCATAGTTTTTGATACATCCTTGCTCCAATAAATAGCTTGCTAAAACTACTAAATCTCATAGATATACCAATGGTTTGCATCATCTAATGGCACATTTGCTTGTCAAACTGAGGTCAGCCAGTCCCCCTTCATTCACTGTTAGTAACTCATGTGTTGCATTGTTAAAAACCCAGTATCACCTCATCTCCCCTCTAGCATCTTCTCTGCAGAGGAGAAGCCAGGCACTATATCTCCCAGGATCCCCTTCCCTGTATAGTTCCAGTTTACATTTTCCAGTGAGAGAGACTTGCATAAGAAATGGGGCCCTGGAGAGATGGTGGGACAGACCTGTACCCATCAGTGGTGGCTGCAGGTAGAGGAGCAGGCAGATGTCAGGTTCTCAGTGGCTTCCCTGCTAGGCTAGAGACCCACCTGCTTTGCTTGTGTGGACTAAGATGAGTGATAAGAGCTTTCTCATAGGTTCTGGAGAATATAGCAATCTCGCAGCAGGATTCTGAGAACCTCCCATCCATGCTTCAAGCTGAAGTCTTCAGTATATGCTTCCCTGACCTCCCTACTGCAGCTTCCAGGAGCTCCAATGGTGACTGGTATTATTATAGTATCCTGCTGCTGCTATAACAAACTACCACAACTATGTGGCTTAAAACAACACCAATGTATTCTCTTATAGTTCTGGAGGTAAGAAGTCAAAAATGGGTCACTATGGGCTAAAATTAACATGTCGTCAGAGCTGCATTTCTTCTGAGGCTCTAAAGGAAAATCTGTTTCCTCACCCTTTCCAGCTTCTTGGGGCTGCCTGCATTCTTTGGCTTGTGGTCTCTTCCTCCATCTTCCAAGTCAGCAGTCACATCACTTTGACCTCTGATTCTGTTGTCACAGCTCTAACTCTGATGCTGCTTTCTACTCCTTTCACTTATAAGGACTATTGTGATTACATCGAACCTGCCCAGATAATCCAGGATAATCTTCCCATCTCAAGAGCCTCAGCTTAATCACATCTGAAAATTTCCTTTTGCCCTATTAGGAGACATTTTTATAAGTTCCAGGGATTAGGACACAGACATATTTAGGAGACCGTTATTCTGCCTGTCACATGACTTCACCAATATTTGCTACCCGTGGTTTCCAAACATTAGTGTATGCTCTTATTTCTATTTATTCCTGAAATACCAGAGTGAGTCTGTTTTTCTGAAAACAGCTCACTAATGCCCAGAGGAGCTCAAAAATTTTCTGTCTGTTGTCTCAAAGTCTCCAAATTTTACTGATTCTTCAACGTGCATGGCTGTAAATTAGGCAATAATCTTGCTGGGGTGTTGGAAGGAGAAGAAAGGGAATGATTAGACAGCCCTTCTGATTCGGGACAGAATCTGATTCGGGACACTGTCCCTGATGGCTGGCCATCTTGGGCTGTAATCCAGTTTCCCTCCCACGTAGACCCGGTCATTTCTGACTCCCCAAGAGGTTTTCACAGTATTCATGTCCACTTCCTTCATCAGTCGTCTTCTTGTCTTATATCTCCATGTTTACATTTTTCTTCTCTTCTACCACTGCAGTTCTGCCTTGATTCTTCAGCCATTGCCTTCCTTTTGCATGCATGTGCTTCAGCCAGTTCTCTAGGAAGACATTCCAGACAGCTCATTATCACTTGTTACTATGTTTATTTGACAGCAGAGCTTTCAAGATTTGTAACTTTCTATTTTTTAAATTTTAGTGTAAAAATAATTCATGCTCACAGTAGGAAATGAAACAATCAAAATATGCATAAATATACTTTTAAATCTCTCCTTTCACTAAATCCAAACCCACTTAACTAAGGTGATTACTATTGTATCAGCCTACTCTCTGCATGTCTACTTTCTTCACTTGCACGCAAACCATAGTGAGTGTTTTCATCTGGTAGTTTTTGTTGAGCTGTAATGACTATAAGTTTTATATGTAATTTAATCATTTTCAGGGCAACTTGAGATATAATTTAAATAGTATAAAATCCACACATTCAATATATACAATTCAGTGGCTTTTAGAATATTCACAGTTGTGCCTCCATTACTACAATCAATTACAGATCCTTTTATCTCCTCCCAGCCCTGCAGAAAAATCCATATCCAAACCCCAGCCCTAAGAAACTACCAACCTATGTTTTAACTCTACAGATTTACCTATTCTGAACATTTTATGTAATGAAATTATACAACATGTGGCTTTTTGTGTCTGTCTTCTTTTACTTACCAGAACATTTTCAAAGTTTGTGTGGGTCGTAGCTTGTATCAGTACTTCACATCTTTTTCATCGCTGAATTACATTCCATTGTATGGATATATCACAATTTATTTATTAGTTGGTGACATTTTGGTCCTTCTCATTTGGATTGTGATTAATAATGCTGCTATAAACATGGCATATAGGTTTTTATGTGAACTCATGTTTTCATTTCTCTTGGGTATACTGTATCATAGGAGGGGATTGCTGGGTCATGTAATAACTTAATGTTCACAAATTTGAGCTACTGCTAGCCTGCTTTCTAAAGGGGCTATGTCTCTTAAATCCCCACCAGCAAAGTGTGAGTATTCTAGTATCTCCACATTCTCATCAACACTAATTATTATCTTTTTAATTATAGCCATTCTAGTGGGTGGGAAATGGTATCTCATTTTTGGGTTGATGTGCATTTCCCTGATGGTTAATGATGTTGAACATGTTTCTATGTGCTTATGGGCCTTTTGTATATTATTTGTCTTATTATTATTATTTTTATTATTTATTGTTTATTATTATCTTATTATATTGAGTTACAACCATTCTTTATATATTCTAGATACAAGTCCTTTCCTTGCCAGATATAAGATTTGCAAAACTTTTCTCCCATTCAATGAGTTTCTTTTCACTTTCTTGATGGTGTCCTTAGACTCACACATTTTTAATTTTGATGATGTTCAATTTATCTTTTATTTCCTCTTTTTGCTTGTGCCTTTGGTATCATTTAAGATCAGGTATTTTTACCTAATCCAAAGTCATGAAGATTTATGCTTATGTTTTCTTCTAAGAGTTCTCTAATATTAAGTCTCACATTTAGGTCTTTGATACACTGAGGTAATTTTTATATGTGGTGTGAAGTAGGGATCCAGCTTTATTCTTTTGCATAGGTATAGCCTGTTGTTTCTGCACTGTTTGATGAAAAGATAATTTCTTCCCCTCACTGAATTATATTAGCACTGTTTTATAAAACCAATTAACCATATAAGTGAAGAGTATTGCTGGGCCCTCAATTTTCTTCTGACTTCATTCTTTTTAATGCTGTTGTAAGTTGGATTTTTAAATAACATTTGTATTAATGCATTGATACTCTATAGAAGCACACTCAATTTTTGTATTTTGATCTTGTAGCCTACCAATGTGCTAAACTAATTTAGTATTAGTGGTTTAGTAGTTGCTAAGCTTGTTTTTAGTGAATTCTTTTGTATTTCTATATAAGATTTTATCATCTGCAATTGAGATAGTTTTACCTCTTGCTTTTTAATCTAGATGACTTTTATTTCATCTTATTGCTCATTGTAGCTTTTGAAAAATTACATTGTATTCACAGTGCCCTACCATTTGATATTTTTATTTCTATTATATCATGAACATCCTTTGAATTTCACAGAAAAAATGGTTTAACTCATCATTTTAATGCTGTTCCATAGTATGTTATATGCACCTACTCCCCTGGGGTAAATATTTAGGTGGTTTCATTTATTTGTCACCCACTCTACAGACGTCTATATGCACATATTCTCCCAGCCATCCCAGAGTTTTCTGATTTCCCATAACGTCAGTGATTAAACTCCTGATCTGTCTGACTAGCTAGACATGCTGACTGACTGACAGTTCCATTGCTACTTTGCATAATTTAAGATCAACAGCTACATTTGGATCTCAGATCATCTAGGCCCAGCTGCAGTTAGTCTTTCCTAGTCTCAGAGATTCCCTCTCTGCCTGTTAATTTCTCTATCCCTGAAACTGCCCTTGTACTCCAGCCCAAGCGGTTTCCTAGCCCCGTAGTCCTGGATCTGCCACTTGCTAACTAGAAGGTGTCATCTGCAGAAGGTAAGTAAGGCATTTATCTCCATTCACTTTATATTTAGTTATCAATCTCCATGTAGCTCAGGTAGATCATGCTGAAAACATTCTTGTGTTTAGTAATATAGCCATTGAGCACACCATCATTGCTCTTTTCATACCTTAGTCCTACTCAAAGATTAAAGTGACAGCTTCCCAGTTATGATAAAAAAGTATAAAACATTCTGAGGGACCTGTAAACTATAAAGCTAAAATATCAGCTTCTGCATGCAACATATATGTCAAATTCTATGTCCAATACTCTTCTCGTTTTTAGAATTAATTCTGCAAACTTGAAGATTGAGCTTTTTATGAACTGATTGGCATCTGCTATGCTCACCAGATTATTCCCACTTGACTGAGAGGATGGTGGTAGCAAGAGCTCCTTCCTTTCAGAGGCTTTTAAAAATACTTATTGGGAAGAATGTACCACATAAGGCATTTAACTAATGAAACCACAGATATAACCACTGGCAAAAAAATCAAACAAACATTTCTTTAACTGCCCTGTACTTGGTACATTCTCTTCCTCCTGCTAAGGAAGTATCTCCTCTCCCTTCACTTCACAGACTGGAATTTTCCAAATTCCTAGTCTCAACAAGACAAACTGTATTTTGAAATCACTGTTTTCCCAGAATACCCGGAGTGTTACCATGACTCCAGAAGATGCCTTCAACCAAGACTCATAATCTGACTGTAAGAAACCTTCAGATAAGGTATTGGGAACTTCTGTAAAATTGTAGCTGTGTTGTGATTAGAGAATTTTCACAATATCAACAAATCTTACAAAAGAGCTGCTGATCCAACAGGTCCTCAGAGATCCTGTGTGGGAACCAGAAGGTATTCTGTGAAAAACGACAATAAGAATAACCATAATAACAATAATGGCTGCATTTAAAAGGCTCTTGCTATATTTCAGGCACTGGTTTTTGTACCTACATGGATTATTTTGTTCAATATTTATCACAACCATATGAGAAGGATGTTATTATCCACAATAAATAAATGAAATCTGTAAACTGTAACTTGTTCAAGAAAATTAGGTACAGAGATGTTAAGTTACTTGCCCAAAGTTCCATAATTTTGAAGATATGAGGCTAGAATTCAGTTCCAGGCCATTTTACACTAGATCTACTAATTTAGCCACTGTATGATTGTACCAAGACTGACCTAAAGCTACCTCCCCTTCCCCAACAGGTTCTTTTATGACAGTGAGTATAAAATACAGGGCTAATGACGTATTGGGTGCAGAGAGGGGTTGGAAAGAATGTGGTATTTCAGACTATGCTTACTATGCTTAAAAATCACAATTCCGTGGTGACTAGAGTTTATCTTAAACTTTCCTCCCTGGCATTCCATTGCATCCAGTTGAGAGAGCACTCTAGCTCCCTACATCCCAGAACATGTAGATCTGTCCGTGGTTCTGAAAGACACACTGGCAGGTCCCGCCAACTACATGAATGGCATTCATATTGTGGAAAACTGCCCACTAGTAAAAATGTACAGTTGAATTTGTACATTCGTTACTTACAAGATTGGAGAACGTGAAGTACTGGACAATCCAACAATAGCTTGGAAAGATACCATAAAAAGACCCGCAGAATATTCTTTTATATGCATTATACTGAAATGTACAAAACAAAACCAGAATGGGACACATTATGAGTGAGAAGTTTATCTTGAAATTTTAATCAGAATATGAAGAAAAGAAATCCAACATTAGACCTGGAAAAAGATAAAATAATTTGTATTTCATTTAACAATATTTATAGATTCTCAATATATACACTATCCTTTTAAACCTCAATTTATATTTAACCATCCATTTACCTTTATTTTTTGTTTGTTTTTTTCTTTCACCTCATACTTTCTACCTGGGATATCTTTTTGTGACTAAAGTACATTCTTTAGAACTTCTTGTACTTTACTAGGTGTGTTTGTGTTAAATTGTTTGTCTTCAAAATTCATCGAGATTTAAATTTTATTATTATATTTTCATGCTTAAGTGTTATGTGTTTGTCTCTTCAAATTTTTCTGAAGATTATTTATAGTTTTATAGTCACTAAATGTATTTAACAATCTGTTCTTTAATCATAGCCCATTTAGCAATTTTATATCCTATACAATTATTCTGATTTCTCAGTTATATGATTGTATGATTCTGCTGTCTGTTGTATTTTCTTGTTCTTTCACGGTGCTTTGTCTCTTATGAACATTGTTCTCTGTTGTTGTTCTTAACTGTTAAGTGCTCCTTTTGCTGGTGTAATGATTTTTTGGAATTTTCAGAGTGCCAATGACAGTAGAAATTTTCCAGAGAAGTTTTGCTTGATTTTCCAAGGTTCCTTGGAGTCTGCACTACTTTAAAATAAATTCATGGCTTGATGATTTTGAGACCACCCAGGGAGTGTGAACTCGGGCTGCAAATCCACTTCTCTTTAATCTCAGGAGAAGGTTTTGCCCCTCTCCACTCAGCACCAAGGTGACTTTCTGGGGAGACCTTCAAGCAAGGATGTTTTCCTTATACTGAGGAGCTGGCTTTGGGATCCTGGTGAAATGAGGAGAACACTCTATTAAATTTCCCACTCTGAGTGCTACCTGAACTCTGTCTTCTATTCCAAATGCCTTAGGAGGCCATGAAAACTAAACCTTAATTATCCTACATTAAGTAAATAAGCTCAGCAAAAAAAGTAAATGCACAATTCCGTGATTTAGGATTTGACAATTTTTATTAAAGTTTAAGCCTCTCAATGCTTCTACATTGTGTTTTATTTTTTCACCATCCATTTTTGTTAGCATGAGGGTAGGTATGTTTACCTAAATGTGCCATGTGAGTGGTTCAAATCTCCTCCCCAATGCTCCTTATCACAAACCTTACCATCTTATTCCTTTAAAGTCACTGACTATCTAAGCAAACTACTAGCTACTGCTGTGCATTGATTAGGACCCAACAGTAAGACATTTCTCCTTTTGGTAAACTGCACTTCCAGATGGTCTAATTGAACATCTTCTCACTGGAAGTATTTTTATTTCCATTACTCTTAATGATGATTCCTGAAAGAGACTCTAATGCCCTGACAGTTAACTCTGGGGTATCCAAGCATACTCAAATTTTTTTCCTTCTACAGTCAATTGTCCTTAGGGAACTCCTCAAGACCTCAATAATGAGACAAGGGAGATTGGACTCTCCAGTGGTAATAAGAACATTAGGAGTATAGTACAAATTATTAGGCAACTTACCTGGCCTTATGGAACCTGCTAAAGTCTGATGCTGTGTATACCATTTCCCCTTGCAGACTGAGGGCTGGTGAGCATGAGTGACCCGATAAAACTCAGGTCATAATGGGCATCTCAAGTCACTTGGTCATTTTCTGTATCATGATCATAGAATTCAGAATCTACCAGGGCCCAGTAGTAAGCCAGAAGCTATTACTCAAATTCAGAAAAAGAATGGAACTTTTTCCCCAAACCCTGAAACTTGGGCAATGAGTCCTATGACTGCCACACACACACACACACACACACACACACACACACACACACACACACTCAACAATATCCAAATGAGCATTTAGGGCCAAATGGCAGATATGCTTGACTTTTGCCTGGATCAAAATGACATTTCCATTTATTATGGAATGTTTCTGTACTTGTACTAGCTCATAGGATTTTGGATTAGAGAAATACCCTTGCAGGATATGAAGTCATACTTTTTCATTGGTGAAATCATCTGTCCTCATTAGAGTTTAATAATATCATGCAGTTATTTCTCAAAGAGCTTGTACTCCTTAGATTTGCTGGAATTCCTCAAGTTAAAAAGACCAGGGCCTCAATAATGGGAGGTCTCATTGCCAATGGCTACAACCGGCTGTAGAATTTATTAAAAACATGTGAGTGCATTGTTTGGGGAAAGAATCAAGAACAAAAGCAGTGCTTGTTTTGTACTTCACTGAACTACTTCCATGGCCTCCATTCAACTTTAGCTGCAGTTTTGGTGACTTGATTCACAGACTGTCGGAAAGTTATGAGCTATGGAATGTGCTCTCTCCAATACTAAAAGAGGCCAGTCATATATATGTAGGGTGTCCTTCTTTATCATTGTAGGTTGTATGAAGTCAGTGATTCCCATAGAACCTTGGGGTCACAGATGCCAGGCCTAATCTTCTTTTATTATTCATTCAATCTTTATTTTTTCAAACAATGGTCTCACTCTCTTGCCCAGGCTGGAGTCCAATGGTGCGAACACAACTCACTGCAGCCTCGACCGCCCCAGGCTTAGGTGATCCTCCCACCTCAGCCTTCCAAGTAGCTGGGACTACAGCTGTGTGCCACCGCACCTGGCTAATTTTTGTGTTTTTTGTAGAGATGGGTTTTTGTCATGTTACCCAGGCTTGTCTTGAACTCCTGGGCTCAAGCAATCCACCCACCTTGGCCTCCCAAAGTTGTGGGATTACAGACATGAGCCACTGCACCCAGCCCTAATCTTATTTTAATTTTAGAAATCTAACTTGACAGTTTCTGGTGCCTGGATCCATATTTGTCTCAGAAGATTGAATTGTGGACTGTGACCTTCTCTCCCAAAAGTCTCTTTCAGGGTAGAACTTCTGGTTATGGCAACATGAAGAGATAGACCAGCAAGTTTTCCTCCAACAGCAACATGAAAACTGTACTAAATACTAAAAACAAACATTTGAAGTCACTGGAAAATTAACAAAGGCAAGCAATATGTGATAAGAGCTTTCTTGTTTAAGACTCCTGTCTTAGGTAAGGACTGCAAGTTGGTGGCCTTTCCTTCTTACCTATGAGTGCTCTTCAGCCTCCCAGCAGATAACTGCAGCCCTAGTGGCTCAATATGGGCAGTTTATAGAGTTCAGAGCCCAAATCAGCTAGAAATGTAAATGAGAATGTTGAAAGAGAGCTGCAGAAGAGTTGAGATCAACAATGTGAATGCAAATTATGCTCATCCCTAGTTGAACACTAAACTCTGCATGGGTGTGGGCCACTTGGGAATCTGGTGAAAAACCAGAAAGAAACTAGAGGGAGGTCTACCCTCCAAAGAGATAAATGATCCTGGTGAGATCTGCAAGTCTTCAGTAACATGGACTGAGTACATTTGCCAACCTGCACAGAGCTCAGTAGAAGAAAGCAAAAATCTTACTGGCTTGAGAGGTGAAAAGGCAGGATTTGAGGCTAACAAAACAATTGGAAATTCAAAGAGAATTCCAGAAACAAAGCAACCACAATGAAGTTGAATCACAAAATCTGAGTATAAATGACCCAAATACTTGGTCAACCTCTAAATTACACAGATGCAGGACACACACTCAGAAACCCCTGCTGAAACCACGTAAGATACTAAGTGGAAATTCTCAAACAGAAAAAAAAAGAAAATGAAAGTATTCTGGAAGAGGTCCACAGAAGTTTTGAGATGGCAGAATAAAGAACAAGCCTGTGACTTTGAATATAAATCTCCAGAATGTGCTCAATTCTAAAATCCAAAACACAGATTGAAATAAGATTAAAGAAAAAAATGAAGAGAACCTCATGAACCCATCAGAGAATATAAAGCAGGTGACCAGATATGCAAGTGGATCCTCAAAAGAAGACACAGGATCAGAAAAAAATATTTGAGAAAATAATAGTTGAAAGTTTCCCACATTTGGTGGGGGATTTTAGCTCATATCTAAGGCGTTCAATAAATGAAAGCAAAATAACTGCAGAGAAAATTACAAATAGGGTGACCAAGGCCTTGGCCTGGCCTGAGGCAACTTAGCTAGCACCAGGGATGTGTGTTCTGGTGTGGAGTAAGATCAGGGAGCTACCAGTGCAATCTCTGCCTCTACATCAGCGGGACTGATCATTTTAATTTTGATTGCAGTTACTGCTGGTATCTGAATCAAAGTGGTGATGCTTCCTGAGGAAATTTCTGAAGCCATTAGTCAATTAGACCATTATAAGCCATGCCTCCCGTGAAGAGGAGCATCTAATCCCAGCATTTGCACCAGGGAACTCTGCCTGAAGGGATTACCAGTGACTTGAAAGTGTAACCAACAACAATCTTGTCACTATTACGCACCAGCTAAGCAATCTGAACATACATGCTGAAGACACATTTGGTGAGCTATTTAAGGAGGCTAACTGCTTCCACATTAGATCAAATTCTCTTAGAATTTGTTGCCTCATGGTCAAAGTCACTCAGCTGGATTCAGCAGTGGAAGAGGTGTCACCACAGGACATCAACATGGAAAAAGCCCTCAAAAGTTCCCCAGCCCAAGACCAGCAAGCAGTTTCAAAGAGCAGCATTCCTACTCCTGCTGCTGACATTTACAATCAGAGTGATTGACCACCTCCCCTGAATAGCATGAGAGCACATGGAGATGATAAAGACAGGCTGAAGTTCTATACTGATCCTTCCCATTTATTTGACCTCTGGAAAGAAGTGCTGCAGGACACAGAAGACAAAAGGAAAGACAGAAGGCATCAAAAGTAGCAAAACCACATAGATGGCACCACTTATGATGTGAAAAGGATTACAAAAGCCAGAAACAAGCACCATGAGTGGAATATGATGGCATATGACAAAGAGCTTAGACCCAGCAACAGGTTGTCTCAGTGTGTACCATGGAGCATCCTGCAAGAACCCCTGTCCCTAGACAGCAGGTCCCATACAATGGATGTTAGGGATGCTCTTATGGAGCTACTCCAAACCATTCTCACGACCCTTCCTAGGCAGCTGAAGATGCATCTCCACATGGGCCCACAAACCAGGCCCCTGAGCTTGAGTGCCACCCCTCCTCTGCCTCAGTGAGGCACATGGCCCTAAATGGACCTCAAGAGCGGCCCCCACTTCCCTGCCTTACCCCAGCTGTGTTCCAATCCTGTGCACTTATGGCTCCAGGAGACTACAGGATGCTCCCAGCACAGGTGCTTGCATATTACAACCCGTCAAGACCTCCTTCTCTTCCCCCTTTTACAGTACAAACTGCCTTTGTTGCCTTCTGCAAATCCTCCTGCCGCCTCCTTCCTCATATCAGCTGGCTCCACACACCCTCCTCCTCACCCTCCCTCCACTGGCCCCTGGGTCCAGCATTCCCTCCTCCAGCCACACACTTTCCCCACCAGGCCTCTTGGCTCAGTTCTTCTTTTTTGTCTTCCCCGTGCATTCGCCCCCACACTACCACCAGTAGCTGAGGCAAAGCGTCAAGAACCTGCACAGCCACCAAAAAGTGATACGAGAAGTGATCTCCTTGCTGCTACTGGAATGAGGATTTGACGGGAAAAGGTGCAGGATCTGTGTGAGCAAGAGGCCAAGAGTGAGCCCCTTGGGAAGGACAAGGTCACAACCCTGTCAATACATTGCAGTGGAGAAGTACAGGGATTCTGAGGGAGACTTAGAGTTTGACAAAAACAACCGGCCCAACCAAGGCAGTGCTGGGGCTAGCTCTATGCAACAGGTGGGTAGCTGGTACCAGGCTGGGTGACAGCCAGGAGACCATATGCTAAGAATGTACTTAAGATTTCAAGTGGTCTCAGCACTCAATGGTATTATAATCCCGCAGCTGAGCACCTTTTGTATTAATGATGTGATATTGCTTCTGCACATCCAAAAATTCTGGGTTTTCTCGTATTTACTGTGTAACATTTAAATGCCATTAAGCATAGAATATCATGCTGCACATGAAGAAATAGGATGTAACTATTACATCGTCCTGAAAAGAGCGTTTTTTTTTTCCTGTAGGCCATGAAAGTATTTAGTGTACTTTGGGTTTACTCTTATTGATCATTACAATTCTGCAGATGTGCTGTGTGAAGCTGCCTGGTGCTAGGCCTTTGAAGATTAATAACTGTGTTTCAGGTGGATATCTTCAGATGAGTAATTGATATTGTTTTACTGTTTTGGGGTGTTTTATGAGTTTGAAAAGCTGTTGGTTCTAGAGGGAAAGGTTTAACAAATAAGGAGAATCCAATATTTCTGCTTTCATTTTCTTGGCGTGGTATCCTCTGTGTGAATTTGAATGCTCAGTTGAATAGTTTTATTGCCTTAGTACACACTTGTCAAATGTAAAGTTGGAAGGACCCTTTTCAGGAAGGGTTTCCTGTGAACATTCACTTAGTAAATGCTTGTGGATGATTCTTGTAAGAGGTCTCAGTGCTTAGAAGTAATGAAAATGAAGAACAAGATCCTTTCACCTTCAGGGTCCTTTGGGACCAATACTCAAAATATTTGCCAGCCCTTACAGCTTGGGCACCAGCCAGCAGGAGCAGAGGTGAGTGGTCCAGGAGCTGGGCAGCTCTGGGCAGAGCAGCTGCATGTGGGCCCTGGGTGCTAAGCAGGCCTGCTCATTGTGTGTCCTGGAAGAGCTGTGTTCTAAAGGAGGCCACAGGAGTTCTTAGCTCCTTAGTGTGTGACAGACAGTGCTTCAGAGGGCACCGTGCTCCACTTGGTCTTAATTTTGAAAGTTTACATTGAGGTGAAAGTAGATATTGACAGCTGTTCACTCTTCATGTGCTGTGTTCAGATTACGGATGAATCCATGAGCAGGGCCTTTGCCTTATCCTAGAAACACGTGGTTATCTTCCCTCATGTTGTTGCTGGCACATCACATGTTGATAAGTACCTCTCAAGATTACCTTGATAGACCCGTAGCTGTAGAAGAGCACTTAGTTCTCACCTCTGCCCTTCCCCTTATTCTTGCACCGTGGTCATGCTAGAGACCCATGGGGTTTATTTTCCTGGCTAAGGCAAACTGTTGGGAAATGCAAGAAAGAGAGCTTCTATTGTGTAATTCTGGATGAAGAATAACTGCTTGTTTAGAACAAATAAATGTCCCAGGCTTTGATTATAGTTATGACTTCAAAAATATGCTAAGACCATTTACTTACTGAGGAAATCTTACCTACTTATAGTATTTCAAATTGATTGAAGTCATTAGTGACTTTCAGTTACGATGAAGGGAAGAATCTTGAGCTAAACGCAGGGTTGTCTGAGGTGATGATAGGAGTGGAAACAGGATGGTAACTAATGGATTTAGGTTAATGAGTTCTGAGAAAATCAACCAGCCCCTGCAAGTCACAGCTCTGTGTCTCTAAGTGGACACCTGTCTGTCTTGAGGCAGTCATCATATAATACGCATCACATAGATTTTAGTCATATGGATTTTGAAACTCTGGAAACCATATGTCTGCAGCTCCCTTTCATGACCATGCTTGTGCTGGTTTATCTGATCTCCTCAGCTGTACCAGCTGCTGTGGCATGAGCTTCTTGAGCTTCTCTTTTTAGAGCTGATCATTATCTGGCGGCTGTCGCTATAATTTTCTTGAATACAAGTAAACATTATTTATAAACTTTTAAATTTCTCTGTTTAATTTTTCTCTCTCTTTTTTTTTTAATGTAGAGGCCTACTTTGCTGGCATCTTTGGGTCCTACTCAGTCATAAACCACCCTCCCCACCCTAGAGTAGCCACTCTTGATTTCTAATACAGATGAGTTCTGCCAGGTCTAGTTGAATGGCATTATACAGTCACCATCATGACCCTGGGTCTCATCATCTCGCTGTGTGTGGTCGTAGCCTATTCACTCCCATGGCTGTCCAATGCTCCACTTTATAAATAACTCACATTTCTTGTCCTTTCACTGTTGATAGACAATTTTGTTGTATACAGATTTTACAAATCGTGCTGCTATGAATAATATTTTCATATAGTTTGGCACACACATACATGCATTTCTATTGGTTTAGAACTAAGAGTGCTATTGCTGGATCATAGGTGAGTAGATGATTGGCTTAGTCTCTCAAAAAGCAAGTTTCTAGTAGTAAACAAACAGTAGAGGAGGGTGAATCTCTTACTTAGAAATTATTCAGATAATAAATGAAGAAGGAATGAGAGACTGAGACTATAATAACTCTTTTGCAACCCATCATGAATTAACAGATTTAGCCATTGAATAGCAATGGCAATTAACAACACAATAAAAGAAAAAACTAATGTGAGGTTCTTCCTCTTGATGGAAGAACACAATACAGCACCATCAAACAAGTCCAAGTGAAAAAGAAACCAAGCCTGAATAGAAGCTGATCTCCATAGCCAATTACCAATTTAGAGGCAATACAGATAATAGAAATGCATATTAAACTATGCCTTGGGGAGCAATCAGCAAAATGCACACTATGGGAAGCTCTACCACACAATATAAATTTCAAGGAAGAATCTATAGAATAAAGACAACAAAAGCATATTTCTAAAGGTAAAACTAAATCATAATATTGGATGATAAAAATAAAAATAAAACAAAGAAGTGATGATCGTAAAAGTCAGGTTGTGTTTTTATTTGAGGGAAGAAAGAGTTTATTGCTGGGCTGGAGCAAATGATGGGGCTTCTGGTTTGCCCCACAAACATCTATCCCTGGTGATTAATGGGTGTTTACTTTGTATTAAAGGACACAAATTTTAGACAGTTTTTTCTTTTGGAGTCCTAGATTTTATTTTATGACACAAAGGCTAATGAAAAAATAATTTATAGAGTATGGTTACTGTTTTGCACAAAGCCTCCTCCCCATCTTCTTTTCTGGACACTGAGCACCCAGAACAACCAGCAGCCCCAGGACCCCCAGCAGGGGTGACCTCACTTCTAGGTGTGCATGCAGCTTACATCACCAGAGGTAACATGCAGGTCTACTCCTTGACTCCTGGAAGAACCTGATAGGACACAGCTGAAGGGAAGCCTTCTCCGCCATCTGTAGGCTCTTGGCCATCAGTGTAGAGGGAGCGGGTCCTCACTTCTCCACAGGCGTCTTCACGGCCATAGCCTCCTCTCTGCATGGGGAGTAAGGCCTGGCCCTTCGCCTGAACACGGTGACAGGGATCTCGCCAAAGGTGGAGATCACACCATTCCTCCTTTAGCAACCTCACGCTTCTTTTGCTTTACAGGAAAGTTGACTCAGGCTGGTGTCCAGTAAAGAAATCCCAAGGAGAGGCCGGGTGCGGTGGCTCACGCCTGTAATCCCAGGACTTTGGGAGGTCGAGGTGGGCAGATCACGAGGTCAGGAGATTGAGACCATCCTGGCTAACATGGTGAAACCCCGTCTCTACTAAAAAATACAAAACATTAGCCGGGCATGGTGGCGGGCACCTGTTGTCCCAGCTACTCGGGAGGCTGAGCCAGAATGGCGTGAACCCGGGAGGCGGAGCTTGCAGTGCTCCTGCTCCCAGGAGGCGGATGCCCAGGATGAGCTTTAAGGTGGAGAGAGGAATGTCATTGCTCATCCTCCAGGTTTCAAGTAAGAACCTTCCTGCCCAGCCCATCTCGATCTCCCTGAATCCTCAACGCTAATGAGGACTGTCTCCTTCTCACCTCCCTAGACTGGGCTTTTTAACACTGGAAAGTGGATGTGATTTCTAGTTTCAGCATGTCCTGGTTTATTGTGCTGCCAGTAAAATAAAATCAAAATACACATTGAATAAATAATAAATAACCCATAGTGAGCAAAGGCTTACAATGTATTTTTTTGAGTCAAGACCTCACTCTGGCCTGGGCTGGAGCCCAGTGGTGGGATCGTAGCTCAATGCAGCCTTGTATTTATGAGCTCAAGGGATCTTCCCACCTCAGCCTCCACAATACCTGGAAATACAAGCGCCCACCACCAGGCCCAGCCGTTTACTGATTTTTATTTTTTTTAGAGACGAGGGTCCCACTATGTTGTCCAAGCTGGTCTCCAATTCCTGATCTCAAGCAATCCTCTTGCCTTAGCATCCTGAATTGCTGGGATTACAGGCGTGAGCTGTCATGCCCAGCTTGTAATGTACTGACACTATCAAGGTTTCTTTCTCCAAGTGTGGACACAGCAGCAGACACCCCTTGTCTCTTGGGTCAGGACACTGGGTAAAGTGGAATAGCAAGGCAACAAAGTCACTGCAGAAAGCACCCACGTGGAAGAGGTCCAGCAGGGAGAGCCACCTGTTCCAGGGACACCATATTTAGGGATAACTCCTCTTTCTGGGCAGGACTGTTCTTTGATTACTTTTGTATTCACAATAGTTCTGAAATCGTAGGATGATGAGACTCAAGACTGGCTAGGGTTTTATTTTTGTTTAGTTTTTATTTTGTTTTGTTTTGTTTTTTTCAAAAAACCATCATGAGATTTGTTAATCTTTTGAATGGTTTTTGTGTCTCAATTTCCTTCAGAACTTAACTCTTCTTAACATTTCACAGTCCACTTTCAGTTAAAAATGTACTAGTACCCATAAATAGAGAAATCTTGCAACCATTTATCCTCTATAAAATGTCCATCTTTATGGTACAGATATTATATGTAATATATCTATATAGGTTATAAGTCCCACAAGAAAAAAACTTCTTCTTATCTTTAAACAGTTCTATGTATATAAATTAGAGTAAATGAGGGGAACAAGATAGCCTTTTGCACTTAGCTCAGTATTTACCATTTTTGATCATCTTCATCTTTTCTTTTTTTTTTTTTTTTTTTTTTTTTTGAGACGGAGTCTCGCTCTGTCGCCCAGGCTGGAGTGCAGTGGCGCGATCTCGGCTCACTGCAAGCTCCGCCTCCCGGGTTCACGCCATTCTCCTGCCTCAGCCTCCCGCGCAGCTGGGACTACAGGCGCCCGCCACCACGCCCGGCTAATTTTTTTTGTGTGTTTTTTAGTAGAGACGGGGTTTCACTGTGTTAGCCAGGATGGTCTCGATCTCCTGACCTCGTGATCCGCCCGCCTCGGCCTCCCAAAGTGATCTTCATCTTTTCTGATAACCTCATTTCCCACCTGGTATCATTTGTCTTTAGCCTGAAGAATTTTCTTTACCAATTGTTATTGTGCAGATCTGCTGGTGACAAATTCTCTTAATTTTCTTTTACCTGAAACATCTCCTTATTTTGCCTGTCCTTGAAGGACATCTGTGCTGGATATAGAATTCTTAGTTGTCCTTTTTTTCTTCCAGCACTTTAAAGGTGTTATTCTACTTTCTTTTGTTTCTATGGTTTCTAATAAGAAGTCGTTGGTCAGGACAAGAGGAACAGAGAAACCAAAACTGAGGAAATAACATGGTAGACCTAAAACTTATCAATAATGAAAAAAAAACCTATATGAATCAACACTCCAATGAAGGGCAGAGATTGTGTGAATTGGTTAAAAAACAAAACAAAACACAGAACCCAACCATATGCTCTTTCCAGATATGCAGTTTCTTTGTTTCTTTTTTTTTTAATTTAACTTTTATTTTTAGTTAAGGAGTACATGTGCAGGTTTGTTATATAGGTAAACTTGTGTCATGCGGTTTTATTGTACAGATTATTTCTGTACCCATTAGTACCCACCCAAGTATTAAGCCTTAGTACCCATTAGCTATTTTTCCTGATCCTCTCCCTCCTCCCACCCTCCACCCTCAAGTGGACCCCAGTGTGTGTTGTTCCCTTCTGCGTGTCCATGTGTTCTCATCATATAACTCCTACTTATAAGTGAGAACATGTGGTAATTGGTTTTCTGTTCCTGCCTCAGTTTGCTAAGGATAATGGCCTCCAACTCCATCCATGTTCCTGCAAAGGACATGATCTCATTCTTTTTTATGGCTGCATGGTATTCTGTGGTGTATATGTGCCACATTTTCTTTTTCTTTTTTTTTTAATGGAAAATAACTTTTATTGAGATCCCACCAGTTGCAATATCTGTTCCCAGCATTAAGCTCCTTCTTCCTTTGCAATTCGGTCTTTCTTGAGTGGTCCCATGAATGCTTTCTTCTCCTCCGTGGTCTGGAAGCGGCCATGGCCAAACTTGGAGGAGGTGTCAATGAACTTAAGGTCAATCTTCTCCAGAGCCCGCTGCTTTGTCTGCACCAGCAAGGACTTGTGGAGGGTGAGCACCCACTTCTTGGTTCCCACCACACAGCCTTTCAGCATGACAAAGTCATTGGTCACTTCACCATAGTGGACGAAGCCACCCAAAGGGTTGATGCTCTTGTCAGACAGGTCATAGTCAGTGGAGGCATTGTTCTTGATCAGCTTGCCATCCTTGATAAGGTAGCCCTAGCCAATCCTATAGATCTTGTTGATCTCAGTGCGGTGATGGTAGCCTTTCTGCCCACCACGTACCACAGAGAAGCCCACACGAGCAGGATGCCATGCCCCAATACAGGCCACCTTGCACAGGCCTTGGTGGGTCTTGCGGGGCAGCTTCTTGGTGTGCCAATGACTGGTGACCCTTTTGTAGCCTTTGCCCTTGGTCACCCTGATGACGTCGATCATCTCATCCTGCCCAAACACTTGGTTCACAGGTACCTGGTGCTTGAGCCTCTCGCCAGCCCAGTCCAGCTTCTCAGCCACAGTGCCTCCATTCACCTGGATCTCCATCAGGTGGGCCTTCTTCTGGCACAGAGGAAGCAGGTGCATCTGGGTGTGGGCAATGACGCAGATGACTTGGCAGTACTTCTTCATGCTGCTGAAGTCCTTCTCCAGCTGCTTCTTGCCATCCTCATCCTGCCATTTCTTGCAGTACTTGGTAAAGGCCTTCTTCTTAGATTTATGCCAGTTCTTATAGAAACGCCTCTTGCATTCATCACTGATGTGCTCAGCGAAGACAGTCTTGCAAGTCCGGAAGCCTTGAGGGGTTTCCACGCAGCCCACAATGCCCACTGGTGGCCTCTCCACAATGGTCACAGCCTCCACCACCTCCTTCTTGTTCACCTTGGATCCTGGCCTGTCGACTTCCCGCACGATGTGGGTCATGCCAGCCTTGTATCCCAGGAAGGCTGTGAGGTGGACCGGCTTGGATGGGTCATCCTTAGGGAAGCTCTTCACCTTCCCATGATGCCTGCTGCTGTGCTTCCAAGGCAGGAAGCCGAGGGACCCATGTCTGGGAGTGGAGAACTTTCTGTGAGACATCACGCCATCAAATCCTGCCGGTAGAGCATATTTGCCACATTTTCTTTATCCAGTCTACCATTGATGGACATTTAGGTTGATTCCATGTCTTTGCTATTGTGAATAGTGCTGCAATGAACATATGCATACATGTAAGACATGGGCTTTCTTTTTTTAATTTGCTTTGTTTTATTTTACTTTAGGTTCCAGGATACATGTGCAGAACCTGCAGGTTTGTTACATGCGTATAGTCTGCCATGGTGGTTTGCTGCACCTATTGACCCATCCTCTAAGTTCTCGTCCCTTGCCCCCCACACTCCCCAAAAGGCCCTGATATGTGTTGTTCCCCTCCCTGTGTCCATGTGTTGTCATTGTTCAACTCTCACTTAGGAATGAGAACATGAGGTGCTTTGTTTTCTGTTCCCGTGTTAGTTTGCTGAGGATGATGACTTCCAGCTTCATCCATGTCCCTGCAAAGGACATGAACTCATTCCTTTTTCTGGCTGTGTACTATTCCATGGTGGTATGCACCACATTTTCTTTATCCATCTATCACTGATGGACATTTGGGTTGGTTCCAAGTCTTTGCTATTGTAAATAGTGCTGCAGTAAACATACGTGTGCATGTGTCTTTATAGTAGAATGATTTATATTCCTTTGGGTAGATACCCAAAGGGTCAAATAGTATTTCTGGTTCTAGATCTCTGAGGAATGGCCACACTGTCTTCCACAATGGTTGAACTAGTTTACATTCCCAACAACAGTGTAAAAGTGTTCCTATTTCTCCACAGCCTCACCAGCATCTATTGTTTCTTGACTTTTTAATAATTACCATTCTGACTGGTGGGAGATGGTATCTCATTGTGGCTTTGATTTACATTTCTCTAATGAGCAGTGATATTGAGCTTTTTAAATTTTTCTCATTAAGATTTTAATGTCTCATTTTAAAAAATTAAAGGAAGTTTCCATTTATTTTTTAAGATAAAGATTTAGCGCACCCAAATGCCCCCAAAGCCAACAGAAAAATAGCTTTGCCCTGTCATTTCCCTAAGAAAGCACTGCAGTTACTCAAAATATGCTCAAAGAAAAAAATGCAATCCTCTGAGTTCTAAGTTTCACGAAAGGACCACATGTTAAACTATGTATATCGATTTGATGTGTAAGTATGCAATAAATATGTACACATACATTCCTATCTGCTTCACATCATTCTAGAGTATTCATAGTATATGAAGATGGGATTTAGAAATGTGAAAAGGCTGTAACAGTGAAAAGGAAAAAAAGGGTACAAAGGTTTTTAGACCAGTAGAATAATAATGCTTAGCTAGTTAATTATTTTAACTTTGGAGCAGACTAAAAAAGTTGTTTTGAAATAAATGGTACCTGTAAGTGATGCTTACTGCAATACTTGTTAAGTGTTATTTGTCACCACTGACAGGAATTATATAGTGCTAGTAACACAGCTCCCACTGTCCTAGAATTCCTCTAAATGGCCAGCTATTGCTACCATTATCTTGATAAGCATTTCAAGAATTGTGTTGCTGAGCCTTTTAAAAGATAACTAGTTTATAACCTATGTCTCCTTATGTGCCTACATCAGTTACTCATGGTCCCAAAGAAGTATAAAAGAGGATATAAGCTGCTGAAGATTTCACAGAAGAAACAGAGATATCAGAAACTTCATGATCATCAAACTTAAACCACCGCTGTTTTGCTGCATTTTTACAGTAGGCTGTGTAATGGCCTCCATCCAGCCCACCGCAGTGATCTGAAACAGAAAACAAATTATATTTCTTCAAATTGTTCTTTGGACCAATAACATACTGTGACAAGGCAAGATTTTCTAACGGGAAGTCCACAGATGTCTGTAATTTTTGTTTCCACCTGCCATTGTAGGAAAAATGTTTCAGATGCACTAAAAGCACAGGTGGTAACTTCCAGATTTCTTTTTTAAGAATCCCGTCGAGCTCTGCAAAGATTGCAGTAAAATCTGTTATTATCTATGAGTTTTTCTTCTTTAGAAAATAATCTAAGGCAATCCTATAATGTACATTTACTTGTGGATGCTATCAGTAGAGACAAATACATGAAGGCCTCAAGTGTCCTAGACTTTTTGTGACGGGTGAGGCACTGTACTGTAGATTTGAATTGACCCTGAAAAAGTGCAACAATAATAGACTCATAGAGCCGCTTGTGTTTCTGCCAGGCATGTTCTGCAGCTTTAAAGTCATTGAGATGATCATTATTTTCTTCTTTATATGTCTTCCGATTATCAGTTTTATTTAGATCTTCATGGAGACCATCCATTAGGAACAGAAGAAATTCTTGTGAATCTTGACTGTATCCTGCAAACTGGTAATTGATCTTCCCAATGGTGACTTTAAGGTCTTTTGGACTGATATATCTATACTGTCCTGTCCACGGGGCTTTCATGATTATACCAAATTCTTCTGCCACTTCACCTTTATGCCCCTAACAAATTTGACTTGTTAATATCATCCTGATAACAGTTTCGGTTGAAATAATCAGCCAAATGTGGAGGATTACATAGGCACTGCAATATTGAGTTCATATAACAAGTATTTCCTAAGTTACGAAGTCCAGTAAGAGCTGGTCCAGAACCTCCAAAAACAGGATTGAGTTTCCAAATCTGAGAAGCAGAAAGCCTTGAGATCTCAGCTTTAGGGTAGCATGTTGGCTTGTCTTCCTGATTAACTGTTGGAGTTACTGCTGGCTTCCTCTTGAATAGCCTGGGTTATATCTGGGGAGGAGTAAGAGCATTTCAGTTTGGAAGGTTCCCTATCCTGCTTAGCAGGAATCTGTGGCTTGCCTTTATGAGTTGGAGGGGTGGAAGGAGGTGCAGATGAAGGAGCCATTTCCAGTGGGTACATATGAACAGTGTTAGTGGTGAATGATAATAATGAAACGTTCCAGTGATTGGATCAAGAAACTTGGCCCAGCCTGAAGGCAGTCCTGGTACCATCCTCCCCATTTCTTCACTTCGTGCTATTATCGAAGGTTCTCGTTGAGTTTTATTTCTTTAAGTATCATCTGTATCCTCTCTAAAAGTTTCTGTCCTTAGAATTCCAGTTTCTGGTTGTCCTTTAATCTTAAAAGGCTTGCCTGAACCTGAATCCCCTGTCGCAGATGTATGGGACACATCTCTTGTTGACTTTTTCTGTACTTCTGGGGTTGAACATCTTCTCCCCCTGTCCTCTACAGACTTCTCGGCACCAGAGGTTTCATGATCACTTTTACTTTGTCTTTTTACTCTTGTTATTTCTTTGCCCTTCTTTGCTGAGATTTCTTTATCCTCTTTCTTGGCCTGTTCACGTTCTTTCTTCTCCATTTCTTCTTTTGCTTTTTGTTGCTTCTGTGTAATTTCATTTTCTTCAGCTTCTTGTTTCTTTTTGGCTTTTTGCTCGTGTTCTTCCCTCCTCAGTTTCTTTCTGTTTCCCTTGCTGTCTTTCCTGAAGTTCTTTTTCTTGTTTGTTTTTCTCCATTAGAAGAGCAGTTTCTGCATGAATATGAGCCTTTTCTTCATCTGTTAACATGAGAGTTGGAGAGGAAACTACTGGCTTGGTGGAACAATCAGGAATAACTTTTTCATTCTGAGGAGACTGTTGCTCATGATTTGTACTTTCAGATTTGATTATATGCTCTTCAGGCAATTTGACTGCCAGTTTTTTAGTATGATCAATCTGTGGAACATTCTTTATGCTAGGCACTGGCTGAATGATGGGTGAAACATCAGATTTAGAAGCAGCAACTGATTCAACTGGAATTGATATATTCAGTGGTCCTGTCCTCTCATTTTGATCATTATCACTTATTTGATCACTTATCAATTCTATGTCTTCATCCACTTTTATAGGTGGAGGTGGCATCTCGGCAGCAGGTTTAGAAGGAATTGATTCTTCCAATGAGGGATAAGTAAAATCCAATGAGATAGACAACTCTTCATTCTGGTGTTGTGGGGGTGGAGTGACCTTAGCATTTGTTGTATACTGGGAATAGCAAAGGAACCAGTTTTTATAGCCTCCCTCTAAAACCAAAGGCCCAAGGCCCATTGCACAGGACAGTTTTACTTTCCCACTTGAAAAGTGCATCTTTCAGATGCCAGAGTGTTGTTCCAATCTGTAAATCTTTTGCAGAACTAAACCAGTCAAGAAGTACCATATACTCCACATTCCCCCTCTTCTTCCATGTATCTATAGAATCATCTGGGAGGTGTGCTTCAATCCAGCTAGCAGTGACTCCTGGACTGATGGCTTTTTCAGGAACACTGAGAGAATGTAAAATACAGGAATCCTGATAATCCTGCATTCTTTGAGCATCCATTATAATCAAGCTGATGTTTTTATCCATCATCATTGTGTATAGTTCCTTTGCTGTGATTGCTCCTTTCTCTTTGGTCTCACATTTTTCATTCTTTTCACCATTGCTCTTTTGGGTTTTGTCTTTGGAATCCAATACAATCTCCAAAGAACCTTTAGCCAACATGCTGCCATCCTCTCTTCCTGTTTCCTGCCTTTTTTGTTGTAGCCACTGTGCTTCCCCCTGCCTGTCCTTTTCCTCAAGTTTTTTCCAGATTTCAACTTCTTCATATCTTAGTTTAAGGCTTTCAGAGAGTCGTTCAGTTTCTCCAGTGGCTTTTTTGATGTTTGCAGGTCCAAGTATTGAATGGAAGTAATACTGCTGTTGCTTGAAATCAGTTCTTTTTTGGATAGGATTATAAACAGTCACGTTTCATATACGTGTGTGAGCTTTTTTTCATATGTTTCTTGGCCACGTAAATGTCTTCCTCTGAGAAGTGTCTGTTTATATCCTTTGCCCACTTTTTGATGGGGATGGGTTTTTTTCTTGTAAATTTGTTTAAGTTCCTTGTAAACAAACATGTGAGCTCTCATCATTCTTGTTTAAACACCTAACAGTCATCCTAACCAGTGCAACAAGGACCAGGCATGGTGGCTCATGCCTGTAATCCCTGCATTTTGGGAGGCTGAGGTGGGAGGATCACTTGAGATCAGGAGTTTGAGACCAGCCTGATAAGTGAGACCTCATCTCTACCAAATAATAATAATTTTAAAAGAAAAAAGATCAATGGATAAGAAAGGAAGAAATGAAAGTCTTTCTTTGTCACCAACTTCATTGTATATGTAGAAAACACTAGGGAATTCTGAAAAAGTCTCTGGAATTAATCATTGAATTTGCAAAATAGTTCATAAAATATATGTAATAAGTCGCTTAGATGAACATGAAAAGATAGCAAACAATACTAGTCATCAAAGAAGTGCAAGTTAAAACCACAATGAGAAACCATCACACATCACCTAGAGCAGATAAAGTTAAAAAGACATATGATAAGTCTTAACACTGGCAAGAATATGGAAAAAATAGGAATGTCTGATATTGCTGGTAGGAATGCAAAAAATGTGGCAGCCAATTTGTAAAGTGGTATGGCAGTTTCTTATACAGTTACCCATCTATTACCACATGGCCCAGCAATTCCACAAATACGTATTTATCCAAAAGAAATAAAAATGTAAGTCCACACTTGTAAGCAGTTATTTATAGTGGCTTCATTAATAACAAACCCTAACTGGAGGAATCCACATGTCTATCAACTGGAGACACAGAAACCAATGAATAAACTGGGATTCCAACAATACTCGGCAGCTGCTCAGCAACAAAAATGAATGAATGGCATCATCTCAAACATCGTTATGCTAAGGGAGAGACCAAACAAAAGACTACATAACATATGATTGCATGTCCATGAAATTCTAGAAATGTCACTATTGCAGTGACAGAAAGCACAGCAGTGGTTGAATGAAGGGAAGGGGGTGAGGGTGGGAGGCAAGGATTAAATAGAAAGGGGCATAAAGAAAGTTTTTAGGGAAAAGAAACTGTTCTCTACAGCGCCACAATTCAGGAGTGACTGGGAGGGGGAAGTAAGGGGAGAAGAAGGTCTGAGGGATAAGGGGCAGAGAGAAGGGCTGGGGAAGCAGGAGGAGAGGAGAAGGAGCAGGGGAAAGGACTCTAAAGCAGTGGAGGGGCCTAGTAGGAGGATCTTTGCATTTGGTGTTTCTCTACTGGGCAGTGTGGTAGTTACACTATAAATAATTACCAATATCCACCAAAAAGTGCAGCTAAAACTGGTGAATTTTTGTACACGTAAACGCCCTAATAAGCAAAAAAAAAAGGGGGGGGGGAGGGGGGAGGAAAGAAGGCAAAAATAAAGGCATTGTTAGATCATCAAACCCATAAAATTCATTTCCTAGGGGTCCTGTACTACATGTAATTTTAAAGGACGTTCTTCAGGCTGAAGGGAAATGATACTAAATGGTGACCCAGATATACAGAAAGGAACAATTAACAACAGAAATGATGCACATACACATATCACATACACACCCATTTTCTTAATTTCCTGAAGATATGTGACTGCTTGTCTAAAACAAAAAGTATTACACTGTATCGTTGAGTTTATAACGTATATTGATGTAACATATACAATAATAATAGCATAATGATAGTTTAAGTGAAACTACACCATTTGAAGTGTCCTTTATTTTGCTGGATGCAGCTTAATATTACCTGAATTTCACTGTGAAAAGTCAAGGAATTGGGTTTCAATTCTTACAACAATAAAAAATTAATGTAAAGAAATATAGCTAAAAGCCACTAGGAGAATTAAAACCATAAGCTAAAAAATGTTTACTTGACACATAAGAAAGTAGCAAAGGAGGAACAGAAACAAAAAGATATGAGACAAATTGAAAACATATAGCAAAATGGTAGACCAAAATCCAACCATTGTAAGTGAAGAAATGACACGACCTGAGTCACATTAGCAGGACTGCTGAGCACTGTGGGGAGAACAGACATGGGCAGGAGGTGAGGGACAGTGTTAGTGCCACAATTCAGGAGTGACAGGGTGGCGGGGACTAAAGGGGAAAGAGGGTGTGAGGGATGAGAGGGGCAGACAGAAGGGCTGGAGAAGCAGGAGGTGAGGAAAGGAGCAGAGGAAAGAATTCTAAAGCAGTAGAAGAGCCTGGCAGGGGGTTCTTTGCATTCGGTATTTAATACCTTTTGTGTGACTGCCTTAAAACTAATGGCCTCCTTATGATTTTTTTTAAAAAAGGGGTTACAAAAATATCAAGTGTCCAAATAAAATATGCACACTGCTTAGATGTGCATAGTTCCGGAAAACGGGCAGTGCTGGAGCGCTGGTGAAGAGCATTGGGACTGCATTGAGCCCTCGCAACTTTGAGGTGATGACTACAGGCTCCCGGTTGCAATAGACAGTAACAAACCCTGCTTCTTTGTATTCAGGAGATGTTCTGGACTCACACAAGGAAACTCGGGCTAGAGAATGAGGATAACTTTAAATGCAACAACCCAGAGTCACAGATCCATAGTCTGCGAAAGTAAAACAGGAGCTTTGAGAATTTAATTGTAATGCAGTTTTGACACAGGTCTTTCACAGATTGGAATTCTAATCATTCAGGGATTACCAATATTGTGCTACCTACTGTATCAATAAACAAAAAGGAAACTGGTCTCTATGAGAATCTCTACCTGGTGCTTTCAGACAAAACTTCACCAGGTTTAAAGAGAAAACTCCTGACTCTACACGTCCATTCCCAGGGCGAGCTCACTGTCTGGCATCAAGTTCCCCATGGTGAGTTTCCCTGTACAAGAGTCCAAGGGGAGAGGTAAGTGTCCTTTATTTTGCTGGATGTAGTTTAATATTACCTGAGGTAAGGTAAGGCAAAGAGTGGGAGGCAGGGAGTCCAGTTCAGGGACGGGGATTCCAGGAGAAGTGAAGGGGAAGGGGCTGGGCGCAGCCTGGGGGTCTCTCCCTGGTTTCCACAGACAGATCCTTGGCCAGGACTCAGGCACACAGTGTGACAAAGATGCTTGGTGTAGGAGAAGAGGGATCAGGACGAAGTCCCAGGTCCCGGGCGGGGCTCTCAGGGTCTCAGGCTCCAAGGGCCGTGTCTGCACTGGGGAGGCGCCGCGTTGAGGATTCTCCACTCCCCTGAGTTTCACTTCTTCTTCCAACCTGCGTCGGGTCCTTCTTCCTGAATACTCATGACGCGTCCCCAATTCCCACTCCCATTGGGTGTCGGGTTCTAGAGAAGCCAATCAGCGTCTCCGCAGTCCCGGTTCTAAAGTCCCCAGTCACCCACCCGGACTCGGATTCTCCCCAGACGCCGAGATGCGGGTCATGGCGCCCCGAACCCTCATCCTGCTGCTCTCGGGAGCCCTGGCCCTGACCGAGACCTGGGCCTGTGAGTGCGAGGTTGGGAGGGAAACGGCCTCTGCGGAGAGGAGCGAGGGGCCCGCCCGGCGAGGGCGCAGGACCCGGGGAGCCGCGCAGGGAGGAGGGTCGGGCGGGTCTCAGCCCCTCCTCGCCCCCAGGCTCCCACTCCATGAGGTATTTCTACACCGCCGTGTCCCGGCCCGGCCGCGGAGAGCCCCGCTTCATCGCAGTGGGCTACGTGGACGACACGCAGTTCGTGCAGTTCGACAGCGACGCCGCGAGTCCAAGAGGGGAGCCGCGGGCGCCGTGGGTGGAGCAGGAGGGGCCGGAGTATTGGGACCGGGAGACACAGAAGTACAAGCGCCAGGCACAGACTGACCGAGTGAACCTGCGGAAACTGCGCGGCTACTACAACCAGAGCGAGGCCGGTGAGTGACCCCGGCCCGGGGCGCAGGTCACGACCCCTCCCCATCCCCCACGGACGGCCCGGGTCGCCCCGAGTCTCCCGGTCTGAGATCCACCCCGAGGCTGCGGAACCCGCCCAGACCCTCGACCGGAGAGAGCCCCAGTCACCTTTACCCGGTTTCATTTTCAGTTTAGGCCAAAATCCCCGCGGGTTGGTCGGGGCTGGGGCGGGGCTCGGGGGACGGGGCTGACCACGGGGGCGGGGCCAGGGTCTCACACCCTCCAGAGGATGTATGGCTGCGACCTGGGGCCCGACGGGCGCCTCCTCCGCGGGTATAACCAGTTCGCCTACGACGGCAAGGATTACATCGCCCTGAATGAGGACCTGCGCTCCTGGACCGCCGCGGACAAGGCGGCTCAGATCACCCAGCGCAAGTGGGAGGCGGCCCGTGAGGCGGAGCAGCGGAGAGCCTACCTGGAGGGCACGTGCGTGGAGTGGCTCCGCAGATACCTGGAGAACGGGAAGAAGACGCTGCAGCGCGCGGGTACCAGGGGCAGTGGGGAGCCTTCCCCATCTCCTGTAGATCTCCCGGGATGGCCTCCCACGAGGAGGGGAGGAAAATGGGATCAGCGCTGGAATATCGCCCTCCCTTGAATGGAGAATGGGATGAGTTTTCCTGAGTTTCCTCTGAGGGCCCCCTCTGCTCTCTAGGACAATTAAGGGATGAAGTCCTTGAGGAAATGGAGGGGAAGACAGTCCCTGGAATACTGATCAGGGGTCCCCTTTGACCACTTTGACCACTGCAGCAGCTGTGGTCAGGCTGCTGACCTTTCTCTCAGGCCTTGTTCTCTGCCTCACGCTCAATGTGTTTAAAGGTTTGATTCCAGCTTTTCTGAGTCCTTCGGCCTCCACTCAGGTCAGGACCAGAAGTCGCTGTTCCTCCCTCAGAGACTAGAACTTTCCAATGAATAGGAGATTATCCCAGGTGCCTGTGTCCAGGCTGGCGTCTGGGTTCTGTGCCCCCTTCCCCACCCCAGGTGTCCTGTCCATTCTCAGGATGGTCACATGGGCACTGTTGGAGTGTCGCAAGAGAGATACAAAGTGTCTGAATTTTCTGACTCTTCCCGTCAGAACACCCAAAGACACACGTGACCCACCATCCCGTCTCTGACCATGAGGCCACCCTGAGGTGCTGGGCCCTGGGCTTCTACCCTGCGGAGATCACACTGACCTGGCAGCGGGATGGCGAGGACCAAACTCAGGACACCGAGCTTGTGGAGACCAGGCCAGCAGGAGATGGAACCTTCCAGAAGTGGGCAGCTGTGGTGGTGCCTTCTGGAGAAGAGCAGAGATACACGTGCCATGTGCAGCACGAGGGGCTGCCAGAGCCCCTCACCCTGAGATGGGGTAAGGAGGGGGATGAGGGGTCATGTGTCTTCTCAGGGAAAGCAGAAGTCCTGGAGCCCTTCAGCCGGGTCAGGGCTGAGGCTTGGGGGTCAGGGCCCCTCACCTTCCCCTCCTTTCCCAGGGCCATCTTCCCAGCCCACCATCCCCATCGTGGGCATCGTTGCTGGCCTGGCTGTCCTGGCTGTCCTAGCTGTCCTAGGAGCTGTGATGGCTGTTGTGATGTGTAGGAGGAAGAGCTCAGGTAGGGAAGGGGTGAGGAGTGGGGTCTGGGTTTTCTTGTCCCACTGGGAGTTTCAAGCCCCAGGTAGAAGTGTGCCCCACCTCGTTACTGGAAGCACCATCCACACATGGGCCATCCCAGCCTGGGACCCTGTGTGCTAGCACTTACTCTGTTGTGAAGCACATGACAATGAAGGACAGATGTATCACCTTGATGATTATGGTGTTGGGGTCCTTGATTCCAGCATTCATGAGTCAGGGGAAGGTCCCTGCTAAGGACAGACCTTAGGAGGGCAGTTGCTCCAGAACCCACAGCTGCTTTCCCCGTGTTTCCTGATCCTGCCCTGGGTCTGCAGTCATAGTTCTGGAAACTTCTCTTGGGTCCAAGACTAGGAGGTT
Organism: Homo sapiens; assembly: GCF_000001405.40. Classification (NCBI taxonomy): domain Eukaryota; kingdom Metazoa; phylum Chordata; class Mammalia; order Primates; family Hominidae; genus Homo; species Homo sapiens. Next base: position 2,525,017 of record NT_167248.2, on the reverse strand, counting down.
CCCCTAAGATCGCATGGCCCTGCCTCCTCCCTGTCCCCTCACAGGGCATTTTCTTCCCACAGGTGGAAAAGGAGGGAGCTGCTCTCAGGCTGCGTGTAAGTGATGGCGGTGGGCGTGTGGAGGAGCTCACCCACCCCATAATTCCTCTTGTCCCACATCTCCTGCGGGCTCTGACCAGGTCTTTTTTTTTGTTCTACCCCAGCCAGCAACAGTGCCCAGGGCTCTGATGAGTCTCTCATCGCTTGTAAAGGTGAGATTCTGGGGAGCTGAAGTGGTCGGGGGTGGGGCAGAGGGAAAAGGCCTAGGTAATGGGGATCCTTTGATTGGGACGTTTCGAATGTGTGGTGAGCTGTTCAGAGTGTCATCACTTACCATGACTGACCTGAATTTGTTCATGACTATTGTGTTCTGTAGCCTGAGACAGCTGCCTGTGTGGGACTGAGATGCAGGATTTCTTCACACCTTTCCTTTGTGACTTCAAGAGCCTCTGGCATCTCTTTCTGCAAAGGCATCTGAATGTGTCTGCGTTCCTGTTAGCATAATGTGAGGAGGTGGAGAGACAGCCCACCCCCGTGTCCACCGTGACCCCTGTCCCCACACTGACCTGTGTTCCCTCCCCGATCATCTTTCCTGTTCCAGAGAAGTGGGCTGGATGTCTCCATCTCTGTCTCAACTTTACGTGTACTGAGCTGCAACTTCTTACTTCCCTACTGAAAATAAGAATCTGAATATAAATTTGTTTTCTCAAATATTTGCTATGAGAGGTTGATGGATTAATTAAATAAGTCAATTCCTGGAAGTTGAGAGAGCAAATAAAGACCTGAGAACCTTCCAGAATCCGCATGTTCGCTGTGCTGAGTCTGTTGCAGGTGGGGGTGGGGAAGGCTGTGAGGAGACGAGTGTGGACGGGGCCTGTGCCTAGTTGCTGTTCAGTTCTTCATGGGCTTTATGTGGTCAGTCCTCAGCTGGGTCACCTTCACTGCTCCATTGTCCTTGTCCCTTCAGTGGAAACTTGTCCAGCGGGAGCTGTGACCACAGAGGCTCACACATCGCCCAGGGCAGCCCCTGCACACGGGAGTCCCTGTGCTTTCTGAGACAAATTTTCAGACCCATTCAGCTCCTGCCCTCCTTCTAGGGCTCCTCTTCTGCTTTGGTCTCCTGCCCTCTCTCCCTTCCCTGATTCCAGTAATCTTCGTGCTGACTCCAATCCCAACTCATGAATCTAAAGCAGAGCCTAATTTAGATTTATATTTGTTTGTAAAATTGGGTCCATAGTCTAGAATTGTTCCTTCCTGAAGAGAGAAACCTGATTGTGTGCTGCAGTGTGCGGGGCGGTTGGTGTGGGAGGAGGGATAGGGGAGGGAGGACACACAAGCAGCCCTGCTGAGAAAAGTACAGGCGGCCTCGGTGTCAGTGTGAGGGGACCTTGTGCTGCAGCTGCCACAAAACAGCACTTGGCCTGAGGCTATGTTAATAAAGATACTGGCTTTAGAATAGGAGGTGCTCTACACTGATCATTCAACTGACCTTTGTTGTCAGCCAGACACAGGACAGAAAAGTTCTGCATCTGGGGAACACCATTGAAGTAAAATCGGAAAAATATCTGAGCATATGCTTCAGTGGTAAGAGGCAGACGATACATACACTATAACCACAGTAAGAAAAGAAAGTGATGGAAGGTGGTAAGTGCCATGAGGCAGGTGATCCGGGTATGGGCAGTGGGGACAGGGAAGGTGGCTGTTGGACAGGAGTTGTCAATGTGTGGCTTGTTGCAAAGATGACCTTTGAGGAAAGATTTGAGGGACATGAGGATGTCTGGGGAAGTTCTTTCTAGGCAAGGAAACTCCAGTCCAAATGCACTAGGGCAGGAAGGTGTCTGTGTTCCCAGAAGAGCAAGGAGGCCAGGAGGGCTGGACAGAGAAACTAGATGAGGTCAGAGGTATGGCCAGAGCAGGTGGGCTTGAGGGGAGTGGGGTTGCGTCTGACCTCTGCTCTGAGTGGGATGGGGGAGTTAGAGGACAGTTTGGAGCAGAAGAGAGCCATGATATGACTTCTTTCTTAAAAGGATCTCTGATGGCTGTGCTGAGAACAGAATTGAGAGGTGAGGGATGAGGGAGGCAGAAGGGAAAACAGTAGGAATCGAGTGCAGTATTCCAGGCTGGAGATGTCTGGGGTGTGAGCACAGGAAATAGTGGGACGTGAGGGGATTCTGGATGCATTTGAAGATGGACTCACAGCATTTGCCAATGGATTGTATCTGTGGTGTGAGAAAGACGAATCAAGGACACCCATAGTTGTAAAATGAGTGAGTAGAAGGAAGGGTGGAGCTGCTGTCAGTGGAGATGGGGAGACTCTGGCAGGAGCATCCTGAGGAGGGGGCATCACAGGCACTCAGTGGAGGAGATGTCTACTAGGAATGCAGGTGGGGGAGCTGGGGTGGCAGCTGGGCAGACAACTCCACAGTTCAGGGGAAAGGACTGGGCTGGAGAAATAGATTTAGGAGCTCACACCACATAAACAATACTTAAAACCTCAAGCATGGATGAAGCACCAAGGGAGTGATTGACTGTGGAAAAGAATCAGCGCAAGGACTGAACCCTGGACCTCCAGTTCTAAGGGATCTGATCAGACCACAGAGCAGACTGCACAGTTCTGGCCCCACGTCTAGAGGACGCTTAGACAAGGAACTCCCGTGTGCACCAGGATCACCTGGATGTGGTGCTGAGATCCAGGAAGTCTGGAGTCGAGCAAGGGATTCTGGATTTATGACAAGGCTGGAGCTCACATTGCTGGTCTCCAGATCACACTTGGAGTAGCCAGAACACCAGGACCCCACGTCTGCATCGGCCTCGCCTGTAGGGCTTGTTATGTAAATGATTCCTTGGTCTTGTGCATAATATTGTGAGACAGGGGTTCTGAGGAGTGGCCTGAGTATTTTCTAAGCCTCCACCAGAAATCTTGTTGCTCAGCCAGATCAGGAACCTCAGAGATCAGAGAGTGCCCAGGGTGGGTGGGTGGGTTTTCAAACCCTGTTTAAAAGAGGATTTTTCTTGCAGAAAGGAAAGGGAGGATGTATATCATCAGTTAAGAGATGTGATAATCCCTGTTGATCTCTCCACCATGAGGTAGAGGCCAGGTAGACAATTCAGGATGTGGCTGTCACACAAGGAACACCTCCGAATGCTGCTCTCTGACCCTGGTCCATAGATTCATTTCTCACTCACCTCTTGGAGAAAACTATGGAAAACAAATTTCTGTAATTTATACATAAAGTAGTATACCTGGTATTGGGGGTTAATTTTATTGTGGGGAAGGCCACAGAACCAGGCTGAAAACTACACATCCCAGAAAAGAATCCATAGCCCACGCCCCTGGATCAGGTCCCTCCTAGGAACAACTGCCCCTGCTGCTGAGCACAGACACCACTGCTCATACCTCTGACATCCTGGTGCTGGACACTGGACCCCAAGGCTAGGATAGATGTCACTGCTGCCCCTGGCAACTGGACATCACTACTGACACTCAGCCATGTTTACTAAAATGCATTCTGCACAATCCCAGCCTTTCTGTGTCACCTCATTCTAGCTCAGAGTCTGGCAGTGATATAGGATTTAAGAAGAAATTATTTAGGCAGGTAGTGAGGGTACAGAAGTCTCAGTAAGGTTTTCTTTTTAATGGAAAGCAGGCCCCAAATCGTTTTCTTTTCTGACAAAGACCAGCCTGTAAAATCAAGCTTCAGACATAGACAAGCAAGCTGGAAGCTTGCACGAGTGAATGCTGGCAGCTGTGCCAATAGGAAAAGGACATCTGGGACTAGGCGTGTTCACAATGATGGCTCCATCTTCCCTTCTTTTTGCCAGCCATGTGTTCAGTAAAGAGCAGACAACATAGCACCGGCCAATAAACTCACTCCTTGTGTGTCACTGTCCTTAATCTTCTTGGTGAGATACAATGAACCCTGAGTATTTACCTGAGACAACAATGCTGCTTCAGCAGGTGGTCATCTGACTGATGGAGTTTAAGACTCATGTCCATTATCAACTGCAGGGGTGACTGGAGTGTTGTGCTCTTCTAGGGATGGGGGTGGTTTCTATCTCCTCTTAACACTTTACATGTTGTAAACCGAAAATAAACTTCAAACCCACCCTCTCCCAACCATCTTAATGGACACCCTCCTCAGCCAGGGCGCTCAAAAATTAACTTGAAAGACTGGCTCAGGCCACCATGGGAAGCAGGTGTTGAACATGCCTCATTATGGCCTCTTCCCTTTTGAAATTCAGGAAAAGCTGACCAGCAATTAACATCAACACAGACCTTAAGTCTGATCAGAAACATTATAATCTATTCTCTCTGAAGCCTGGCACCTGGAGGCTTCAACTGCATGATAAAATTTTGGACTCCACAACCTCTTATCATAACCCAGACATTGCTTTTTATTGATAATAACTCAACCAATTGCCAATCAGAACATTTTAAAATCTACCTATAACCTAGAAGCAGTAACCCCCAACCCTTGCTTGCTTCAAATTGTTCTGCTTTTCTGGACTGAACCAATGTATATCTTAAATATATATTATTAGTGTCTCATATCTTCCTAAAATGTATAAAACCAACCCATACCCCAACCACATTGAGCACATGCTCTCAGGGTCTCCTGAGGGACGTGTCATGGGCTGTGGTCACTCGTATTTGGCTCAGAATAAATCTCTTCAAATATTTTATGAAGTTTGCCTCTTTTCATTGACAGTGTGGAATTCTGATGTAGTAAGAGGGTTCAAGTGCTGGAGTGTGAAGGATGGGAAAAGAATGATAAATTTTAATTATTGGAGCAGTGCTCCAAGACAAGAAATTTATCTAGTATCTGGTAGGGATTCAGAGTGTCTGAATGAACTGGTGACTAATAAATAACATCTTTCCACCCATTCCCTTGAAAATAAGTTATTACATCAAGTTTTTGTCTATCCCAGTTCATACTCCAGATTATTGGAGTGGCATGGTGTGATGGTGAAATGATTATTCACACATCTTCCCTTGGCATTGTCTCTTACTGGGATTAAAACACCCAGGTTTATAAGATCTCAGAGGATCTGGTTGCACACTGATGTTTTATATTAATATTTATATTTTCTTGTGTGTGGAAATATTTCTGGGGAGAGAATCTCTGACACTTATTAGTTTTTATGTGACCCCCTCAAAGGCCTAAAAAATCCTAACTTCTAGATTAGAGGTAGGGCCACTCCATGTCTGGACAATGAACAGCTGGTAGAAACCTGTGTTTAGCAGACTTAGGGACATGAAATAAATGCTTAATTTTTTTTTATCTTTTCCTCTGGGACCGAAGAAGGTAGAGGTTTACTTGCTTACTCTTACTGTTGTTGCAGGAAGTCAAGGACCCCGAATGAGGGACTGGCTGGAGCTGTGGCAGAGGAACATAAATTGTGAAGATTTCATTTTAATATGGACATTTAACAGTTCCCAAATAATACTTTTATAATTTCTTATGCCTGTCTTTACTTTAATCTCTTAATCCTGTTATCTTCATAAGCTGAGGATGTACGTCACCTTAGGACCACTGTGATAATTGTGTTACAATTTGATTGTAAAACGTGTGTTTGAACAATATGAAATCAGTGCACCTTGAAAAAGAATAGAATAACAGCAATTTTTATGGAACAAGGGAAGACAACCATAAGGTCTGACTGCCTGCGAGGTTGGGCAAAAACAGCCATATTTTTCTTCTTGCGCAGAGCCTATAAACAGACGTGCAAGTAGGAAAGATATCACTAAATTCTTTTCCTAGCAAGGAATATTAATATTAATACACTGGAGAAGGAATTCATTCCTGGGGGGAGGTCTATAAACGGCCGCTCTGGGAATGTCTGTCTTATGCAGTTGAGATAAGGACTGAGATATGCCCTGGTCTCCTGCAGAACCCTCAGGCTTACTAGGGTGGGGAAAAACTCTGCCCTGGTAAACTTGTGGTCTGACCACTTCTCTGCTCTCAAACCCTGTTTTCTGTTGTTTAAGATGTTTATCAAGACAATACGTGCACTGCTAAACATAGACCCTTATCAGTGGTTCTGCTTTTGCCCTTTGTCTTGTTCCCTCAGAAGCATGTGATCTTTGTTAGACTCTTATTAGTAGTTCTGCTTTTTGCACTCAGAAGCATGTGACTTTTTACCTACTCCTTGTTCTTACACCCCCTCCCCTTTTGAAACCCTTAATAAAAACTTGTTGGTCTGAGACTCAGGCAGACATCACGGTCCTACCGATATGTGATGTCACCCCTGGTGGCCCAGCTGTAAAATTCCTCTCTTTGTACTGTCTTTCTTTATTTCTCAGCTGGCCGACACTTATGGAAAATAGAAAGAACCTATGTTGAAATATTGGGGGTGGGTTCCCCCAATATACTGTAAGTTTCTCTCTGTGGGATGGTGATGGGGTTTTCCTCCAGCCAAATAATTTTCTGATTCTCCAACAGCAATTGGGAGTCCTAGAATTTGACTCAATTCTGACACTAACTACCTGGAGTTAGCCTCAGACTCCACAGGTTTAAGGACTCAGTCCCACAAGTCTGTCCTCACTTCAGATGCAAGTCACAAGTTATCGGGTTCCAGGTTACCTGCACTTCTGTCTATCATGGCTGCAAAGTCAGGGGTTTCTCACCTCCCAAGGTTTGGGAATTCTTAAACTAACTCATAGAACTCAGGAAGTTGCTATAACCATGTAAACCAAAAAACATCTGAGACAGGTATCAATCAATTTAGAAGTTTATTTTGCCAAGCTGAAGATGTACCTTGGAAACAGAGACACAAATTATTGTAGCATCTGTGGCCCATGCTTTTTACTAACAGGGTTTTGAGGACTTTAATATTTACAGGAGAAAGAGCAGGCAGGAGAGGAAAAAGGAACAGTCAACTATGCTTTCATCGAGTGCTCAGTAAATCTGCATTTTACATAAGACAAAGTAAATGTTGGGTAGAGAAGTCAAATACACATTTGTCTCCAGGTGAGTGGAGGGATGATTTCTGGTCTTGTCTTTGTCCTTCACCTGTGAAGATAAGCTGTTAATTTACATTGTTAGGGTGAAATTCAACAAAACTCTGTTTTAGAGTAAAGATGTTGGGGCCCACAAGGAATTATCTTGTGAGCAATTTGTGAGGGAGGCCACCTGGGGAGATATATGTTCCTCTATCTTTGCAGTTATTTGTTTAGGAACAAAAGAAAGGTGGTTTTTCCATCACTCAGTTACCAAACTTAACTTGTCCCTTTGGTATAGTGAATTTGGCGTCCCTAAATTTTATTTTTCTTTCACACTCAGTATTGTAGTTTATTATTGTTATAGCTTAAATCAGTGGTCCCAACTTTTTGGCACCAGGGACCAATTTCATGGAAGACAGTTTTTCCATGGACCAGCAGAGGTGGCAGGGAATAGAGGGGAATGGATTGAGGATGAAACTGTTCCACCTCAGATGATCAGGCATTACTGTTTCATATGGAGCATGCAACCTAGATCCCTCACATGCAGAGTTCACAATAGGGTTCATGCTCTTATGAGAATCTAATTCCGCCACTGATCTGACAGGAGGCAGAGCTCAGGTGGTCATGCTCATGCTCTCTCACCCACCAGTGACCTCCTGCTGTGTGGTCTGGTTCCTGCCAAGCCAGGAACCTGTACCAGTCCACAGCCGGGGGTTACGGACTCTTGGTTTAAATTATGCCACTATAGTAGAACACCTGAGACTGGATAACTTAAAACGAACAGAAATTTATTTGGTTCATGGTTGTTGAGGATGGGAATTCCAAGACCAAGGACTGTACCTGGTAGAAAGCAAAAGGGCAAGAGAGGGTGAGAGGTAGGGGGAATAAGAGGTCAAACTCACAGCCTCAGGTCCTTTTATGATCAGACTTAATTCATTAATGGAGGCAGAGCTCTGATGGTCCAATCACCTCCCAAAGGTCCCGCCTCTTAAAAATGTTGCATTCAGGATAAATTATCCAAGAGATGCTTTTCTAGGGAAACATTCAAACCATAGCAGTTATAAAGGGTACAAATGAGCAACCAGATGAAGAGGTGCACAGGGTGTGGTCTGGGAGGGCTCTGAGCACAGGAGCCTCTGTCCCCATGGAGATGAGGTTCACCATCCTCCCAGCACATGGACACATGGATGTGCTCAGCAATTGGGAAGCTCTCCAAAACCCAATCTCTAGAGGTTTCTATGGAAGTTTCATTGTGTAGGCAAGATTAATTAAATCAATGGCCACTGGTGACTGAACTCAACTTCCAGCCCCCTTTGCTTCTCAGAGTTAAGGGATAGTGCTGAAATTTCCAATCCTCTAATCACAGCTTCGTGTTTCTGGCAACCAGCCCCCATCCTGAAGCTATTTAGGAGCCTCTCACCCCATAGTCATCTCATTGGCATATTAAAGTCATACTTATCACTGAGGAGATTGCAAATGTTTTGGAACCTGCTTGTCAGGAAACAGGGAAAAAGACCAGATATTTTGATTGGGCCACAGATCACACCCTGGTCTTTGACCACATTATCTCTTTTTATAATATTTATTTATTTCAGAGACAAGGTCTTGCTCTGTTGCCCAGGGTAGAATGCAGTGGCACAATCATAGCTCATTGTAACCTTGAATTCCTGAGCTCAAGTGATCCTCCTGCCTCAGCCTCCTGAGCAATAGCATTACAGGTACACACCAGCATGCCCAACTAATTTTTTAAAGATTTTGTAGGAATGGGGTCTCACTATTTTGCCCCGGTTGGTCTCAAACTCCTGGCCTTAAACAATCCTCTTACCATGGCCTCCGAAACTGATGGAATTACAAGTCTGAGCCACTGTGCCTGGCCAATCACAGATCTCCTATACCAGAAGAATCATAACAGTGAGAAGATCCTGGCACATTACCAGAATCCTTTTTGGTCATGAAAAATTATCCCAGGGGAGATCGTTCCAAGATAGCCAAATAGGAACAGCTCCAGTCTACAGCTCCCAGCGTGAGCGGTGCAGAAGATGGGTGATTTCTGCATTTCCAACTGAGGTACTGGGTTCATCTCATTGGGACTTGTCACACAGTGGGAGCTGCCCACAGAATGTGAGCTGAAGCAGGGCAAGGCATTGCCTCACCAGGGAAGCACAAGGGCTCGGAGAATTCCCTTTCCTAGCCAAGGGAAGCCATGAGAGATGGTACCTGGAAAATCGGGACACTCCCACCCTAATACTGTGCTTTTCCAACAGTTGTAGTGAATGGCACACCAGGAGATTATATCCCATGCCTGGCTCAGTGGGTCTCACACCCATGGAGCATTGCTTACTGCTAGCACAGCAGTCCAAAATTGAACTGGGAGGTGACAGTGAGGCTGGGGGAGGGGCGTCTGCCATTGCTGAGGCTTGACTAGGTAAACAAAGTGGCAGGAAGCTCAAACTAGGTGGAGCCCACTGCAGCTCAACAAGGCCTGCCTGCCTCTGTAGACTCCACCTCTGGGGGCAGGGCATAGCTGAACAAAAGGCAGCAGAAACTTCTGCAGACTTAAATGTCCCAGTCTGACAGCTTTGAAGAGAGCAGTGGTTCTGCCAGCATGGAGTTTGAGATCTGAGAACGGACAGAGTGCCTCCTCAAGTGGGTCGCTGACCTCTGAGTAGCCTAACTGGGAGACACCTCCCAGTAGGGACCGAATGACACCTCATACGGCTGGGTGCCCCTCTGAGACGAAACTTCCAGAGGAAGGATCAGGCAGCAACATTTGCTGTTCTGCAATATTTGCTGTTCTGAAGCCTCTGCTAGTGTTACCCAGGCAAACAGGGTCTGGAGTGGACCTCCAGCAAACTCCAATAGACCTGCAGCTGAGGGTCCCAACTGTTAGAATGAAAACTAACAAACAGAAGGAATAACATCAACAAAAGGGACATCTACACCAAAACCCCATCTGTAGGTCACCATCATCAAAGACCAAAGGTAGATAAAACCACAAAGATGGGGAGAAACCAGAGCAGAAAAGCTAAAAATTCTAAAAATCAGAGCACCTGTTCTCCTCCAAAGGATCGCAACTCCTCCCTAGCAAGGGAACAAAGCTGGATGGAGAATGACTTTGACAAGTTGACAGAAGTAGACTTCAGAAGATTGGTAATAACAAACTTCTCTGAGCTAAAGGAGGATGTTCGAACCCATCGCAAGGAAGCTAAAAACCTTGAAAAAAGATTAGATGAATAGTTAGCTAAAATAAACAGCATAGAGAAGAACTTAAATGACCTGATGGAGCTGAAAACCATGGCATGAGAACTACATGACGCATGCACAAGCTTCAGTAACCAATTCGATCAAGTGGAAGAAAGGGTATCGGTGATTGAAGATCAAATGAATGAAATGAAGCAAGCAGAGAAGTTGAGAGAAAAAAGAGTAAAAAGAAATGAACAAAGCCTCCAAGAAATATGGGACTATGTGAAAAGACCAAATCTACATTTGATTGGTGTACCTGAAAATGACAGAGAGAATGGAACCAAGTTGGAAAACACTTTTCAGGATATTATCCAGGAGAACTTCCCCAACCTAGCAAGGCAGGCCAACATTCAAATTCGTGAAATACAGAGAACGCCACAAAGATACTCCTCAAGAAGAGCAACCCAAAGACACATAATTGTCAGATTCAATAAGGTTGAAATGAGGGAAAAAATGTTAAGGGCAGCCAGAGAGAAAGATCAGGTTACCCACAAAGGGAAGCCCATCAGACTAACAGTGGATCTCTTGGCAGAAACTCTACAAGCCAGAAGCGAGTGGGGGCCAATATTCAACATTCTTAAAGAAAAGAATTTTCAACCCAGAATTTCATAACCAGCCAAACTAAGCTTCATAAGTGAAGGAGAAATAAGAGCCTTTACAGACAAGCAAATGCTGAGAGGTTTTGTCACCACCAGGCCTGCCTTACAAGAGCTCCTGAAGGAAGCACTAACATGGAAAGGAACAACCAGTACCAGCCACTGCAAAAATATGCCAAATTGTAAAGACTATCGATGCTAGGAAGAAACTGCAACTAACGGGCAAAATAACCAGCTAACATCATAACGATAGGGTCAAATTCACACATAACAATATTAACCTTAAATGTAAATGGGCTAAATGCCCCAATTAGAAGACACAGACTGGCAAATTGGATAAAGAGTCAAGACCCATCAGTGTGCTGTATTCAGGAAACCCATCTCACGTGCAGAGACACACATAGGCTCAAAATAAAGGAATGGAGGAAGATCTACCAGGCAAATGGAAAACAAAAAAAGCAGGGGTTGCAATCCTAGTCTCTGATAAAACAGACTTTAAACCAACAAAGATCAAAAGAGACAAAGAAGGCCATTACGTAATGGTAAAGGAATCAATTCAACAAGAAGAGCTAACTATCCTAAATATATATGCACCCAATACAGGAGCACCCAGATTCATAAAGCAAGTCCTTAGAGAACTACAAAAAGACTTAGACTCCCACACAATAATAATGGGAGACTTTAACACCCCACTGTCAACATTAGACAGATCAACGAGACAGAAAGTTAACAAGGATATCCAGGACTTGAACTCAGCTCTGCACCAGGCAGACTTAATAGACATCGACAGAACTCTCCACCCCAAATCAACAGAAAATACCTTCTTCTCAGCACCATATCGCACTTATTCCAAAATTGACCACATAGTTGGAAGTAAAGCACTCCTCAGCAAATGTAAAAGAATAGAAATTATAACAAACTGTCTCTCAGACCACAGTGCAATCAAATTAGAACTCAGGATTAAGAAACTCACTCAAAACCACTCAACTACATGGAAACTGAACAACCTGCTCCTGAATGACTACTGGGTACATAACGAAATGAAGGTAGAAATAAAGATGTTCTTTGAAACCAATGAGAACAAAGACACAACATACCAGAATCTCTGGGACACATTTAAAGCAGTGTGTAGAGGGAAATTTGTAGCACTAAATGCCTGCAAGAAAAAGCAGGAAAGATCTAAAATCGACAGCCTAACATCACAATTAAAAGAACTGGAGAAGCAAGAGCAAACACATTCAAAAGCTAGCAGGAGACAAGAAATAACTAAGATTAGAGCAGAACTGAAGAAGATAGAGACACAAAAAACCCTTCAAAAAATCAATGAATCCAGCAGCTGTTTTTTTTGTAAAGATCAACAAAATTGATAGACCATTAGCAAGACTAATAAAGAAGAAAAGAGAGAAGAATCAAATAGACACAATAAAAAATGATAAAGGGGATATCACCACCAATCCCACAGAAATACAAACTACCATCAGAGAATACTATAAACATCTCTATGCAAATAATCTAGAAAATCTAGAAGAAATGGATAAATTCCTGGACACATACACCCTCCCAAGACTAAACCAGGAAGAAGTTGAATCCCTGAATAGATCAATAATAGGCTCTGAAATTGAGGCAATAATTAATAGCCTACCAACCAAAAAAAGTCCAGGACCAGATGGATTCACAGCCAAATTCTAACAGAGGTTCAAAGAGGAGCTGGTACCATTCCTTCTGAAATTATTCCAATCAATAGAAAAAGAGGGAATCCTCCCTAACTTATTTTATGAGGTTGGCATCATCCTGATACCAAAGCCTGGCAGAGACACAACAAAAAAAAAGAGAATTTTAGACCAATATCCCTGATGAACATGGATGCAAAAATCCTCAATAAAACACTGGCAAACCGAATCCAGCAGCACATCAAAAAGCTTATCCACCATGATCAAGTGGGCTTCATCCCTGGGATGCAAGGCTGGTTCAACATACACAAATCAATAAACATAATCCAGCATATAAACAGAACCAAAGACAAAAACCACATGATTATTTCAATAGATGCCAAAAAGACCTTCAACAAAATTCCACAGCCCTTCATGCCAAAAACTCTCAATAAACTAGGTATTGATGGGACGTATCTCAAAATAATAAGAGCTATTTATGACAAACCCACAGCCAATATCATACTGAATGGGCAAAAACTGGAAGCATTCCCTTTGAAAACTGGCACAAGACAGGGATGCCCTCTCTCACCACTCCTACTCAACATAGTGTTGGAAATTCTGGCCAGGGCAATCAGACAAGAGAAAGAAATAAAGGGTATTCAATTAGGAAAAGAGGAAGTCAAATTGTCCCTGTTTGCAGATGACATGATTGGATGTTTAGAAAACCCCATCATCTCAGCCCAAAATCTCCTTAAGCTGATAAGCAACTTCAGCAAAGTCTCAGGATACAAAATCCATGTGCAAAAATCACAAGTATTCCTATACACCAATAACAGACAAACAGAGAGCCAAATCATGAGTGAACTCCCATTCACAATTGCTTCAAAGAGAATAAAATACCTAGGAATCCAACTTACAAGGGATGTGAAGGACCTCTTCAAGGAGAACTACAAACCACTACTCAACGAAATAAAAGAGGACATAAACAAATGGAAGAACATTCCATGCTCATGAATAGGAAGAATCAATGTCGTGAAAATGGCCATACTGCCCAAGGTAATTTATAGATTTAATGCCATCCCCATCAAGCTACCAATGACTTTCTTCACAGAATTGGAAAAAACTACTTTAAAGTTCATATGGAACCAAAAAAGAGCCTGCATTGCCAAGACAATCCTAAGCCAAAAGAACAAAGCTGGAGGCATCACGCTACCTGACTTCAAACTATATTACAAGGCTACAGTAACAAAAACAGCATGGTACTGGAACCAAAACAGAGATATAGACCAATGGAACAGAACAGAGCCCTCAGAAATAATATCACACATCTACAACTATCTGATCTTTGACAAACCTGACAAAAACAAGAAATGGGGAAAGGATTCCCTATTTAATAAATGGTGCTGGGAAAACTGGCTAGCCATAGTAGAAAGCTGAAACTGGATCCCTTCCTTAGACCTTATACAAAAATTAATTCAAGATGGATTAAAGACTTAAATGTTCGACCTAAAATCATAAAAACCCTAGAAGAAAACCTAGGCAATACCATTCAGGACATAGACATGGGCAAGGACTTCATGACTGAAACACCAAAAGCAATAGCAACAAAAGCCAAAATTGACAAATGGGATTTAATTAAACTAAAGAGCTTCTGCACAGCAAAAGAAACTACCATCAGAGTGAACAGGCAACCTACAGAATGGGAGAAAATTTTTGTAATCTACCCATCTGACAAAGGACTAATATCCAGAATCTACAAAGAACTTAAACAAATTTACAAGAAAAAATCAAACAACCCCATCAAAAAGTGGGCAAAGGATATGAACAGACACTTCTCAAAAGAAGACATCTATGCAGCCAACAGACACATGAAAAAATGCTCATCATCACTGGTCATCAAAGAAATGCAAATCAAAACCAAAAGGAGATACTATCTCACACCAGTTAGAATGGCAATCATTAAAAAGTCAGGAAACCACAGGTGCTGGAGAGCATGTGGAGAAATAGGAACACTTTTACACTGTTGGTGGGAGTGTAAGCTAGTTCAACCATTGTGGAAGACAGTGTGGCAATTCCTCAAGGATCTAGAACTAGAAATACCATTTGACCCAGCCATCCCATTACTGGGTATATACCCAAAGGATTATAAATCATGCTACTATAAATGCACATGTATGTTTATTGCACTATTCACAATAGAAAATACTTGGAACCAACCCAAATGTCCATCAGTGATAGACTGGATTAAGAAAATGTGGCACATAAGCCGGGTGCAGTGGCTCATACCTGTAATCCCAGCACTTTGGGAGGCTGAGGTGGGTGGATCACGAGGTCAGGAGATCAAGACCATCCTGCCTAATACAGTGAAAACCCATCTGTACTAAAAATACAAAAAAATTAGCTGGTCATGGTGGCGGGTGCCTATAGTCCCAGCTACTTGGGAGGCTGAGGCAGGAGAATGGCATGAACCCAGGAGGCAGAGCTTGCAGTGAGCGAGATCGCACCACTGCACTCCAGCCTGGGCGACAGAGCGAGACTCCATCTCAAAAAGAAAAAAGAAAAAAAGAAAATGTGTCACAAATACACCATGGAATACTATGCAGCCATAAAAAAGGACGAGTTCATGTCCTTTGCAGGGATGTGGATGAAGCTGGAAACCATCATTCTGAGCAAACTATCACAAGGACAGAAAACCAAACACCGCATGTTCTCACCCATAGGTGGGAATTGAACAATCAGAACACTTGAACTCAGGGTGGGGAATATTACACACCAGGGCCTGTCATGGGGTGGGGACAGGGGGGAGGGATAGCATTAGGAGAAATACCTAATGCAAATGACGAGTTAATGGGTGCAGCACACCAACATGGCACATGTACACATAGGTAACAAACCTGCATGTTGTGCACATGTACCCTAGAACTTAAAGTATAATAAAAAAAAATTATCCCGGTGCAGCCCAAAAACAGAAGTAGTCTCAGCAACATAAGGCTGCACCCGTTCAGGCATTTGGTAAAATTGAGTTAAGAGACAATATCATCTCTTGCTTATATCTCTTTTGAGTAGTTCATGTAACATTGGATTTTCCTCATTGCATAACCCATTTATTCATTCATTTACCCTCAGCTACTATTTCTCCTTCTCTTCATTTATACCAAACATTTCTAGTTATGGAAGGGACATGAGGTTCTGCTGCTGTGCTGACCTAGACTGCACGGACCAATACTGTTCTAGCAATTGTCTTGCATCATCCATTCCAGTTCATAGAGGGTAGGGTTATGCAGTAGAGAACTGGTTGGCTAGCTGACCCCAGGCAATACAGCTGCATTCAGTGTTAACCCCAACTTTGCCAGATGCACTGAAGGCACAACCTACTTCTCTAGACCCTTAGGAATCATTACATAATGGACACAAAATATATTTACAGTTTCTTGCTTAGGAATAATTCCTGTTTCTGGACTTTTATTTGCATCCCTAGTCCTGAGACTACTGCATCAGGTATGAGAAAAGCAAGTTGAGGTAAAGTACAGTCATCATTCCAGTGTCCTCCCACCTTGGGAAGGATTGTATATAGATCACACCAGCACCTTCCCCTGATCCACAAGGAAAAGAGAGGATACTTTCATATCAAGTGTAAGCACACTCATGAAGGTGTGTAAGCCCACCCTTCATGCTTGTTTCCCCACTCTTGCTTTATACAACCAATGTTTCAATGGAATATTTTAATTCTCTATGGAACTCTTCCTCTGAGAAGGATGTCTTTCTGACATTTTGAGCAAGCGCATTTTCTGGTGTAAAGAAATGTGACTCAGTGGTCCACATGGTTGCAGTACCTCCCATTCAAACTCTTAGTAGCACTCCAAGCATTTGCATCTGAGATAAAGCAGGGACCTCTCTTAGAAGCCTGCCAGGGCCTCCCAACATGGAAATAAAGAAAAACCTTCAGTTCCTTCAAAAGAAATTCCAGGCACCTAGCCAGCCCTAAAAATTAAGTGAGTGACCTTATAAACAAGAAGGTAATGATAGCTTAAAACGATAGCCAAGGAAGTTAGAGTCACAAGATGTTGGATTCTCTATGGAAACTAAAGAGAACATCTTAACATATGTCCCTGAGTTGTTTTTCAGAAACTCGGATTCCCACCTAATAGATCCACTGACCTCAGATAAGGGGAAACTGAGGACTGAACTCTGACCACTGTTCTTTGTTCTAAATTTCTTCCTGAGGGGCCTGGAGAGAGTAAAGCCCACAGGCCAGGCCTGAACATTCCTCTCTACTGCCCCCAACTGTGTAAGGAAGCTTTGCTTCCTTATGAATCGCAAATCAGAGAATCTTTTATCTCTATCTACGACTTGTAAGCTCCCTCATCAGGATATTCCTCCTTTTAAGGCCAAACCAGTGTGTAACTTCTATGCATTGATTTATGATGTTGCCTGTAACTCTGCTTTCCTGAAATTTACCCCTATCTTTAAGAAACCTTGCTTGTGAGCCATTGAGAAGGTTGGGTCTTAACTGTAAGCTAGCTGATTCTCCTTGCTTGGCACCCTACAAATAAATGCCCTCCTTTCTCTCACTACAAAATCTCAGTATGGATGTTTGTTTTTACTGCCCCAGGTGAGTGGACTCCAGTTCAGTTTGGTAGCACATCTACCACCAGCTGAGCAATGCCCAGCTCCAGGGTGCATATCTATTGCTGCCAAGACCCATTTGCTGCTTCCTGGGTCTACTGGTATCAGTGTAACTTGCCAGCTCTGTATTTTCAAGATCTTCCCATAAGAGAATCTGCCACATAGCCATATGCTATCTCTGTCTCTCTCTCTTTTTTTTTTGTTAAAGAAAACACTTATATGTATTTTATGCCTGTGACGTGGGGAATGCAAGAGGAATATGCCTTGATTCCACCTCTCTCTGCATTGCTACAGCCCCAGTGTCTACTTACTTCATGGACCTAGGTGATCACCGCAAGCAAACGTGGATTTTTGTTAGATGTGGTCTTGATATCTTTCTCTGGCTGAACTCAAATGCTGCTCAGGCCAAACTCTAACTCCTGGACTCAAGATATCCTTCTGCCTCAGCTGCTCTCATAGCTGGAATTACAGGTGCACCTGGCAAACACTTGGAGATAAATGCTTGTTTATTTCAATCACCTTCCAAACCTGGAAGGGAGTTATTCTGATGGGCATTGATGGGCACTGAGGGGACGGTGCTAAACCATTCATGAGAAACTGCCCCCGTGATCCAATCATCTCCCTGCAGGTCCCACCTCTAATGCTGGGGATTCCATCCAACATGAGATTCGGGCAAGAACAACATCCACTCTATATCAGGCATCAACGTGTCTTACATTAATGAACCTCTCAAATTACCATCGTGATTTCCATAGGACTGTGTCTCATTTGGGCACTCTTTTCATCGGCAAGTTTTCCTTTGCTTTCCTGATTAATTATATGGCCAGGCCATTAGTCACTGCCTGTAAGTCAATAAAAACTAAAACATAGGAGCTTTATTATTGTTCAATTCTTCCACCACTGCTGAGAAACATCCTGCAATTCAGCCCACAAGAGTTGTTCTGTTTTTATCTTCTTCGATCAAAGCGGTGGACTTCCAAACAGGATGTTGTCCATTCATCTTCCAAATGCTGTACACAAACCAACCAGCTGTTTGAGATCAGTTGACGGATATTGCAGTTCAAATCCCAGCGCTTTCTGCTGCAGAGTTCCATCTTGCTCAGAGAAGGTCAATGTTTTGTTTAATTTACACCTTCAATGAATTGAATGAAGCCCACCCACATTATAGAGATCAATCTACTTTACTCAAAGTCTAGTTATTTTGCATTAATGTTATCCAAGAAACATTCTCACAAATCATCCAGAATAATGCTTGATCACCTATCTGGGCATTGTGGTTCAGCCAAGATGACAAATAAAATTAATTATGACATTCTTCAATTTAAGAATATTCTGAGGAAATTAGCCTTTGTCCTAATAAAACAAGGAACAAACAACTGTTTCTAAAAATTTTCAACCAACAGTCAAAAAGCCATTCCTACAGATTGTTGCTCAAGTTCATTCTATAACTGTGGGTGAAAAAAACATGTATTTGTTGAAAACAGAAGGAGAGAAAAATGAATAAGCAGAAAGTAAAAAAAAAGACATGAGAATAATAATAAAGATGACAGCCGTTATTTCACTGGAAACAATGCAAATGAGAAGACAGATGAGCAACATCTTTAAAGTCCTAAAAGGAAAATACTGTGAAACTAGATTCTATTCCCAGAAAATAATACCTTTCTAAAACATATATATGTATAATTTAAATTGACAAATCATAATACATTCATGAGATGTTGTGTGATGTACTGATATATGTATACCATGTGTAATGATTAAATCAAACTAATTAACCAATTAACATACCATGAATATAGCTATCGAAAAATAGATTTTAGTTATATAGGGAGTGAAAAAAGTTATAACTAGCAGATCTAAACTATAATAAATGTTTTTCAGTCCTTCAGGCAAAAAGAAAATTAAGGGACTAGTTGGCACAGCATTTAATGATGAAAAGACAGCTTCATTTCCTTTTTCCACTGAGACAGAGAACACAGCCCAGGGTCCTGGGAATTGCTCAACCCAATCCACCACTGTGGACACCTGAGAACTCCTCCTGGGTAACTGAGGTTGGGTGCTATCACCTTAGCTGTCACCTACCTGCAAACACCACCTATGGGCATTCCACCCAGCCTATCATAGCTACTGCTAACATTAATGCACACTTTTTGGGACCAGTAGTTCTCTTTGCAGACATCTTTTACCTCCCAAATTAGCATTATTCCTAGGTATTGTATTCTTTTTGTGGCAATTGTGAGTGGGAGTTCATTCCTGCTTTGGCTCTTGGCTTGCCTGTTGTCGGTGTGTAGAAATGCTAGTAATTTTTGCACGTTGATTTTGTATCTTGAGAATTTGCTGAAGTTGTTTATCAGCTTAAGAAGCTTTTGGACTGAGGCTATGGGTTTTTCTAGTTATAGAATCATGTCATCTGCAAACAGGAATCATTTGAATTCCTCTCTTCCTATTTGAACATCCTTCTTTTTTTTTTTTTTTTTTTAATTTCACTTGCCTGATTGCCCTGGTCAGAATTTCCAATACTGTGTTGAACAGGAGCAGTGAGAGAAGGCATCCTTGTCTTGTGCTGATTTCAAGGAGAATGCTTCTAGTTTTGCCCATTCAGTATGAAGTTGGCTGTGGGTTTGTCATAGATGGCTTTTATTGTTTTGAGGTATATTCCTTGAACACCTAGTTTATTGAGAGTTTTTTTAAAAACATGAATAGAGTTTGAATTTTATGAAAAGCCTTTTCTTCATCAACTGAGACAATCATGTAGTTTTTGTCTTTAGTTCTGTTTACGTGATGAATCACATTTATTGATTTGCATATGTTGAACTAACCTTGCATCCTGGCGATGAAGCCTACTTGATTGTGATGGATAAGGTTTTTGATGTGCTGCAGGATTCGGTTTGCCAGCATTTTGTTGGAGATTTTTGCATTAATGTTCATCAAGAATACTGGCCTGATGTTTTCTCTTGTTTGTTGTTGTTGTATCTCTGCCACATTTTGGTATCAGGATGATGCTGGCCTAATAGAATGAGTTAGGGAGGAGTCTCTCCTCCTCATTTTTTGGGAATAGTTTCAATAGGAATGGTACCATCTCTTCTTTGTACATCCAGTAGAATTCACCTGTCAATCATCTGGTCCTGCACTTTTTTTTTTTTTTTTTGGTAGGCTCTTCATTACTGCCTCAAGTTCAGAACTCATTATTTTTTCAGAGATTGCATTTCTTCCTGGTTCAGTCTTGGGGGCGGTGTATGTGTCCAGGAATTTATCCATTTCTTCTAGATTTTCTAGTTTATGCGCATAGAAGTGTTCATAATATTTTCTGGTGGTTGCTTGTATTTCTGTGGGGTCAGAGGTAATGTTCCTCTTATTGTTTCTGATTGTGTTTATTGGAATTTTCTCTCTTTTCTTCTTTATTAGCTTAGCTAGTGGTCTATTTTTATTAATTTCTTTTAAAAAACCTCCTGAATTTATTGATCCTTCAAATGGTTTTTTGTGTCTCTGTCTCCTTCAGGAGACAATACTTTTGTTAATTTTTTTTTGTTATTTCTTGTCTTCTGCTAGCTTCGGGATATGTTTGCTCTTCATTCTTAAGTTCTTTTAGGTTTGATTTTAGGTTGTTGACTTGAGATCTTTCTAACTTTTTGATGTGGGCATTTACTGCTATAAATTTCCCTCTTAACACTGCCTTAGCTGTTTCCCAGAGGTTCTGGTTCATTGTATCTTTTTTCTCATTAGTTTCAAAGAACTTCTTGATTTCTACCTTAATTTCATTATTTACTAAAAGTCATTCAAGAACAGGTTATTTAATTTCTAAGTAATTATATGGTTTTAGTGAATTTCTTATTCTTGATTTTGAATTTGATTGCACTGTAGTCTGAGAGACTATTTGTTATGATTTCAGTTCTTTTGCATTTGCTGAGGAGTGTTTTACTTCTGATTGTGTGATTGATTTTAGAGTAAGCGCCATGTGGCAATGAGAAAAATGTATATTCTGTTGTTCTGGGGTCCGGAGTTCTGTAAATATCTATCAGGTCCATTTGCTCCAGGGCTGAATTCAGGTCCTGAATATCTTTGTTAATTTTCTGTCTTGATGATCTGTCTAATATTGTCAGTGGGGTATTAAAGTCCACCACTTCTACTGTGTGAGGTTCTAAATCTCTTTGACGGTCTCTAAGAACCTGCCTTATAAATCTGGGTGTTCCTCTATTGGATGCATACATATTTAGGATAGTTAGATCTCTTCATTGAATTGAACCCTTTACCATTATGTAATGCCCACCTTTATCTTTTTTTATCTTTCTTGGTTTAAAGTCTGTGTTGTCAGAAACTAGGATTGCAACCCTGGCTTTCTTCCGCTTTCCATTTGCTTGGAAAATTTTCCTCCATCTCTTTATTTTGTGCCTATGTGTGTCATTGAATGTAAGATGAGTGTATTGTAGGCAGCATACTGATAGGTCTTGGTTCTTTATCCAGCTTGCCCTTCTGTGTCTTTTAAATGTGGCATTTAGCCCATTTACATTTAAGGTTAGTATTGATATGTATGGATTTGATCCTGTCATCATGGTGTTAGCTGGTTACTTTGCAGACTTGCTTATGTGGTTGCTTTATTGCGTCACTGGTCTATGTACTTCAGCTTGTTTTTGTAGTGGCTGGTAACTGTCTTTCCTTTCCATATTTAGTGCTTCTTTTAGGAGTTCTTGTAATGCAGGTCTGATGGTAATGAATTCCCTTGGCATTTGTTTGTCTGAAAAGAATTTTATTTCTTTTTTGCTTATGAAGCTTAGTTTGGCTGGATATGAAATTGTGGGTTGGAAATTCTTTTCTTTAACAATGTTCAATACTGGCCCTCAATCTCTTCTGGTGTGTAGGGTTTCCACTTGGAGGTCCACTGTTAGTCTAATGGGCTTCCCTTTGTAGGTGACCTGGCCTTTCTCTCTGACTGCCCTTAACGTTCTTTCTTTCATTTCAACCATGGAGAATCTGATGATTGTATCTTGGGGATGATCTTCTCATGGAGTAACTTACTAGTGTCCTCTGCATTTCTGAATTTGAATGTTGGTCTGTCTAGCTAGGTTGGGAAAGTTCTCATGGATGATATCTTGAAGTGTGTTCCAAATTGATTCCATTATTCCCATCTCTTTCAGGTATACCAATAATTCATGGATTCAGTTTCTTTACATAATCTGATGTTTCTCAGAGGTTTTGTTTGTTCCTTTTCATTCTGTTTTCTCTATTCTTGTCTTCCTGTCTTATTTTAGAAAGCCAGTCTTCAAGCACTGAGAGTCTTTCCTCCACTTGTTCTATTCTGCTGTTAATACTTGTGAGTGCACTATGAAATTCTTTTAGTGTGTTTTTCAGCTTTATCAGGTTGGTTTCATTCTTCTATAATACTGGCTGTTTTGTCTGTCAGCTCCTGCAATGTTTTATCATTATTTTTAGCTTCCTTGGATTGGGTCACACTGTACTCCTTTAGCACAGTGAACTTCTTCCCTCTCCATATTCTGAATTCTACTTCTGCTCTTTCAGTCATCTCAGCTTTAGCCTGGTTCCAAACCCTTGCTGGCTTTTTGAGTTTTCAGCATTGTTGTGCTGATTCTCATCTTAGTGGGCTTATCTATCTTCATTCTTTGAGGTTGCTGATCTATGAATGGGTTTTGTTTTTCTCTTCTTTTGTTTTCTCTTTCAATAGTCTGACCACTTTTCTGTAGGGCTGCTGCAGTTTGCTGAGGGCCTGCTCCAGTCCCCAGTTGCCTCAGATTTTCCAGTAACTGGAGATATCACCAGTGAAAGCTACATAACAGCAAAGATGGTAGTCTGCCTTTTCCTTTGGGAGCTCTGTCTCAGGAAAGTACAGACCTGTTGCCAGCCCAAACACACCTGTAGGAGGTACTGGAGACCCTGGTTGGGAGGTCTTGCACAGTCACGAGGAATAGGATCAGGATCTAGAGGTTTACCAAAGGGAGGAATACTCCCTCAGGAGACACAGAAATTATTCCATTGAGCTGGAAGCTAAGACACCCACCCGGGCCCTTCAGCTCCTCATGTTACTGAATCAACAGACAAAGGAAGGAGTTACTGCACTTTCTGGGGTGATTGGTCCTGGTCATCAGGGGGAAATTGGTCTGCTACTACACAATGGCAGTAAATAAGACTATGTTTGAAATACAGGAGATCTTTTAGAGCATCTCTTAGTAATACTCTGCTCTATAATTAAAGTCAATAAAAACTACAACAACCCAAGTCAGGCAGGACTACTAATGACCCATGCCCTTCAGGAATGAAGGTATGAGTCACCCAAGCAGGAAAAGAAACCTGATCAGCTGACGGACTTGCTGAAGGCAGTGGGACTATGGGATGGTTAGTGAAAAAAAGCTATTTACACTAGTTGTGGCCAGCACAGTGGCTCATGCCTATAACCCCAGCACTTTGGGAGGCTGAGGCAGGTGGATTCCTTAAGTCGAGGAATGTGAGACCAACCCGGGCAACATGCTGAAATTCCATCTCTACTGAAAATACATACAAAAAATTAGTCAGACTTGGTGGTGTGCTTGCAGTCCCAGCTACTTAGGAGGTTGAGGTAGAAGGATCACTTGTGCCCAGGAGGTGGAGTTTGCAGTGAGCCAAGGTAATGCCACTGCACTCCAGGCTGGCAACAGAAGAAGACCCTGTATCAAATAAATAAGTAAATAAATAAATAAATAAATAAATAAATAACCAGCTGTAACCATGTGATCAGTTGCAGAAATAAAGACAGTAAATGTTATAAGCATTTCTTCCTTATGTTTTTACAATGATATTTATGTCTGTGTGTATGTACCCATACATGTACTAAGCAAATACCTTTGTTTTCATCTTTTCCTTATCATCTTGTAATAAAACATAAAATGTGCTAATAATAGTTCCCTTTTATTAATGATGGTTCAACTTTTTTTAAACATGGTGTTTAGGTTACAGTATATCGAAGAGAAAAATGCTTATCATGCATTGAGTTTGAATTTTTTTCTGAGGAAATGGTTAGTGTTTTTAGATGGATGCAAGATAGCTGTATCATCTTTAGCAAAAGTATGACTTTATAATTGTTTTTATTTGGAGACTAAGTATGGTTTAAGAAAACGTTAATGGGTGCCAAGTTCACAAGCATGGACTAGGGTGGTGGGTATTATGTGTCAATTTTACTAAACCATACTGTCTAGTTATTTAATCAAACACTAATTTATATGTTGCTATGATGGTGTTTTGCACTTGTGGTTAAAATCTTATGTCAGTTGATTTTATGAAAAGGAAATTACCCTCAAAAATGTGGGCGGGACTTTTTGAATCAGTTGAAGGCCTTTGGGCAAAATGTGAGGCTTCTCAAAGAAGAAAAAATTCTGCCTCAAGATGACAGTAGCAACTACAGTTTAGATTTCCAATCTGCCAGCCTGGTTTACAAATTTTAGACTGAAGACTGCAACATTGTGACTTTCCAGCCTGCTAGCCTGCAGAGGAGTAATTTGTGACATCAATAATGTAAAATGAGGGGTGGAAAAAGATGTAAAGAAGCAGAGTTTCATACTGGTTTCAATTCAAAATTGTTATAGTTGTATTGTTATGTGCAATACCATAGTAATCACAAAGAAAATATACATAAAATATACACAAAAGAAAGTGAGAAGGCAATTAAAACATATCACTAGAAAAAAAATCGACTAAACACAAAGGAAGGTTGGAATGAGGAAGATAAGGGATGAAACAGCTATAAGACATGCATAAAACCATCACAATTACAGAGGTAAGTCCTTCTTCATCAGTAATTACTTTAAATGTAAATGGATTAAACTCCCCAATCAGAATTGAGATTATCACAATGGATATAATAAAAAGATTCTAACCATATGCTGGCTACAAGATACTCACTTTGGATCTAAGGACACATACAAGTTGAAAATGAAAGGATGGAAAAGGATATTCCTGAAAATAGTAACTAAGAATTTTTAATGATTTCTCATAGGGTTCTATGTGTTTGCTGGGCTCAGATGATGGCCTTGGAGTTTAACATGGTTCAGGCATTGAAGTGGAAGGAACCAGATGCAGGCAGGATGGTTAATAGCAGTGCCCAGAACTGACACAACCACGTTTCTGCCCTATTTTATTGGCTAACGCAGATATCAGATCTGCTCATGTTTAAGGGGATGGAGAGAACTTACCTCTTGATGAGGGAATGGTGGATCAAACTAAAGAAAACAAAGTGTGATGGAAGATACTTTTGCAGCCGTCTTTGGAAAATACATACAATCCAAAACATCCTATCGGCCAGAAAGGAAGAACACCATCACACCTTACCCCTCCAGTCTAAGCCCTGTGATTCTGTAGTATCCTGGGGAAGGACCATGTCTTAGGAAGCAGATGCGGAGTCAAAGCTCTAAATAAAACCCCATCTACAGCCACAATTTCACTTTATTTTGATGAAATTTTGTGTCATTTTCGATAAAATGGGGGCTCACAAATCTCTCTTCAGGGATCTCTCCAGTGGCGGGGATGATATGCTTCCTTCTCCACAGTTCTACTTTACAGATAAGTGGGTCTAGGTCTCAGTTTCAGTTATTTAAAACACCAGAGACTTGGATGCATGCATGTCACAAAAAGGTGAAAGAATGCTCTGTCACTTTCCCTTCTCTCGCTCACTGCGCCCTGAACAAGAACCTGCTCTACCTTGACCTTTTGAATGGGGAGGAGGGTCGCACTCCTGACTAAGCTTCATGCTTCCAGAGATAAACCTGCTACCCCAAAAGCATAGTTTATTATAAAGACCAAACCCTACACCAAGAGCTCTCCCTTCACCTACCAGGGCTGAAACTGAATCCCATGGAAAGGCCCAGAGAAATTGTGGCTCAAAATGTCCAGTGTCATGTCCCTTCTGCCAAAATGAAGCCAACATATTCATCACAATATGGGGTATCGATAAGGATATCAAAATGATTACCACAAAAATTTCACAAATATATTCTTTTTATTACATCAACTTTTTTGTCCTACAAATATAAAGAAAATAAGCCTGCATAGCAGGAGAAGTTTTTCCTCTGGGAGAGAATCCTCTTCCCAATGAAAAAGCTGGAGCCAGAATCACTAGAATGGAGCAAACTTTCAGGAATGACACAGCACTGCGTCTTGGGGCAGCCAGAGTTAGGGAGGGCTCACCTTCTGCGTGACACCAACCTTTGGCTGTCTTTTTTTTTTGTTCTCACTGCAAGAACAAAATTTCAGAGTATTAAGAGACAGAGTTAAGCCGAAGAGATTTACTCTGTTTTACTCTTTAGAAAACGCAATCTCGGCCAGGAGCGGTAGCTGGCGCCTGTAATCCCAGCATTTTGGGAGGCCGAGGTGAATAGATCACCTAAGGTCAGGAGTACGAGACCAGCCTGGCCAACATGGTGAAACCCCATCTCTACTAAAAATACAAAAATTAGCTGGGCGTGGTGGCAGGCATCTGTAATCCCAGCTACTCGGGAAACTGAGACAGGAGAAATGCTTGAACCTGGGAAGCGGAGGTTGCGGTGAGCCGAGATCGTGCCACTGCACTCCAGCCTGGGTGACAGAACAAGGCTCCATCTCAATAAAAGAAAAGAAAACAAAAGAAAGAGAAGAAAGAAAAAGAAAGAAAGAAAGAAAAAGGAAGGAAGGAAGGAAGGAAGGAAGGAAGGAAGGAAGGAAGGAAGGAAAAGGAGTCTCCAGGTTAATCCAGACTGTTATGGGCTAAATTGCATCCCTCCAAAAATTGGCATGTTGGTGTCCTAACCCCCAGTACCTGAGAAAGTGACTGCATTTGGAGAGGTCTTTAAGGAGGTCATTAAGGTAAAATGAGGTCATATGAGTGGGTCTTAATTCAATGTGACTAGTGTCCTTATAAAAAGAGAAGATTAGACATAGACAGATGCAGAGGAATGACCATGTAAAGACACAGGGAAAACACATCTACAAGCCAAGGAAAGAAGCCTCAGAAGAAATGTGCACTGCCAACACCATGATCTTGGACTTCCAGCCTCTGGAACTGTGGCACAATAATTTTTCTGTTCTTTACGTCACCCAGTGTGTGGTACTTTGTTATGGCAGCCCTAGCAAATTAAAACAAACATATTACCCTGCCTAGTATCTGGACATGAAATTTTTTCAAGATTATGAATTATCAGGGATTTCTAAGAACTGAGTGAATCAATTGAAACTTGACAAGTGTAGATGATAAAGGGTCATTTACAAACCACTTTGGGTCCCATGGTCACCACTCAAAAATGGAGATATCCCCATTTCTTTTCAGTTTTACTCAGAACAAAGCTTGTGGTTCCAATCTGATATATAATCACCATCTGTATTTAAGTTTCTTGAGATGTTGAAGGAATGAGTTTTCCTCTAATTTTCTAGAAGTTATGAGAAATAATTATTTTGTAATCATTACTGAAGTAAAAGAGGATTTTTGCCCAGGGCTTTGCAGGTATTATGTGCTTTCTTCCTACTTTTAAGGATCATGTTTCTTAAAATCCCGAGCTGATGGTCAGGCACGGTGGCTCACACCTGTAATCCTAGCACTTTGGGAGGCTGAGGCGGGTGGATCACCTGAGATCAGGAGTTGAAGACCAGTCTGGCCAAAATGGTGAAACCCTAACTCTACTAAAAATACAAAAAAATTAGCCGGGCATAGTGGCACAAGCCTATAGTTCCAGCTACTTGGGAGGCTGAGGTAGGTGAATTGCTTGAACACAGTGGGGAGAGGTTGCAGTAAGCAGAGATCGTGCAATTGCATTCCAGCCTGGGCAACAAGAGTGAAACTCCATCTCAAAAAAAAAAAAAAATCCTAAACTAATGTTTCTCTCTGCATTTACCCCTTAGTACTGGGGCAACACTCACTGCATCTCAGTAAGGATGAAATGTGTTCTCATTTATTCTCACTAGAATGGATGTGTTTATCCATGACTCACAGATGAATTAACAAGCACCAGGACTTGGAGAGATTCTCCTGAGGTCACAGCCGTTGAGTGGTGGAGCAGTGACAAGCACCTGGCACCCTTGGTCTAGTCCAGTATTCTGGGTGCCACAAGAATTGCAGAATTGCAACCTTGATTTTTACACATTTGGTTATTTTCTCTTTTTTTATTTCCTTTGTTGTTGTTGTTGTTGTTGTTGTTGTTGTTGTTGTTGTCGAGACAGGGTCTCACTCTATCACAGGCTGGAGTGCAGTGGCACAATCTCAGCTGGCTGCAACCTCCACCTTCCGAGTTCAAGTGATCCTCATGCCTCAGCCTCCTGAGTAGCTGGGATTACAGGTGCATGCCACCACATCTGGCTAATTTTTGCATTTTTGGTAGAGATGGAGTTTCATCATGTTTGCCAGGCTGGTCTCGAACTCCTGACCTCAGGTGCTCCTCCCACCTCAGCCTCCCGAAGTGCTGGGATTACAGGTGTGAGCCACCACGCCTGGCCATTTGGTTATTTTCTTAACCAGAGAAGGAAAATGCATGGTGAAAATAAAGTGCAAGAGCCCTAGGCCCTTGCCTTAGATTTACTGGGATGGGGGATGGAGAGAGAGAGGCTGCCACTGTTTCTCTGAATTCCAGCTCCCAGTGTTGGTCACTCAACTGAGAGCAGGAAAATTCACCTTGTGCACTTGGGGCATCAGGACAAAGATGACAGGGAGTCCCACATCTACCACGAAAGAGAAAAGGGTCCCTCCTGCCTTATGAATCATGTCCCAGTTTTCTAATTGCATGTGCTTTCCTGCACACATAATGATTTCTCCTTCCTTCAAGCACCAGTTGTCACAGGGCAAATACAGCAACAGCAGAAAGGAATTGCTACTGAGCCTGATGCTCTGATGGAAGCTCTGAGTGGAGACTTTATTTCACATGTAGGTGCCTCTGAGTCAATGCAGAGTTTTGCCTGACTCCACTCTAGCTCCAATTCGATCAAGGTCTATATGCTCTGGGACCTCTCCAGTTCCTCATCAGACATGACAAAGAATGCCACATGTCCAGCTCCTGGGGTGCCTGATGGCAGTGAGAGGCAGCTCCTAATTGGGGGAGAGCTTTGGGGTTACCAAGGCCTCACAGACTTCATTACTGTTGGGCCACGTGGCTTCAGTCCCGTGACCACAATGGGTTCATGAGCCTGGATTCACCTCTGACATTCGTGTCTTTTTTTCTTGGGCTTTCACAAGTGGCCTCTGGTTGAGATGGGGGGAAAGGAAACAGGGATTCAAAATCTCTGACTGCCCAGTGGCCTCCCCTCACTTCCACTCAGAGACAACATGGCCATTTCGCTAAATTCCTGAAGACGCGGCCAATATAAGTAACAGAACACAGAGAGTTGCCTTGAACAGAGTTCCATGGAAGGGTGGCTGGTGCCCTCTAGACTCTTTGTCTACACTTGCTGGGCTTTCTTTAGCATGAAATGTCCCAGAGACAGCCACATTCTAAGCTTGGATCCTCAAAGCAAAGGGTGTGAGGGCCTTATCCCTGGCCAAATGAGCACTGAATTTGAGAGAGACCAGGAAACCTTCTAATTATTGGGACACTTTACTCCTGAATCCTGAATCCTGGAAGTTGGTTTCTGGCCAGGGAGGCAGGTGTCTTTATATCTTGTCTGTCTCTGTGAGGCCTCTTGTCCCTCTGCCCTTCCCATCTTTCTACCCCCGTTAATCCCAGAACAGATAGAAACATTCTGCCTTCTTTGATGCCTCTTGCTATAAACTTCAATGGCTTTTGATTGAATTAATAAGTGAAATCAACTTTAATAAAACATGAGGTTTAAAGAATGGCATTTGACATGGGTTTAGAATGAATAAATGGATCAAGTAATGAATTTTGAGAAAATGCATGTAAAATTTATCTTTAATTCCCAATGGCATTTTATTAACTTGACTGTGGAATTAATAAATGATTCTAAATCAATACCAAAACGTGCAATCACAAATGTGTGAATGCACAGAAGTGTGAATGAAGGGCAGTGCACACAAGAAAAAAAGATGTGCACATGAAGAACTTCTTCATTCCAGGTTTTTACTGATCCCTCTAGTCAAGATGGGATAAGAGTCCAAAAATATGCTTTCCTCACATGGTCAAATGATTCAGCATAAAATACAACTGATTGAACACAATTATCTATGCTTTAAATATATTAGAAAAAATCCATAAGGAAAAATGATCCTACCATCACTAAGATTTTAATTTATAATAAAATAAAGCCTAGAAATGTATCTTTTGTTCCCAATTCCAATGATTATAGGATTTCAGTGTTTGGCTTTGATAAGACCATTTAAAACAACTCAGGGAAGTTTTCTTAACAAACTCTATAGCAGGACCACAGCTAAACCTATGAGCATTAGTAGAAGTAAACAATGACACTGCCTTTAAAATTTCACTTTGAAAAACATGTTTGAAAGTGGCTGACTGGCTCCTAATTTAACTATCATTCGAGGTCATATGTTAGATTGGCAAAGTTGTTGTAATTTGTATGTATTTTATTTTTGTAATGCAAGTGCTTCACTCTACTATCAGATAAAATAAAATGTTAAGCTGGACATGGTGGTGCACACCTGCAGTCCCAGCTACTCAGGAGGCTGAGTGGGAGGATCCCTTAAGCCCAGGAGTTCAAGGCTGCAGGAAGCTCTGATGGTGCCACTGCATACCAGCCTGGGCAACAGAGTGAGGCCCTGAGTCTAAAAAATAAATAAATTAATTAAATGTTAACTTCAAATCTTATTGTTAGCAGTTCAACCTTGAACTGATTATTGGAGTTTTTTTTTTTTGTTTTTTTTTTTTTTTGAGACAAAGTCTCACTCTGCCGCCAGGCTGGAGTGCAATGGCATGATCTCGGCTCACTGCAACCTCGCCTCCTGGGTTCAAGCGATTCTCCTGCCTCAGTCTCCTGAGTAGCTGGGACTACAGGCACCTGTCACCATGCCTGGCTAATTTTTGTATTTTTAGTAGAGACGGGGTTTCACCATGCTGGCCAGGCTGGTCTCGAACTCCCGACCCCAGGTGATATGGGCCTCCCAAAGTGCTGGGATTACAAGCATGAGCCACCATGTCTGGCCTTGAGATCTTATCTGAGAGAAGCTGTTGTGAAAACTTAGAGAATATGAACAAGAAGTAAATGTCAATCTTGTTTCTAAATTACAAACTAAAAGGAAATTCTATAAACCTTTAATACTAAGCTAAATCATGGTAGAATGAATGACCAAAAACTATCCTACAAAACATACCAGCTGCTAGGTGTATCTGAATACTAATAAAAGATGAATGGAAAAAATGCTCTAGGAATGAGGTCAAGAGTTCGAGACCAGCCTGGCCAACATGGTGAAACCCCGTCTCTACTAAAAATTCAAAAATTAGCCGGGCATGGTGGTGGGCACCTGTAATCCCAGCTACTCGGGAGGCTGAGGCAAGAGAACCACTTAAACCTGGGAGGCAGAGGTTGCAGTGAGCCAAGATCGCACCACTGCACTCCAGACACGGCAACAGAGTGAGAACCTGTCTCAAAAACAAAAAACAAGGAAGGAAGGAAGGAGGAAAGAAAGAAAGAAAGAAAGAAAGAAAGAAAGAAAGAAAGAAAGAAAGAAATTATATTTAGAATAAAATTCTTACCTTATAGCAAAATTTCTTATTGAAAAACCACTTTATTTCACATACAAATAAGAATTCAGCATTTTTCTATACCCAGAGATAACAGAGATAAACAGGGGTTTTTTGTGGGGTTCAGATATTTTATTAGCTGCTGAGTGTAAGAAAATCTACCACTGAAGAAGCTGAAATCCCATTTTTCTTTGAAATGGGATCTTTCCAAAGTTAGTAACAATGAAGTTGTCATTCACATAATGGATGACTGAACAAAAAGATAGTGATAGTAGATGCTGCATTTTGTTTCTGTAATGTTGGGAACGGGCCCCCCAAAATATGGCCATAAACTGGCCCCAAAACTGGCCATAAACAAAATCTCTGCAGCACTGTGACATGTTCGTGATGGCCATGATGCCCACGCTGGAATGTTGTGGGTTTACCAGAATGGGGGCAAGGAACACCTGGCCCACCCAGAGTGGAAAACCACTTAAAGGTGTTCTTAAACCACAAACAGTAGCGTGAGCAATCTGTGCCTTAAGGACATGCTCCTGCTGCAGATAACTAGCCAGAGCCCATCCCTTCATTTCAGCCCATCCCTTTGTTTCCTGTAAGGAATACTTTTAGTTAATCTATAATCTATAGAAACAATGCTTATCACTGGCTTGCTGTCAATAAATACATGGGTAAATCTCTGTTCAAGGCTCTTGGCTCTGAAGGCTGTGAAACCCCTGATTTCCCACTCCACACCTCTATATTTCTGTGTGTGTATCTTTAATTCCTCTAGCTCTGCTGGGTTAGGGTCTCCCCCACCAAGCTGGTCTCAGTAAGCAGCACCCATACGTGGGGGCTCGAATCCAGGTTGAAGGGTCGCCAGAGCAACAGTTGGAGAATGGGGAACTAAGCTGGAGGACACCCAAGTACTCTTAAGCAATCCTCGTAGTGAGTAAGATGGGGAGCTTGGAAGCATCCGGTAACAATGGGACAAGTGTGGGCTCTGGTTCGTTCCACCTTGGAACTTTTTCACACTGATGATGAGGAGGAAGGAGAGTATGACGAAGTAACAGAAGAGGTTACAGAGCAGGTTTATTTGCCAGCTAAAGCTAAAGCGGCAAAGGAGGAAGAGGTTCATCCCTACCCTTCTGCACCCCCTCATTATTATTTTGAAGAAAAAGAGTGGCCAGACCCTCCAGATCTTTCTTTTCTGGAGGACACTGGGCGAAAAGTAGTTGCCCCAGTGACTGAGCAGCACCTCGAGCGACTGCTGTCAGTTCTATTCAGGCAGGAGTTCAGCAGGCTAGACGAGAGGGTGATATAGAGGCTTGGCAGTTCCCTGTTAGAATACACCACCTGATCAACAGGGAAATATTATAGCTACATTTGAGCCTTTTCCTTTTAAATTACTCAAATAATTTAAACAAGCTATTAATCAGTATGGACCAGGTTCTCCTTTTGTAATGGGACTGTTAAAGAATGTTGCTGTTTCCAGTCGGATGATTCCTACTGACGGGGACACTCTTATTCGAGCTTGTCTAAGTCCTGCTCAATTCTTACAATTTAAAACTTGGTGGGCAGATGAAGCTTCCATTCAGGCTGCTTGCAATGCCCAGGCCGAAACTCAAATTAATATAACATGGACCAACTTTTGGGGGTCGGCTGCTGGGCTGGTTTAGACGCACAAGTGGTCATACAGGATGATGCCGTAGAGCAGCTTAGAGGAGTGTGCATTAGAGCTTGGGAAAAAATCACTTCAGGTGGAGAACAATACCCTTCCTTTAGTGCTGTAAAACAGGGACCAAAAGAACTGTATGCAGATTTTATAGCTTGGAATCTCTTAAGACAGGAGTCTCTTAAAAAGGTGATTTCAGATTCAGCTGCTCAGAATATAGTGTTGCAGTTATTAGCTTTTGGCAATGTTAATCTCGATTGCCAGGCTGCTTTGCGACCTATTAGAGGGAAAGCACATTTAGTTGATTATATCAAGGCCTGTGACGGTATCGGAGGTAATCTGCATAAAGCTACTTTGTTGGCACAGGCAATGGCAGGACTGAGAGTGGATAAAGGAAATACTCCATTTCCTGGAGCTTGTTTTAACTGTTTGAAGCATGATCACACTAAAAAACAATGTAGAAAAAATCAGCAAGTCAGGCCACCATATAGGGGAAAAAAAGAAAACTACTGAGCCTGAAATATGTCCAAAATGCAAAAAAGGAAAACATTGGGCTAATCAGTGTCACTCTAAGTTTGATAAAGATGGGAACCTGATTTCAGGAAACACCATGAGGGGCCCATCCCGGGGCCCCATTCCAAACCGGGGCATTTCTGGCTCAGGCCATTCCCTCATCCTTGTACAATATCTGTCCCCCGCCACAGCCAGTAGCACCAGAGTAGATTTATGTTGCACAAAAGCTGTGAGCCTTCTGCCTGGGGAAACCCTGCAAAAGGTCCCAACCGGGGTCTGTGGACCCTTGCCAGCGGGAACGATAGGATTATTTCTAGGAAGGTCTAGTTTAAGTTTAAAAGGAGTACAAATACATACAGGGGTCATTGATTCAGATTACAATGGGGAAATTCAAATTGTTATATCTACTTCTGTTCCCTGGAAAGCAGAGCCAGGAGAGTGTATAGCACAGCTCCTGATTGTGCCGTATGTGGGAATGGGAAAAGTGAAATTGAACAAACAGGAGGATTTGGAAGCACAAATAAACAAGGCAAAGCAGCTTATTGGGTGAATCAAATTACTGATAAACGTCCTACCTGTGAAATAACTATTCAGGGAAAGAAATGTAAAGATTTGGTAGATACAGGAGCGGACATTTCAATCATTTCTCTACAGCACTGGCCGTCTGCGTGGCCAGTTCAACACACTCAACTTAAAACAGTTGGAGTTGGTAAAGCCCCTGAAGTATATCAAAGCCATTATATTTTGCATTGTGAAGGTCCCGATGGACAACCTGGGACTATTCAACCAATTATAACTTCCGTACCTATAAATTTATGGGGGAGAGATTTATTACAACAATGGGGAGCACAAGTTCTACTTCCAGAGCAATTATATAGCCCTCAAAGTCAACATATGATGCATGAAATGGGGCATGTCCCTGGTATGGGACTAGGAAAAAATTTGCAAGGTTTGAAAAAAAATGCTTCAAGTGGAGAGACAAAGTTCCCGCCAAGGTTTAGGGTATCATTTTTGATGGCAGTCATTGTTAAGCCTCCAGAACCTATACCTTTAAAATGGTTAACAGATAAGCCAATTTGGATAGAACAGTGGCTGCTAAGTAAAGAGAAACTGGAGACTTTAGAGAACTTCGTTAATGTACAATTAGAAAATGAGAACATAGCTACAATACTTTCCCCTTGGAATTCTCCAGCTTTTGTAATTAAGAAAAAATCAGGTAAATGGAGAATGTTAACTGATTTAAGAGCCATTAATTCAGTTATACAAGCTATAGGAGCATTACAGCCAGGAAGGACTCTTTCTTTACTATACCCTTAGCTAAGCAAGACAGTGAACGGTTTGCATTTACAATTCCTGTGGTAAACAGTCTGCAGCCTGCTAAGCATTTTCATTATTTCACAGATGGGTCTAGCAATGGTAAAGCTTCTTATTCTGGATCAAAAGGTAAAGCTTTCCAGGCAACCTATACTTCAGCTCAGAAAGCAGAGCTTGTAGCTGTAATTGAGGTGCTGACTGCTTTTGATATGCCTGTTAATGTGATTTCTGATTCTTTATACATGGTTCATTCCACGCAATTAATTGAAAATGCTCAGTTATGATTTATACAGATGAACAACTGATAACAAAAACAAAAAAGGGGGAGAAACAGGGATTACGAGACAGCCCATACACAACTGAATCTAGCATTATTAACTTTAAATTTTTTGAGGCTGCCCAAAGGCCAGATGTTATCAGCAGCTGAACAGCATCTACAGAAACCAGCTGCAAAGACAGGAGCAGAACAACTGGTTTGGTGAAGAGATCCAATAACAAAAAGTTGGGACATAGGTAAAATAATAACTTGGGTAGAGGTTATGCTTGTGTTTCTCCAGGCCAAAACCAGCAGCCAATTTGGATACTATCAAGACACCTAAAACCTTATCATGAGCCAGATGCCAAGGAAGAGATTCCAGGAGGATCCCGAGGACCCCCTGGTTGCAGCCATGTCGAGACTGATGCTGAGGAGGACCCTAACTGTCACGAGCAACACCCATTGAACACAGCCACCCACCTGGGGACAGATCAAGAAGCTGTCACAGATGGTGGAAGAAAACCTGAGGAAAGCGGGACAACCGGTCACAATGACTGTTTACTGGAATGAAGGCTGTGAGACTCCTCATTTCCCACCCCACACGCCATATTTCTGTGTGTGTGTCTTTAATTCCTCTAGCGCCACTGGGTTAGGGTCTCCCCGACTGAGCTGGTCTCGGCACTGTAATTCTGCCTTGTCCACATGGCACTATTTACACTTTAATTAATTAAAATTAAATGGATTTTAAAAGCCAGTTTCTTATTTGCACCAGCCATATATTTCAAGTACTCAGAATTCACAGAATATGAATGTCTGTATCTGTGCCATAATGAATAGCTCAGATATAGACACTCCATCACTGCAGAAGGGGGTTGGACAGTGGTATTCCAATGTTTCATGGACAGGATCCTGAGTATAATTACGGAATAATGACAATTCCAAGTTCCCATTTCAATTCATGGTCTCTTCTCTGATTTGTGGTGTAGGGGGCAGCCCATCTCTTTTGTGAATAAAGGTTAATTTTTCCAATTACACGTAAGTAGCTAATATTATTTTTTTTAGCAGTCTTACAGTGTAAGTTACAACCAAAAGTGAAGTGCCTGAATTATATTTACATTTTAACAAATGGTTTTAAAGGGAAAATTCATGTGAAAAAGAAACAAAAGTCAGGAAAAAAAACACACAGAAGTTTCCATACCAATCCTGATAGCAATAACAATCCCTTTGCTGTCGTGAGAGTTCACCCTCATCCTGATTTCATAGTAATCCTGTTCACACCTTTCTTTAAAGCTTTACTCCCATGCATACATCTCTAAAACAATATAGGTTATCTCAAACTTCATATAGATTTTGAATCTTTTGATACAAATGGAATCGTGCTATGTGTATTCTTATGAGACCTTATTTTAGCTCAAATGTATGTTTGCTAAGTTGTTATAGGTGTCTCTAGAGCGTTCATGTTTATTATTCATAGAATTCCACACATTAAATTAATCCTTCTTTGTTTGTGGTCATTTTATTTGTTTTCAGGTTTTAAAAATTACAAACAATGCTGTTGTAAGCCTTCTTGCACATGTATGTTGGCACAATGAGCATATATCTTTCAAAATTATATGCCTAAGAGTGGAATTACTGGTGTATGTATATGATATCCCACCCAAAGAGATGATGCCACACTGCTAGACAAAGTGTGTGACAGCTCTTGATGGTCCATATTCGCACCAACATTTGGAATAGTCAGTGATTTTAATTTAGAAATTCTAGTGGATTTGTCATGACATATCATTATATTTCTTTCCTTAAACTTTATTAAGATATAATTCACATATCATTCACCCATTTAAAGTATACAATTCAATGGTTTTTCACATATTTGGATTTTTAAATCACCATATCTAATTTTAGAACATTTTCATCATCCCAAACTGTTCTCCACAGTTTGAGAGCTGCCTTCTGCAGACCAGCAAGACACAGATTGTTCTCAGCTCCCCTTGTCTCTGGACCCTGACTTCTCTTCCCCCAGCTGCACAGCTGATAAACTGTGTCTCCTCCCAAGCATAGCCCAGGAAGGATATAGGGAGAGGGGCCCATTCCCCTGATGTCCCAGAACCCCTTCCACATAATCCCAATATCCAGGCCCGGTGTCCCCTTCCCTGGATCAACCTTCTTTTTCTGGGAATGAAAGAGTTGCAGTGTTTCCCTCCCAGATCTCCCCTGTGACTCACTCACTCTAAATAGATATCTTGCTCTATGAGTTATTATTCTCATATCCTTTCTTTGAAGCTGTGATAAGATATTACAAACTATTAAGAGAACATGGAGGCTAGGCGTGGTGGCTCACGCCTGTAATCCCAGCACTTTGGGAAGCCAAGACAGGCAGATCACCTGAGGTCAGGAGTTCGAGACCAGCCTGGCTAACATGGTGAAAACCCCATCTCTAAAAATACACAAATTAGCTGGGTGTGGTGGCAGCTGCCTGTAATCCCAGCTACTCGGGATGCTGAGGCAAGAGAATTGCTTGAACCAGGAGGTGGAGGTTGCAGTGAGCCGAAATCACGCCATTGCACTCCAGCCTGGCAACAAGAGATAAACTCTGTCTCAAAAAAAAAAAAAAAAAGAAACAGAGAGAGAGAACATGCAGGTTAGGTTCTCTTTTTGGATTCTGAGGACCTGCTGTGCTGGGGCAGAGGCAGGTGGGGAGAGAAGGACAGGTGGAGGGGCAGGTGCTGAGTGGTGTGCACCCTTGCTCCGTGCTCAATAAAGTTCCTGCTGTGGTCATTTCTTGTGTATTTGTCTGGATCCCTCCGTGTGCTGGGATTTGTGCCTGGTCTTTAGGGGCGGGTGCTGCTCCAGGTCGGAGGCCTCACACATCTCCAGGCTGAGTCTTTCTCCAAGTCCATGGAGGTCATGGGCTGAGAATGACAGTTCTCCATCCTGCCCTCAGCTCCACTTTGTGTGTGTGTATTTTTACATGTTGATCTCACCCCTCTCGTCAGAGATTTACAGGAATAGTACTCTGTAGGAGAGCCGTTATCATCCTGCTCCGGCCAGGCTCTGTCTCTCACTTTTGGGTCGTGTGTTCTGTTTCTTGTCCTCTAAAGACTCAGGGCAGCCTCTGCACTTGGGGCTTCTCAGATGCCCCAGATTGATTGTTTTCACCTTTGCCTTCCTTCATGCTCTGTTTCCAGAATACTCTTATTTTTCCCTTTTATTGTAGTAAGTCAATTTTTTGAATTAACATCATGAATAGATGTGTTAGTGCAATGTCTTAAATACATTCTTGTCACTTCTCCTTTTGTGGGAGCACCCTGTGGTCAGTCAGGGACCTGGCAGGAAAGAGATGGCACCTTTTTTTTTTTCCGAGACTGAGTTTCACTCTTGTTGCCCAGGCTGGAGTGCAATGGTGTGATCTCGGCTCACCACAACCTCTGCCTCCTGGGTTCAAGCAATTCTCCTGCCTCAGCCTCCCGAGTAGCTGGGATTACAGGCATGCGCCACCACGCCCAGCTAATTTTTTATTT
Organism: Homo sapiens; assembly: GCF_000001405.40. NCBI lineage: Eukaryota > Metazoa > Chordata > Mammalia > Primates > Hominidae > Homo > Homo sapiens. The sequence continues at coordinate 2,486,076 of NT_167248.2, read as the reverse complement.
TTAGTAGAGACAGGGTTTCTCCATGTTGGTCAGGCTGGTCTTGAACTCCCAACCTCAGGTGATCCTCTGGCCTCAGCCTCTCAAGGTGCTGAGATTACACGTTTGAGCCACCGTGCTGGCCTGAGATGGCACCTTCTACACAGGTGCCGGCAGGGCCAAGAAAGCCACAAAGGGCGCTGAAGCTCCCTGGGATTATTCCTGGCAGGAAACTGTTTTCATCTTGAAGCTTGAAAGAGCAACGAAGGGAGCAGTTTCCAGAACCCAAGGAAATCTGTAGCTTTCACTAGGGGCAGACCCACATGCCTGTGGCTGTAGGTAGAGGATGGCAATGATTACGGAACCACAGAGCTGTCCAGAGGGAGTGAGGGAAATGAAAACCCTGAGTTACTTCTCCCCGCATGCTCCCATCTCCTGCAGGTGCCTGTTATCATCCACAGCCAAGCAGAAGCCAGGTGGTGCAGGAGCATGGGCCGTGCCTGTTGTGGTTGCCTCCCAGTGCAGGGGACAAGGTGGAGGAGGGTGAACGACGGCCCTGTGGAGAGAGAGAAGCAGAGAATAATGCACACACCTGCTTACAGTGTCCACATTCCTCAGGGAATTCACTTAAATATCCTAGAGTTTGCCCTAATCCAAAGGCATGGCTTCAAAAAAAAAATACATGTAATTTATTCATTCTGAGGCAGAAATTTAAAAATAATAATAATAATAATAAGTATTGCATTTACTTTAAGAAAAGTTAAAGCTAAGGCTTAGAATGTGGCAAGGCAAAAGTTAAAAAGAAAAAGAAAAGAACAAGTTTTTTTCTGCTTAGCAAGCTTACCTCAAGGACAGTTTTATACATATATTTTTTTTTAGATGGTGTCTCGCTTTGTCACCCAGGCTGGAGTGCCATGACACAATCTCGGCTCACTGCAAGCTCCGCCTCCCAGGTTCACGCCATTCTCCCGCCTCAGCCTCCCGAGTAGCTGGGACTACAGGCACCCACCACCACACCTGGGTAATTTTTTGTATTTTTAGTAGAGACAGGGTTTCACCATGTTAGCCAGGATGGTCTCGATCTCCTGACCTCGTGATCTGCCCACCTCGGCCTCCCAAAGTGCTGGGATTACAGGCGTGAGCCACCGTGCCCAACCCAAGGACAGTTATAAGATAACACTGTCTGAATAGCTAGGGCTAAAAAAATAGGCCTTGGACACTTCTTTTTTCTAGAGCAAAGTTGAAGGAAAAAAAGAGAAAAAAAGATTATTTTACTGTAGAATGCATGAACCAGACACTCAAGCAGCTACTGAAGAAATATTGCCAAGAAACTCATCTGAGACAGAATCAAGTCTTGCCTATAGTCCTCCTCTGAGCCAAGCGCACCCCCACCAAAGTATTTACCCTATAAGATTTTGTTCAATCAGCCACCGTCAAATTAAAAGTAATCTCCAACAACTAAAAGAACTAACCTTAAGAAATCAAATGCAGGCTTTAGAAACAGCCATGCAAAGTGTTCATAGTTAAGTACATAAAAGAATGCCTAGAAGTCTAACAGACCCAGTAAACCCTTTAAACCTAGTAGCTTTGTTTAAGTTAAAAAGTAGAACCCAACTTCTCTAAGACCCATGTAAGATAAGCCCCACAGAGTAATCTTGTCCACTCCCACTGCTGTTAAAGTTGCAAGAATCGTGCCTTAACTCCATCACAGTCGGCTAAAATCGGCAGCTCAGGACAAGTGAACCAGCCAGCAACACCCAGATCATCCAACCCGGCTGATCCTGAGACAAGACCAAGCTGCTGCTGAAGACGACAGCCCTGCTCTGGTCACTCCGGAGGCTGACCAGTCTACGCACAGCTGAAGTTTGAAGAAACAACAAGCCTTGCTCTAGTCACACACCGGAAGCTGACTAGTCTATGCACGGCTGAAGCTTAAAGACTCATCAAGCAAGTAAATGTAGTTAGAAATCTTAAGACTAGTAGTTTTCCTGTAATACTAACTGTTTTCCTATTGTTCTGTCACTGTGCTCAACCTCCTCCCCCAAATAAAGACCTCTTTTGTCCTTGCTAGATTTAAATATGCTGTACATTGTTTTGATGTTGTTACCCCCTTAACCATACTAGAAGAAACACTGACAGAAAAGTGTCCCCACTGTACACATACTACTTAGTCAAAGAACAGTATAACTAGAACTCTGTTGTACCATACTTATAAGTGTACAAAGACTCGCTTAAGAACTTGTACTTATAAGGCCGGGCGCGGTGGCTCACGCCTGTAATCCCAGCACTTTGGGAGGCCGAGGCGGGTGGATCACAAGGTCAGGAGATCGAGACCATCCTGGCTAACACGGTGAAACCCCGTCTCTACTAAAAATAAAAAAAAAAAATTAGCCGGGCGTGGTGGTGGGCTCCTATAGTCCCAGCTACTCGGGAGGCTGAGGCAGGAGAATGGCGTGAACCCGGGAGGCGGAGCTTGCAGTGAGCCAAGATTGCGCCACTGCACTCCAGCCTTGGAGACAGAGCGAGACTCCGTCTCAAAAAAAAAAAGAAAGAAAGAGATTCCATCTGCATGTATACATTCAGCCAGGACACAGTGGCCAGGGGTCTTAAACACCACCCAAGGGCCTTCAGGCAGTCAAGTTCCTCTTTCTTCTCAGGGTTCAGCCTGAGCACTGGGGTGACCAAACACACTGTGCAAAGGGCAGGAACCTCTTCAATGCCAGCTTATGAATCTGTCCCCTCCAGTGGTGGGAAATCGCACCTCAATCCACAATCCACTATTTCTTCCCGCCCTTACCTCCTCACACCCATCTGGAATTTAGGGGAATGTGGAGGGCAGCCAGCAGCAATAGCAGCAGCTGAGGCCTAAGGAAAACTGAACAGGAAGCCAAGGAAACACATCAGGTGACTAAAATTGTTTGCTGTTCTGCACATGTCCAAGAATGACCCCAAAAGATTTTCAATGACCAGTTCTATGGTTACCAACCTACCGGGCCACGTCATAGACATCAAGTGGATGAACATTGCCTTTATCAATGACAGGTGAGCCCCACACCCAGAAGGACACCTACTCTCCCATTCCTTATGTTTTCTATCTTTTCACACCTTACATCCTCTTCCCTCCCTCTGGGTGTCTTCCCTCTTTGGGTCTTCTGTTTCTACCCTCTGCCTCCTTTCAGGTGACTAGAGCAGGCTGGTTGGGAACAGGGCTTGGCCATCAGCGTTTGTGTCAGATGAGAATCATGCAAGGATCCAGTGTGATGGGCAGCATCGCTTCAAGGTCAGTGTTAGTGAGCTGCCTGATGAGACAGATGTCTCCTCCACGGTGAGTGCTGATCTCATGAAACACTTAGTTCCTCCCTGAACCTTAGTATGTTTTTCTTCAATCTCATCACATAGGTCATGGGCATCTGATGCATAATGGACACTTGACTGGTTCATGCCCCCTGGCCTTTGATGCTGTGTTGGGATGTTTTCCTGACCTTTATGTGGGGTTTCTGTCTTCTCTCATCATATTACATCCCTTCCCTCACCCCCACGTCCGTCCTCTGAACCCACACAGTACACCAGCATCTGCATGTGTGCCGTGTGTTCCTGCCTCACTTTCCCCTTTTCATGCCTTATTCTGACTGTGCCATATTTTCTCTTCAGTTGAACAGACACAGTAGAGGACTCACCAATTCTGGGATGTGATAGTCTGTCCTTCAGGAGAAGACCCCAGGGTGGGGGTGAAGGAGACACTACTGCCTCCACCCCTAACAGCCCCCACCCCATGGCTTCCCTCCTCTGCATCAGCACCACTCCTGAACCCCCATTCCTGATTGTCAGAATTTTAAAAATCCTAACTAGGCTGGGCGCGGTGGCTCACGCATATAATCCCTGCACTTTGGGAGGTCGAGGCGGGTGGATCACCTGAAGTCGGAAGTTCAAGACCAGCCTGACCAATATGGAGAAACCCAGCGTCTACTACAAATACAAAAATAACCGGGCGTGATGACGAGCGCCTGTAATCCCAGCTACTCGAGAGGCTGAGGCTCAAGAATCGCTTGAACCCAGGAGGCAGAGGTTGCAGTGAGCCGAGATCGCACCTTTGCACTCCAGCCTGGTCAACAAGAGGGAAACTCCATCTCAAAAAAAAAAAAAAATCCTAACGAAAAATGGAACACATGTGTGTCTGTGGTATCTGCATGCTACATCTTCTTACTGTGTTTGGGGAGAGGTTATTGTAGGACATGATCCAGGGTAAATTCCTGTAAGGCTGAGGTGCACTGCTGTGAGGTCAAAGGAGGCATGGGACTGAGACTGCAGAGCCCTGGCTCCCCACTACCTGCCTGTATTAGTCAGGGTTCTCTAGAACTAACAGAATAAATATATATATAAAGGGGGATTTATTAAGTAGTATTAACTTGCATGATCACATGGTCCCACAATAGGTCGCCTGCAAGCTGAGGAGCAAGGAAGCCAGTCCGAGTCCCAAAGCGGAAGAACTTGGAGTTCGATATTCGAGGGCACGAAGCATCCAGTATGGGAGAAAGATGTAGGCTGGGAGGCCAGTCTAGCCTTTTCACATTTTTCTCCCTGCTTTATATTCTGGCCACGCTAGCAGCTGATTAGATGGTGCCCACCCAGATTTAGGGTGGGTCTGCCTTTCCCAGTCCACTGACTCAAATGTTAATCTCCTTTGGCAACACCCTCACAGACATGCCCAGGATCAGTACTTTGCGTCCTTCAATCCAACCAAGTTGACACTCAGTATTAACCATCACACTGCTAACTTCTGGCCTTTTGTGGTCTCTTCCATTTTCCCAGTGGCCTGGGAGCAGCTGGGATATTTCTGATCCTGGGGTTCCTGGGGGTGGTGCACAGTATTTCCAATGCTGAGGGGTGCCACAGGCACTGGTGGGAAGCTTGGGTGTCTCCTCCCAGGCTCTCTTGGTGCCTCCTTCCTTATCTGTTTCTTCAGGTTCTGGATCTTGACCATCAGGGCCTGGGCCCCCCACCCCCTCCAGCAGAGCCTGATCCACTCCAGCTGCTGCTCCAGCAACTCTTTGGCTTGGGCCAGCTCAGCTGTGTGGTGGGGCCAGGGCCCTGGTGAGGGGAGTCAGGGAGGGAGCATCAGCCAGGGCAGGGGGGCTGAGGCTCTGGAAAGCTGTGCTGCAGGGTCTGGCTGTAAGTGGGAAATTCTACCTCCCTTTCTCTGTTTCTAGCCCATTAGTTTAAGTCCACCTGTACTGAGAAGCCCAGGGAGCTCTGTATCTTAGGTACAAGCCTCTGGGGAGCAGATAGAGATCCCTGGCCCAGGAGCTATACTGGAAAGCCCACAGCTGCAGAAAGTCAGGTTGCACCTGTAAAACCCCCAGCTGGTTAAAAAAAGATAAAATTTGACTACCTGAGAGGTTTCATTTATATAACAGGAACACCTTCCCAGCCTCTCTCTGTGGGCTATTAAAGATTTCAGAGATTTCTTATTCTAAACAATTAATGAAAACATCAAGTCTTAAAAGGACACATAGTAGTGTCATGGCTAGTCTTCAAAAATTCCCTTGACTAAATTAAGAGCAAAAAAATCACTTCAAACACTTCTGGTAGTTAAAATTAAACACTTCTCAGCCGGGTGCGGTGGCTCATGCCTGTAATCCCAGCACTTTGGGAGGCCGAGGTGGGCGGATCACGAGGTCAAGAGATTGAGACCATCCTGGCCAACATGGTGAAACCCTGTCTCTACTAAAAATACAAAAATTAGTCGGGTGTGGTGGTGGGCACCTGTAGTCCCAGCTACTCAGGAGGCTGAGGCAGGAGAATTGCTTGAACCTGAGAGGCGGAGGCTGCAGTGAGCCGAGATCACACCACTGTGCTCCAGCCTGGGCAACAGAGCAAAACTAAAAAAAAAAACATTAAACACTTCTGCCATGGCTCAGGTTTGCCACCTCATCAGGGAACAACTAAGGGCCACCCACCTTGTGGCCTAATAGTCATAACTTTGGTTAAGGCACTTGGGAGGATACCTTTTGGTAAAGAAGGTGAAAAGCCAGGAATATCAACTGTTCCTCCTGGCTAAAATCTGGTAATAAGAGATGTCAAAGGATTTTTTTAGAGCTCTATAGTCAAAATTTGACTTAATTAAAACTGATATTTTAGACTTCAGTGTGTACATATTGCTTTAAGGTCTCTTTTCTCCCTGGGTAAACATTTCTCAGTCAACTAAATGTCTCTCTTTTTCAACCCCCTGCTAGCCACATGCACTTCCTCTGTTTCCCTATTTCTTTGTTTTTTTTTTTTTTTGGTTTTTTTTTTTTTTTTTTTTTGAGACGGAGTCTCACTCTGTCACCCAGGCTGGAGTGCAATGGCGTGGTCTCAGCTCACTGCAACCTCCACCTCCCAGGTTCAAGCGATTCTCCCACCTCAGCCTCCCAAGTAGCTGGGACTGCAGGCGCCTGCCACCACACCCAGCTAATTTTTGTATTTTTAGTAGAGACGGGGTTTCACTATATTGGCGAGGCTGATCTCGAACTCCTGACCTAGTGATCCACCCACCTCGGCCCCCCAAAGTACTGGGATTACAGGCATGAGCCACTGCGCCCGGCCTCCCCTATTTATTTCTATCAGCCCCTCCTTCCTCTTGCCAACCTTGGTGCCACATAAGAAAAAAATTAAATTAAATAAAATTCTAATAGCCTGGGATCCCTTAAGAAAAATGCAAAAGGCACCACAGACGCATTTTTGTGAGAAACTGCTGTTTTTTCCTCAGGGAATCCCAAGAGGGAATCCAAGAGAGGACAAAATCCTCTCAGGTCAAAAACTCTGTTCCTTTGCCTTGCATGACCTGATTTTGGCTTTGAATGGGATCAGAAATCACTTTATATTGTGAGAAAACTTGACTTTGGCGTATACAATGGCTGGGAAATGGGCTGATCACAGAGTGGGCTGATTGGCACTGGGTTGCCCACCAGCCTTGAGAGAAAGTTTTTGTAGCAAAACACACTAAAAATATTGTATGGCCAGGTCCCCATGGCATTACTCTCTTTCTGGGCACTGAAAATTCAGTGTGGGCTCTACCCTGAGTTCAATGGTCCAGTTAAAAGATACAGGCCAAATTAAAAGCACCTATCTAAATGCAGTTGATCTCCTTATAAGATCCTATGATAGACCGGGCACGGTGGCTCACGCCTGTAATCCCAGCACTTTCAGAGGCCAAGGCGGGCGGATCACAAGGTCAGGAGATTGAGACCGTCCTGGGTAACATGGTGAAACTCCATCTCTGCTAAAAATAAAAAAAAGTAGCCGGGCGTAGTGGCACACACCTGTAGTCCCAGCTACTTGGGAGACTGAGGCAGGAGAATCGCTTGAACCTGGGAGGCGGAGGTTGCAGTGAGCCGAGATTGCGTTCTGCAGGAGGTACTAATTAAAATTGCGTACCTCCTAGTTTTTTCACTAAAAATAAGAGTTACTAAGAGTTAACATTACAATTCATAGATGTAATTTAAATTACTAGATATAAGATAAATAATTCTACAAGCAACATGCAAAGAAAAGTAGAATGTAGTTTTTGGTAGAAACATAAGAAGGCATGGAAATAGGGCTTTTGTTAAAGGAAAAGTAATTCTGCCTAGTTAGAGGGGTTTATTTTATTTTATTTTATTTTATTTTATTTTATTTTATTTATTTTGAGATGGAGTCTCGCTCTGTTGCCCAGGCTGGAGTGCAGTGGCATGATCTCAGCTCACCATCAACCTCCACCTGCTGGGTTCAAGTGATTCTCCTGCCTCAGCCTCCCAAGTAGCTGGGACTACAGATGTGCACCACCACGCTCAGCTAATTTTTTGTATTTTTAGTAGAGATGGGGTTTCACCATGTTGGCCAAGCTGGTCTGAAACTCCTGACCTTCTGATCCACCCGCCTTGGCCTCCCAAAGTGCTGGGATTACAGGTGAGCCACCACGCCTGGCCAAAATAATCTTTTATAACTTTTTTTGTTGGAAACATTGCTGATTCTTTTTGCTTTGTTTTTCAGAGTCAAGAAAACTTTTCTTTTGAACATTTACAGCTTTTCACAATGAAGCGTACTCTTGTAAGCAAAATTTGAGGCATATTTCTTTCTCTCTACCTGATTTCTCCAGAATTCAGAAACTATTTCTGAGATTTTGTTTGTTTGTTTGTTTTTTGAGAAGGAGTCTTGCTCTATCTCCCAGGCTGGAGTGCAGTGGGGCGATCTCAGCTCACTGCAATGTCTGCTTCCCGGGTTCAAGCGATTCTCCTGTCTCAGCCTCCTGAGTAGCTGGAATTACGGGCACCCGCCACCACGCCTGGCTAATTTTTGTATTTTTAGTAGAGACAGGGTTTCACCATGTTGGTCAGGCTGGTCTCGATCTCCTGACCTCATGATCTGCCTGCCTCAGCCTCTCAAAGTGCTGGGATTACAGGCATGAGCCACCACGCCTGGCCTTATTTCTGAGTATTCATGATTTATGGCAATATACTTAGTTGCATGAGTTTAATAAAAATCTGTTTTCTTTCTTAACAGGACATAATTTTGACACTGATTATTTTACCAAGGCTTTGGCTAGAATGCCATATTTTAAGATATAAGCAGACTGCTTTGAGAACTTGAGATTGATGTTATAGAACTGATTAAAAAAAAAAAAAACCCTTGGAAAAACTGACCTCATACTTTGTCTACGCATTTCCTTTACAGGGTTCCTGACAGGTAGTAAGTAAGAATATCACTTTCTCACAGACCTAGGAACCACACGTTATTTTGAGACCTTGAGAAGACAGAAATTTACCTCATTCATACAAGTATCTGCAGGCACAGATAAATCCTTGGCTGGACTCAAGAAAAACTCTAATCTGAGATTCCTTATGAAAAGCTCTAGCAAAACCAATTCAAAAAGAGCCTAGGGCCATGCACAGTGGCTCAGGCCTGTAATCCCAGAACTTTGGGAAGCTGAGGCGGATGGATCACCTGAGGTTGGGAGTTTGAGACCAGCTTGACAAACATGGAGTAACCCCGTCCTGACTAAAAATACAAAATTAGCTGGGCTTGGTGGCGCATGCCTGTAATCCCAGCTACTCGGGAGGTTGAGGCAGGAGACTCGCTTGAACCCGGGAGGCAGAGGTTGCAGTGAGCTGAGATTGCACCATTGCACTCAGCATGGGCAACAAGAGTGAAAACTCTGTCTCAAAAAAAAAAAAAAGAGCCTATTGGCCAATAATTAGTCTTGCTGCGCTTTATGCAAATAATCAGACCAAGTATAATAAGACTAAAACTTATTTTGCAGATACATTGGTCCCACTATGATTTTGATTTTGGTAAAAATAGGGGACTGGAGAGAGAAAAATTATTTCAAAGAAAATTATAGTATACTCATTATAAGATTCTAGCCTTGTCCATTGTTTTTCAGTTTTCACTATTTGTCTACAATTTATTCAGACTAGATCCTGAATTCTTTCCTGGCTATAAGTCTCCAAAGTTAACATTTTCAAAAGAAAAATTTCTCCCATTTTTCTCACTTGGAATCACTAGAAATTAAAACTGTGCTTTTCTTACAGCCCTGCAAACTGAAGCTAGAAAACTTAAACTTTGTAGCATAATAGCAGAAATAGTAGCATTTGCAGATAACTGTATTTTCACAAGCTTACTTTTTCTTATGTACAATGTAGACTTACTAAGTGCAAGACAAATGCATAATAGATTTTTTCTCTACTCCCTTCTTTTCACCTATAAAATGTAGATTGACTGAGCACTAATCAGAGCCTCACACACCCCACCTTTGTGCCTACCTACTGAAGTAAGGACTTCTCGGTAGCATATCCTAAATTACTTTTCCAGGATTGCATTCCCTTTGTTTCTATAATCTGGTCTTGGTCCCTCCCTTTTGTTTCTCTTTTTCCCTTTTTTCTTTCTCTCTTTCCCTTTTTTCTTTCTCTCTTCCTCCCTCTATTTTTCTCCATGGGACAAGAGACTTTACAAGCCCCTAAGAATAAGCCTTCCTAGCAACATGGGATCTAATCTTCTAGGAATAAATCATTCTAGCAGAAGAGGTTAGACTAAACCCATGAGCAGACACCCATTTTCTTCTACCATGCTTTCTCTGAAAGATTTTGAATAACAAGGGAGAAATGTGAAAAGAAAATAGAATCTCAGGACCCCAAACTGCTATGCAAGAAAGTTAAGCTTGGAAACTGAGTCATGCAAAATTTGCCTTCCTTTTGTTCCCAAACATATAACTGTAATTTTACATGCTTACTTTAGCTTATGTAAAATATAGATTTACTGAACATGATGTGAATGCATAACTGACTTCTTCCTCCCTCCCTTCTTTTCACATGTAAAATGTAGATTCACTAAGGACTAATCACAGCCTCACAAGTATGTAACCACTCGCATCATTGCCTACCTGTCCTTCCTTTTTTTTTCTTTCCTCTCCTGCTTGCCCTTTCTCCTTTAAATATTGAAGGTCCCAAAATCCTCCTTGGAAAAAGCACAGGTCACAGGTCCTATTGTGGCTTATGTTTCTTTTCCCCCAGCATATTTTCAACCTTGGCAAAATGAACACCGAATTGATTGAGATCTGCCTCAGTCACTTTTTGGTTTACAAAGCTAAATTAATTACATTTGTAAATTAAAAACAAGGGGCCAGGTGCAGTGGCTCATGCCTGTAATCCTAGCACTTTGGGAGGCCGAGGTGGGTGAATCACCTGAGGTCAGGAGACCAGCCTTGCCAACATGGCAAAACCCTGTCTTTACTAAAAATACAAAAATTGGCCAGGCATGGTGGCAGGCACCTGTCATCCCAGCTACTCGGGAGGCTGAGGCAGGAGGCAGAGGTTGCAGTGAGCCAAGATCACACCACTGCACTCCAGCCTGGACAACAGAGTGAAACTCCGTCTCAAAAAAAAAAAAAAAAAAAAAAGAGGCTAGGCACATTGGCTCATGCCTGTAATCGCAGCACTTTGGGAGGCCAAGGCAGGCAGATCATGAGGTCAGGAGTTCAAGACCAGCCTGGCCAACATGGAGAAACCCCATCTGTACTAAAGATACAAAAAATTAGCCAGGCATGGTGGCACACACCTGTAATCCCAGCTACTCGGGAGACTGAGGCAGGAGAATCACTTGAACCCAGGAGGCCAAGGTTGCAATGAGCTGAGATCACACCATTGCACTCCAGCCTGGGCAACAAGGTGAGACCCCATCTCAAAAAAAACAAAAACAAAAACAAAAACAAAAACAAAAACAAAAAGATAGCAGCTATTTAGAAAAAAAAAAAAAAACAAGAGCTTGGAGTGGCAAAGAAGACAAGCACTCAAACAAAAGGATTTCTCAGCAAGGCAAGTTTACTTCTGCAGAAGGGTGCTGCTTGCACTTCTGGCTGCTGTGAGAGCACACCGAACAATGGACAGAAGCGGGTTTTATCCCTAACGCAATCAGCCCCTGCTACTGTGTCGTCCTGTCCCCATTTGCTGAAGTCAGACTGCACAATCTAAGCTGATCCCAATTGGCTATTTCAAATGGAGCAGGAGTGTGAGTAAGTAGGGCGGGAAGGGCTGTTTCAGCGAGAAGAGAGAGGCCATCCTTTACTGTGCAAAACATGTCAGGGCATGGCAAAGGCAGGAAGAGCCCTCTGCAAGTTACAGATTGGAACTGGCGGGAGTTGGTGTTTACAGAGTGGGTAACTAGGAACAAGAGAGTACAAGGAAGTTGGGTTTTAGAAATAGAAAACAAAGAACAAGGAAGTTGAAGAAGCTGAACCTTTGAAGAGGAACTTACTGTATCTAACAGAACAAATGAGGCTTCTGCAAGACAATTGAAATGATACACTCATAACAATCCTTCATGAAAGTAACATATTAGCCACCTGAGTTTCTGCTTTAGGTTATGAACTCCAAAATGGACTGGCCCCCAGTAATTTACAGTAGGTAGTCCTAAGCCATAAATAAATAGAATCTGTGAATATTAGCTTTGTTCATCTGTAAGAACTTAAGAAAGTGCTGGGCATTGGGTCAGTTCAAGTCTATTGGATGAACTGTGAATCTCATAATCATGGAAATGTAGGAATAAAGATAAATATACATAAACCAGGCCAGGCTCGGTGGCTGACTCCTGTAATCCCAGCACTTTGGGAAGCCAAGGCAGGAGGATCACCTGAGGTTGGGACCAGCCTGACCAACATGGAGAAACCCCATCTCTACCAAAAATACAAAATTAGCCAGGCATGGTGGCACATGCCTGTAATCCCAGCTACTCGGTAAGCTGAGGCTGGAGAATCGCTTGAACCCTGGAGGTGGAGGTTGCGTTGAGCCAAGATCGTGCCATTGCACTCTAGCCTGGGCAACAAGAGTAGAAACTCTGTCTCAAAAAAAAAAAAAAAAAGTAAACCACAGATTACCTAATGCTAAGGTTTTGTTACAGGAAAGGAGTCTTGATTCAGACCCCAAGAGAGGGCTCTTGGATCTTGCACAAGGAAGAATTCAGGGCAAGTCCATAGAGTAAAGTAAACCAAGTTTATTAGAAAAGTAAAAGAACAAAAGAATGGCTACTCCATCAACAGAGCACCCCTGAGGGCTGCTGGTTGCCCATCTTTATGGTTATTTCTTGATGATATGCTAAACAAGGGGTGGGTTATTTATGCCTTCCCTTTTTAGACCATATAGAGTAACTTCCTGTCGTTGCCACAGCATTTGTAAACTGTCATGGTGCTGGTGGGAGTGTAGCAGTGAGGACGACCAGAGGTCACTCTCATCACCATCTTGGTTTTGGTGGGTTTTGGCTAGCTTCTTTACTGCAACCCATTTTATCAGCAAGGTCTTTAGGACCTGTATCTTGTGCTGACCTTCTGTCTCATCCTATGACTTAGAATGCCTTAACCATCTGGGAATGTGGCCCAGTAGGGTTCAGCCTTATTTTACTCAGCCCCTATTCAAGATGGAGTTGCTCTGGTTCACATGCCTCTGACAGTTTGAATGACCCCCCAAAACTCATGTTGACATTTAATTGCTATTCTGATAGTATTAAGAGGGGAGACCTTTAAGAGTTGATTAGGTTGAATAGATTAATGTCATTATTGTGGGAGTGGGCTCCTGATAAAAAGTATGTTTGGCCCCTTTGCCCTACCTCCTTTCACCATGGGATGACACTACAGGAAGGCCCCCACAAGATGCTGATACCATGCTCTTGGACTTCCCAGCCTCCAGAACTGTAAGAAATACATATTTTAATAAATTGCCCAGTCTGTGGTATTCTGTTACAGCAGCAGAAAATGAAACCTAGTTTGTTATGTTATCATGTTTATTTATTTATGTTTGTTATTCTTGAGTCATAATAGAGTCTTACTCAGATGTGCATTCATGCCTGGCCTCTGCAGGAGGGGCCTGTCTTCAGCCAGGGACAAAGCAGAACATTATGGTCAGCATCATCCACAAGGTCAAGAGGCCACAGAGCCCCCTGAGGGCAGTATACTGGCCCCTTCGATATTGTATCCTACCCAGCAGGTTAGTAGGACTGCATGACTGACAGGAATCATTGTAGCCTTCATAGCAAAGTTTTATGGAGACGGGGCTAAGGCTATTGAAGTCCAGCCATTAGATTAATGTAGGAGCTTGCTGTCAGAGACCCTGCTGGGCACTTTTTGTTCCTGTCACAGATGACCTTCACAACAACCTTTCAAGAGAGCTCTTTTCATTTCACTTTTCTTGCATGTGGATGTCCAGTTTTTCCAGTGCCATTTATTGAAAAGACAGTCTTTTCTCCACTGTATTGTCTTTGCTCCTTTATCTGTATTTATGTGGGTCTATTTCTTGGTTCTCTATTCTGTTTCATTGTTCTATTTGTCTATTCTTTTGCCAATACAACACTGTCTTTTTTAAATTAAATTATTTTGGTTGACAAATAAAAGTTATATTTGGGTGTATAGCATCATGTTTTCATATACGTATACATTGTAAAATGGCTAAAGCAAGCCATTAACATATACATTACCTCACATACTTTTTGTGGTAATAATGCTTCAAATAATTTATCTTATAATTTTGAAATATACAATATGTGGTTACTAAGTTTAATCACCATAAAGTACAATAGATCTCTTAAACTTATTCTTCCTATCTAATTGAAATTTTGTGTTGGTCGGGCATGGTGGCTCATGCCTGTAATCCCAGCACTTTGGGAGGCCGAGGCGGGTGGATCACTTGAGGTCAGGAGTTCGAGACCAGACTGGTCAACATGGTGAAACTAAAAATACAAAAATTAGCTGGATGTGGTGTCACATGCATATAGTCCCAGCTACTTGGGAGGTTGAGGCACAAGAATCACTTGAACCCGAGTGATTCAGAGACTGCAATGAGCCAAGATCATGCCACTGCACTCCAGACTGGGTGACAGAGAGAGACTCTTGTCTTTTTTTTTTTTTTTTTTTTTTTTTTGGTAGAGTCTCTCTCTGTTGCCCAGGCTGGAGTTCAGTGGTTCAGTGGTGCAATCTCAGCTCACTGCAACTTCTACCTCCCGGGTTCAAGCAATTCTCCTGTCTCAGCCTCCCGAGTAGCTGGGACTACAGGCGCATGCCACGACACCCAGCTAATTTCTTTTGTATTTTAGTAGAGACAGGGTTTCACCATGTTGCCCAGGCTAGTCTCTAACTCCTGAGCTGAGGCAATTTGCCTGCCTCGGCCTCCCAAAGTGCTAGGATTACAGGCTTGAGCCACTGCGCCCAGCCGAGACTCTGTCTTTAAAAAAAAAAAAAAGAAAGAAAGAGAAGAAATTTTGTGTCATTTGCTTACCCCTCCCCAATCCTCCCACCTCCCAGCCTCTGACAACTACCAGTTTACTCACCATGTATATGAGTTTGGCTTTTTTTACATTCCACATATATGTGAGATCATGTTTGTCTTTTTGCGCCTGGCTTATTTCACTTAACATAATGTCTTCTAGGTTCATTCATGTTGTTGACTGAATAGTATCCCACTGTGTATATATACCACATTTTCTTTATACATTCATCCATTAATGGATACTTAGGTTGATTCCATATCTTGGCTCTTGAGAATAACACTGCAGCCAGGTGTGGTGGCTCGCACATGGAATCCAGCTACTCAGGAGGCTGAGGCAAGATGACCACTTAAGGCCAGGATTCTGAGACCAAGCTGGGCAATGCAGTGACACCCTACCTCTAAAGAAAGAAGAAAGAATAATGCTGCAATGAACGTGGAAGCGCAGACATCTCTTTGACACACAGATTTTATATCCTTTGAATATATATTCAGTGGTAGGATTGCTGGATCATATGGTACTATATTTTAATTTTTTGAGGAACCTTCATACTCCTTCCAGCAATGACTATACCAATTATCTGTCTGGATTACTGCAGTTTTATAGAAAGTCTTGAAGTCAGGTGTGGCAGTACTTTGACTTTGTTTTCCTCCTATATTGTGCTGGCTAGGCCTTTTGCCTCTCCATATAAACCTTTTTTGTTTGTTTGTTTTTTGTTTTTTGAGACAGAGTTTTGCTCCTGTTGCCCAGGCTGGAGTGCAATCTCAGCTCACTGCAACCTCCACCTCCTGGGTTCAAGCGATTCTCCTGCCTCAGCCTCCCAAGTAGCTGGGATTACAGGCACCCGCCACCACACCCGGCTAATTTTTGTATTTTTAGTAGAGACGGGGTTTCACCATGTTGGCGAGGCTGGTCTTGAACTCCTGACCTCAGGTCATCTGCCCACCTCGGCCTCCCAAAGTGCTGGGATTACAGGCATGAGCCACTGTGCCCGGCCTCTCCATATAAATTTTTAAATTAGCTTGTGAGTATACACAAAATAACGTCCTGGGGTTTTGACTGGGATTGCATTGATTCTATAGATCAGGTTGGGAAGAAATGACATATTAACAATATTGAGTCTTCCTGGTCTTGCATCCCAGGTTCAAGCTATTCTCCTGCCTCAGCCTCCCGAGTAGCTGAGATTACAGGTGCCCACCACTACGCCTGGCTAATTTTTTGTATTTTTAGTAGAGATGGGGTTTCACCATGTTGACCAGGCTGGTCTCGAATTCCTGACCTTGTGATTCGCCTGCCTCAGCCTCCCAAAGTGCTGGGATTACAGGCGTGAGCCACCATGCCCAGTTCTTTTGTAGCATTTCAAGATGTTCCAGGCTTATCTTGTATTTTTCCTACTTCACCCCTAGAATCAGCTATTTTTCTAAGGAGCCCTGGTTCCTTCTATTGGAGATTGATGTATTATAACCAAAATCTGGGCATTGGGTGCTCATTTCACTTTCCTAAGGAGGACATAGAGGTTCTGTTGATGACATCTGTGATACCTCTGTCTTTGTCTTCTTCATTTAAAAGAATGTAAACAAGACACACACAGCAAAGGAGATGCAGTACAGAGCAATTTATTGCAAAGGAAAAATGATATTTTGAAAGTTAAGTGCAGAATAGATAGTATGCCCTGAGAGAGAGGATTCAGGGTGGACTGCTCCTAAGGATGAGACAGCATTGATTATTGCTGCAGAAACTCCCTTTATGGGGGTCTTACATGATTATTCATAAGGAGGTGGGAAGAGGTGTTACTAGTCAGCATGTTCTGGGTGGTCCTCTGGGTGGGTGGTCCTCTGGATGCACATGTGCAGTAGCTATACATGCTTGTTCATGCATCTCATGTCTCATAAGCATCTTAAATCTCCACCCAGGGGTGTGTTTCTTACTATTGTAATGAGCTAAGGGTCAGTTTGACGGTAGGTAAAATCAAAATGCGCATGCTCTCTACAGGGTAAATTCCCTACTGGAGATAGCTTTGCTTGAATGAGCTGGTCTACAATGTGAATGCTGGAGCTTATTGTGTTGACTGTATGGTTATCACTGTTGCTGCATCCCAAGGACACAGTTACTTCCTTGACTCCCTATCCTGCCTCAATTCCTCCCTAAAAGATCTTAGGACCCATAATCATACGGGAGGATGAGAGGCTAGGTCATTTCTTCCAGAGCTGCTTCCTGCTGAGTGCGGCATTGTCCTTGCCTAACCTGGGCCCTGAAGTCTTTTCCTGCCTAGTCTAACAGTGTGTAAGCCATGTCTTTCAGGGGACTGGTGGGCAAGATGTGAGATAGCTCATTAGCAGCCAAAGGTTGGAAGCCTTGCAAAACCATCACATGAACCGGGATTTGCTGTAGGTGACAAAGCAAGAAATCAGCAATTTTTTTTTTTTTGAGACAGTCTGGCTCTGACGCCCAGGCTGGATTGCAATGGAGTGATCTCAGCTCTCAGCTCACTGCAACCTCTGCCTCCCAGGTTCAAGTAATTCTCCTGCTTCAGCCTCCCAAGTAGCTGAGATTACAGACGCCTGCCACCACACCTGGCTAATTTTTTGTATTTTTAGTAGAGACAGTGTTTCGACATGTTGGCCAGGCTGGGAAATCAGCATTTTAAACAAAGTTGGACCAAAAGTTAGAGCTAAACATATGGTAATGACTGGCACTGTTAAAGGGAGCAAGGCAGAAAACAGCCATTGCTTCCAAGTTCCCATGGACGCTCCTAAATATTCAATTTTGTCTGCCTGGGTAATGATTTTCTTATTCCAAGAAAATGCTATTAATATATATTTGTAATTTGATTGATGCAAAAACAACATTCTTCTTCTAGATACAAACATGTTCCTCGTTGTCCAACTGTGAGAAGGTCTAAGGCTCTTCGGTTTTGTAGGACTGCCAGGAAGTCCAGCTGTTGCTGAAGTCTAGTGAGGCTCTCTGCTGTTTGTCAGAGGGCCACTGTGGTCTCCTGAGACAGTTTATGCTGGGTTCCCAAGGCTCTGTCTCTGTGGCTGGCTCTGCTAGTCCCGATAGAGAGGATAGCACTAATCCCATGGGAAGAAGAAATCCTGCTCAGCGGTGGATCTTGTGATGTTGGTACATGGGGAAAGGGAGAGATTTGTTAGCCAATGCAAAAGGTAGATAAGGGGAAATGTAAACTATGGGACATCGTCCCTTCCATTGTGGAGGGAGTTGTAGACGTGCTGAAGATCCACAAATACCAACAAATTCTTTTTTTTTTTTTTTTTTTTTTGAGACAGTCTCACTCTGTCGCCAGGCTGGAGTACAGTAGTGCGATCTCAGCTCATTGCAACCTCCGACTCCCTGGTTCAAGCGATTCTCCTGCCTCAGCCTCCTGAGTAGCTGGGATTACAGGCACATGCCACCATATCTAGCTAATTTTTGTATTTTTAGTAGAGACAGGGTTTCACCATGTTGGCCAGGATTGTCTCAATTTCCTGACCTCGTGATCCACCCGCCTCAGCCTCCCAAAGTGCTGGGATTACAGGCGTGAGCCACTGCGCCCGGCCAACACAAGCAAATTCTATGTGATGGTGAAATTTGTGCTGCAAAAGCATTTTGCATCGAGGTGGTAAAAGTAATGGAAATTTGGTGGTCACTGGACTAATTAGAGGATGGTAGAGTTGAGTGGTGTTAATAAGCTTTTTGAAATAAGGTTCCCCCTTTAGGGTTCTATCATGAGGTGTATAAATGATTCTGTGAGAAAGGTTTAGATATACTGACTCTCTTGTGGAGTTTTTCTATAAAAGGAGTGAAACTGGCATGGTTGCTGTAAAGGCAGAAGGGGAATTGCTCTGGGTAAAAAGCAAGGTAAGAAAGCAATTTTCCCCTTGGCAGAGTGAAGCTATTATTCATAGATAAAAATGGAAGTTTGAACTGGCAGTGGCCAGGTCCAAGGAACTCTCTTTGTATTGTTTGTTTAGTCAGATATTCCCACATTATGGTCCAAAGTTTGTTCCAGGAGGTGTATAGGAATGTTGGCCCATTCTTCCCGAGAAACAGGTTTTGCACATTTTTAAATTTTGGTAGTCATGCAAAGCCAGCAAGACTGAGTTAATTTTTATAAATTAGTAGTATGGTTTATTATTTCTTTAGCAGGTAAGGTCGTTTTACTAAAAGCGCCTAAAATACAGTAAATAAATAAGAAAAAAATAAAAACATCACATTTCACTGTGAGTTGTTTTCTTGAATAGAAGCTTATGCTGAGGCAACATTAATTGCCTGATGTTTTGGGTCTTGGCTGTTTTTGGACAGGAGCCTTAGATCCTCCAGTGCTTCATAGGAATAGCTTGGAGTCTTTGTTTCAAGTTTCTGTGATGACTTAAAAGGAATCATTTTTTATTTTTGATAAACACACCAAAGGCCTACACCCCTAAGTTTTACTGCAGCAGAAGTTGGTCAGCTGCATGGTAGAGTGAAAATCCTAGTCTGGAGTTTGCTATTAACACCAATGACAGTGTCGTGTTTGGTAGACAGAGGCCCAGGGCAGACAGTGAGAACTGACAGGCCAGCCTCTGTCTTTAAAAGGATATTGATATTTTTGCCTGTCATGTCCAGGGTCATCCGAGGCTCCATTGCTGTGACTGGGGCTGATTGCCACATAGGAGCTGTTTTTTGCCTTTGGTCTCTTTAGTCTTTAGCCAGGGACAATAAGGAATTAGGAGTCCCTCCTCCCTTCAGAGTTGGAGACAGTCCTTCTTCCATTGCCCTTCTTTGTCACATTGATGACAGGCTCCAGAGGGTTTGCAAGCCTGAAGGCCTTTGTTACTTACTTAGCTCCAGTGTCCAGGCTTTTTATAAATGCAGGAATAGCCCTTGGGTTCCACTCAGGATGACCTGGAGGTGGGAGTTTTCGCATAGTGAGTGAAGGCCAAAAATTGGGACTATCTTTTGTCTCTCTTTTCTTCCCTTTGATCTCTATGTGCCTTTTCCACTCTGTCTTGGTAATTAAAGACACCAAAAGTTAGGTTTAGCAGTTCATTTATTGGGACTTGGGGATTTATGACTAGTTTTGTGACTTTTTCCTGATATCTGGGACAGACTGACTCATGAAGTAGGTCTCTAAGAGGATTTGGTTGTTTTTCTGTGTGTTACCTGAGAGAGGGAGATACAGACAGAGAGTGAGAGTAGGTTGCTTTTTGTTTTAGGGGGGCAATAGGATACTCTGCTATGAGTTGTCCCAGCAGGACTGGGCTCTTTAGGGAGTGTTTGGTGAACAAGCTGATAAGGACGGGGTGCAGAAGACTGTGTGTCAAGTGAGGAAGGACTACAGGAGTAGAAGCTTAAGAGGTTTGAAGAGTAACCCTGGACTAGATTGTAAGGGAGGAAAGTTGTTGGTAGGAGGTATTTTTCTTTCTTTCTTTTCTTTTTTTTTTTGAGACAGAGTCTCACTCATCACCCAGGCAGGAGTGCAGTGGTGTGATCTCAGCTCGCTGCAACCTCCGCCTCCTGGACTCAAGTGATTCTCCTGCCTCAGCCTCCTAAGTAGCTGGGATTACAGGCCTGCGCCACCACACCCGACTAATTTTTTTATTTTTAGTAGAGACAGGGTTTCACCATGTTGGCCAGGCTGGTCTCGAACTCCTAACCTCAAGTGATCCACCCACCTTGGCCTCCCAAAGGGCCACTGTTGCACCCAGCTGGTATATTTCTTATTATAGAGTCATTAATTATGTTAGATTTCCCCAAATTCTTTTTTGAGACAGAGTCTCGCTCTGTCACCCAGGATGGAGTGCAGTGGTGCAATCTCGGCTCACTGCAACCTCCGCCTCCCACGTTCAAGTGATTATCTTGCCTCAGCCTCCTGAGTAGCTGGGATTACAGGTGCAAGCCACCACGCCTGGCTAATTTTTGTATTTTTAGTAGAGATGGGGTTTCACCATGTTGGTCAGGCTGGTCTCAAACTCCTGACCTCATGATCCACCTGCCTCGGCCTCCCAAAGTGCCGGGATTACAGGCGTGAGCCACTGCGCCCGGCCTCCCGAATTCTTTTGAATAACATGAGCATAATAGATTTGGTATCAGTCTCTAAGGGACTGGTCTTAGTATAGAGCTGTCTGGTTAGTAGGGGGAAATAATGTCAGGTTCCCCTGGGCCCTTGGGAAATCCCTGATCATCCTCCTTTCTTTTTTTTTTTTTTTTTTTTTTTTTTTTTTTTTTTGAGATGGCGTCTCTCTCTGTCACCCAGGCTAGAGTGCAGTGGCTGAATCTTGTCTCACTGCAACCTCTGCCTCCCAGGTTCAAGTGATTCTCCTGCCTCAGCCTCCCGAGTAGCTGGGACTACAGGCACGTGCCACCATGCCCAGCTAATTTTTGTATTTTTAGTAGAGACGGGGTTTCACCATATTGGCCAGGCTGGTCTCAAATTCCTGACCTCGTGATCTGCCCGCCTTGGCCTCCCAAAGTGCTGGGATTACAGGCATGAGCCACTGCACCCAAACTTCCTTTCTTTTTATTTAAAAACAGCAACAACAACAAAAACTCTAATTGTAAAACAGTATTGTTTGGGACCATGCAGTGTTGAAAAGACCTAATCATGGAAATTTATTTATCTTTTTTTTCAGGTTAGTAATGGCCAACCTTATATGTGCCCTTAATGTTTTAATTTTGGCCTTAAAATAACAGCTTAGGACATGTAAGTAGCTATGTTCATCAGGCTTTCTAGGTCTCGTAAGGGGAATTTGGTAGAAAATATATTTCACCCAGCAATTAGTTTTCTTCCAGGGCTGGGCACTGTGGCTCACACCTGTAATCACAGCATTTTGGGAGGCTGAGGCAGGCAGATTGCCTGAGGTCAGGAGTTCCAGAGCAGTCTGGCCAATATGGTGAAACCCCATCTCTACTAAAAATACAAAAAAATTAGCCAGGCGTGGTGGCACACACCTGTAGTCCCAGCTACTCGGGAGGCTGAGGCAGGGGAATTGCTCGAACCAGGGAGGTGGAGGTTGCAGTGAGCTGAGATCGGGCCACTGCACTCCAGCCTGGGTGACAGAGTGAGATTTCGTCTCAAAAAAAAAAAAAAAAGTTTTCTTCCGGTAAAGATAAAACTCTCTTTGCTCTCACCAAAGGCAGAGGAGCCCTGACACACAAAGCAGAAAGGAAGAACCTTTAGGACAATTTTTATCAGTCTTATGGGTTAGAGAGAAAAAGAAAGCAAATGAAAGTCTGTGAATACAGATGGATCAAAAAGGACAATAAATTTTCATGGAAGGACAGAATTCAAAAGGGGTGAAATGCAAAGAAGTGCAAACATAACAAGATGATTGTTAGTAGTAAGAAAAATGAAGATCTCCAGACATTGCAAATGAGGATTCCCAGACAGTGCACAGCCTGGACGGAAGCCCTGCCAGCTTCACAAACCTCCTGTCAGGGAGGGCCACAGTGAACTAGATCTACTTGGTGTGAACTTTGAAGTCCTCACCTCTGCTTGTCACCTATCAGGCTATCAGGATGAACTGATAAATCAGCTGAAGGGAGCAAAGTCACAGTGCGTGAGAATTGTTTTGGAGATTTGTAAGTGGAAGAATGAGAGGAAAGGGAGAGACTCAGTGATGGAAAAGAAAACCTTAAGCCTTAAAGTGGTGAGGATTGTATCAATAGTTTTATTCTTTGGCAATTGTTTATTATATTTATTTAAAAAAAAATTTTTTTTTGAGACGGAGTTTTGCTCTTGTTGCCCAGGCTGGAGTGCAATGGCATAATCTCGGCTTACTGCAACCTCCGCCTCCTGGTTCAAGCAATTCTCCTGCCTCAGCCTCCCGAGTAGCTGGGATTACAGGAATGTGCCGCCATGCCCAGCTAATTTTGTATTTTTAGTAGAGATGGGGTTTCTCCATGTTGGTCAGGCTGGTCTCAAAATCCCAACCTCAGGTGATCTGCCCACCTCGGCCTCGCAAAGTGCTGAGATTACAGGTGTAAGCCATCGCACCCACCTATTATCTTTCAATTTATACAGTTTCAAAATATTCCAATGTTTAGTATATACCCTAGAGGTGTTTCAGTGACAGTAGAGGAGGTGGCTTTCTAGGTAACAAGAGAATCCTGCAACCACAGAAACATGTACCAAAATCCAGGAGGTCATCGGCATCCCTGTGAGCTAAGCTGGACGATGGAGTCCAGGGTGTTCCCTTGAATCCCCATGAAACTGAGGCCCTAGGAGGTCATGGGCATTTGCCATGCACCATTCTAGGTCTCACTGGTGCTGGACGTCTCCAAGCTGAAC
This sequence comes from Homo sapiens, assembly GCF_000001405.40. Lineage (NCBI taxonomy): Eukaryota > Metazoa > Chordata > Mammalia > Primates > Hominidae > Homo > Homo sapiens. The sequence goes on along the minus strand of NT_167248.2, from coordinate 2,463,071 downwards.
TGAAGTGATCTCTGCTGCCAGCCGGGGAGCCTGGATGTCTCACCAACAAGCCCTTCCTTATTTCACTGATCTGCCATTTTTAATGTCCAGTCATCATGCTTGGAATGCCTGGTTATAGTCCCCATGACTACACATCCATGTGGCCACACATCCTGCACTCAATATGGATGGCCTCTTGGAACGTCTCCTGTTCTCAGAGGAGACGTTCAGAACACACTCCTCTGAGACTCAGAGGAGTCTCAGAACACACAGAGCCTGGAGGAATGGGGACTGTTGGCAAAAGTAGATCTAATGTGTCCCTCAAGGTGAACAAAAATCTTTGAAGAGATTACTTGATTAACAAACAAGTGCTGGGCGCGGTGGCTCATGTCTGTAATCCCAGCACTTTGGGAGGCCAAGGTGGGCTGATCATAAGGTCAGGAGTTCGAGACCAGCTGAGCCAGTATGGTGAGACCCCGACTCTATTAAAAATACAAAAATTAGCCGGGCGTGATGGTGCACGCCTGTAATCCCAGCTACTTGGGAGGCTGAGGCAGGAGAATCGCTTGAGCCCAGGAGGTGGAGGTTGCAGTGAGCCGAGATAGAGCCACTGCACTCCAGTCTGGGTGACAGAGTGAGACTCTTGTCTCAAAAAAAAAAAAAAAAAAAGTTACAATAGCCAGTAAGTACAGATCAGGTGCAGTCCTGGGAGGAACAGCAAAACAAAAAGTGAAACAGAAGCAGCAAAAGTCCCAAGGCTGAATAATCAGGGCGTTCCATCCAAATAAGGTAATTGTAAACACTGTAAAAGCAGCAGCCAAATGGAAAGCAATCACAATTAGTTGCTCAAAGAATGTGAGTGAGTTAAAAGGTCCTCCCCCAAAACCTTAATAGAATAGATCTGGGGAAAGCAGTGATAGTCAATCAGGGGTCTCTGGCTGCCATAGTACTCACCAGTAGTGAAGGGAAACTGAAACCAACGAAGCAGACAAACCTCTGAGTCATGGCACCAGAAATGTTGACGGCTGTTGTAATACCTTGGTTCTTGACTTCTTCATTTAAAAGAATTTAAACAAGAAACACGCAGCAAAGGAGATGAAGTACAAAGCAATTTATTACAAAGGAAAAATATTATTTTGAAAGTTAAGTGCAAAATAAACTGTACACCCTGAGAGGATTCAGGGTGGGCTGCTCCTAAGGATGAGACAGCATTGATCACTGCTGGAGAAACTCCCTTTATGGGAGTCTTACATGATTATTTACAGGAGGTGGGTGGGAAGAGGTGTTACTAGCAAGCATGTTCTGGGCGGTCTTCTGGGTGCACGTGTGCAGTAGCTGTACATGCTTGTTCATACGTCTCATGACTCATTAGCATCTTAAATCTCCACCCAGGGCTGTGTTTTTTTTCACTATTGTGATGAGCAAAGGGTCAGTCTGAGAACAGGTGGAAATGCACGTGTTCTGTACAGGGTAAACTCCCTATTGGAGATAGCTTTGCTTGAATGAGCTGGACTACAATGTGAATGCTAGAGTTTATTGTGTTGATTGTGTGGTCATCACCAGTCGCTATGTCCCGAGGACATGGTTACTTTTTTCATTACCTATACTTCCTCAATTCCAACACCTGCCTGAGCTTACACAGGCAAATAAATGACTCATTTCAGCACCACCTTACAGCTTATTCAGTGCAGCCTTTGACATCCCTCAGAGGAGAAGTTTTCCAAGCATGATTTTATTTTGTAAAGCCTCCGTTTTTTCAGCCTGCAGAGCTGAGACATTGATAATTTTATTCTCAAATATTTAGAGACTTTCTTATAAGATTTTCACATCTTGGTAACAAATTTCACTTACAAAATTTGCCAGAATAGGCAAAAGGAAAGAGACAGCAGGAGGGATCACTAAGATTTTTCTTTCCTGTGGAGTATTTTACTGTTCCTGCTTCTCTTTTCACTTTCCTGGGCTTGGGGGAAGGGCAGCTCCCTCGGACCATGAAAGAAAAATGGTAATACGGAAACATCTGTCTTTATCGCCTCCCCCCACCCTTCCACTCTGCTCTGGCTGTGCCCATTCTCCCTCCCACCCCCTGGCCCATAAGCCTTTTCCTTCTCCCAACCTCACCGAGAGCCCAGACTCTCACCTACAGCTGGCTCCTCAGTGGGAACTGAGTCATTACCTGCTAAAGGGTAGAAGAGGAGAGAGAGAGGCCAGAGCCTGGGGATGGGGCAGAAGGTGCAGCAGGAAGGAAGGTTAGAGTGAGAAAAATTTCCAAATAAGGGGTGATGTGTGAGTGCTCAGAGGGTGACTGAGGACATCCCCAGCATTTCCATCGAGGAGGGAGGAAGGAGGGGCCCTTGGGTTCTGGGGCAGATGCCGGCAGGGTCTGGATGAGATGCCCCCAACCTCAACCCTGGTCCTCTGAAAACACTTCACCCAGTCACACTGAGGAGCCCCTCCAGGCCCAGGGGCCCCTCCAGGTAGGCGTATCTCAGCTCCTCTCTGGAAGGACCCCCACAGCTGCCCAGCCCTGGTATGTCTCATCTCCCTGGTTCTGGTCCCCTTGAGTCTTGAGTCCGGGGTTGGCTCCTTCCCTTCCTGCAGCCGGGTCAGAGTGAGCTTGGCAGATGAGAAGCCAGGTGCTCTGCATGGCAAGGTGTGGTTGCCCTCAGGGTCCTCCTTGTCAGGGACCACAAGCCCTGGGGAAGGAGGCACTCGTTGTAGGAGAGAGAGAGCAGAGAGGTGGAGTGAGGGTGGGACACGCCTCCCCTCCTCTCCTAGTCTTCCTCCACATGCCAGTGCCTTTCCCTCCCCAACTCCAGGTCGTATAAGAGCCACAGCAGGAAGGGTAGACCTGGGTCCCCAACATTCTTTGAAGAAGTCTTTCCATAAGTGTGTCCACCTCCATCCCCACTGCAGCTTTAGGGTCTGCCTCAGTGCAGAGCCCTGGGTATGTACAGAGCATAGGTGTACATGAGGGTGATTCTGGAAGGTTCTTCCTTTGCACATACCTGCGTGTCTCAGTTTCTCTCCTCTTCAAGTCTGCTCAAATGGCACCTTCATGAGGCCCACCCTGACCACCCTACTTAAAATGCCACCTCTATTACTTTGCATTGATTGTCAACTTTGCATTTTTTTTTTTACTTTTTTTTTTTTTTTTGAGGTGGAGTCTTGCTCTGTCACCAGGCTGGAGGGCAGTGGTGCGATATTGGCTCACTGCAACCTTCACCTCCTGGGTTCAAGCGATTCTCCTGCCTCAGCCTCCAGTGTAGCTGGGACTACAGGTGCACGCCACCACACCCAGCTAATTTTTGTATTTTTAAGTAGAGACAGAGTTTCACCATGTTGGCCAGGATGGTCTCGATCTCTTGACCTCGTGATCCACCCATCTCGGTCTCCCAAAGTGCTGGGGTTACAGGCGTGAGCCACCGCACCTGGCCTATTTTTTCTTTTTATCACCTATCACTTTGTAAACATAAAAGTCCTTTTCCAAAGATGGCCTCAACAATATCTCCCATCCCACATGCTCTTTAGCAATGTGACCTTGCCATCCTCTATCAAGAGCTGATGCTAATCCCCCTCTTTTTGGATCTGGGACTTGCTTTGGTGACTAGAACATGAGGAACGTGATGCTGCCTGACTTCTGAGGTTCCAGCATAAGATGCCTTGTGGTTCTGACTTGGCCACTTGAAACACCCGGACCCCAGGTGCAGAGCCAGAAGCAGCCAGGGCACGTGGAGGAGCAGGTGGAGGAGAAACCAAGTCACCTGGTTCACAGCCTCAGTGAGTTCCCAGCCAACAAGCCAGCACCAACTGCAGCCCTGTGCAGGAGCCTCTTGAATGTGTTGGACCAGCTGGGCTCCAGATGATGGTGGCCCAGCCCATGTTGTATGGAGCGGAAGAGCTGCCCAGCTGAGCCCAATCAGCCCACAGAATGAGAGATAATATAAAGGTTGTTTATTATATATATATATATATATATTTTTTTTTTTTTGGGGGGGATGGAGTCTCACTCTGTCACCCAGGCTGGAGTGCAGTGGCACAATCTTGGCTCACTGCAACCTCCACCTTCTGGTTTCAAGCGATTCTCCTGCCTCAGCCTCCCAAGCAGCTGGGATTACAGGCACCTACCACCACGCCCAGCTAATTTTTGTATTTTTAGTAGAAACGGGGTTTCATCATGCTGGCCAGGCTGGTCTCGAACTCTTGACCTTGTGATCTACCCACCTCAGCCTCCCAAAGTGCTGGAATTACAGGCGTGAGCCACCATGCCCAGCGTTTGTATGCGTTAAGATTATTTTTTGCTCAGCAATCAATTGCTGGAACACATCCATATAATTCACTACTGTTATTATATTTTTCTTTATTGTCTTTCAGATTGTAAGCATCAGGGAGCAGGTGTTAGTCTCTTTTGATTAAATGATCACCAGGCCTAGAAAAATGCCTGGCACAGAAGCATTTACTAAATATTTGTTAAATGGATGAATAAACTATGTGACCAGAATTCCTTAATACTGGGTCCGAGACTAGAAAGTGGGAGTTACTGGTTTGGTTTTGGCACTTGTTTAGTCAGCTTGTGCTGCCATAACAAAACACCACAGATGGATTGGTTAACAACAGACATTTCTTTCTCACAATTCTGGACCCTGGAAATCTGAGGTTAGGGAACCAGCAGATTCAGTTCCTGGTGAGGGCCCTCTTCCTGCCTGGCAGACAGCTGCCTTCTTGCCATATCCTCACGTGGTGAAGAGAGTGGGAGCTCCAGTCTCTTCTTTTTCTTAAAAGGACACTAATCCCATCATGGGGGCCCCAACCTCTCAACCTCTTCTGAATCTAATCACTTCCCAAGATGGCCACCAGTCTCAAGGAGTTTACTGTCACAGTGGGAGCAAAGATGCTACAGCAGGTTGTAAAATTAGGTGTCATCCCAGTCAGTGGGGAGAGGACAGGTAATTCAGGGAAGGGGACCTGGATAGAGCTCACCCATAGGATATGGCAGGTCCCAGAACTCTACTGAAATCAAGTCTGGACAAAAGTCAATAATATTCTTCTGACCGAATTCCTTTCAGTCTTCCTGAGGGATGGACAGGCTCATTCCAGAATAAAGAAGATGCCTGGGGTAAAGAAGACTAGTCTCCAAGGGCACTGGCCCAGGACACCTAGGTTCTACTGGTCACCAACGCCCACCCAGATCTCTCCTGGGTGGAGCCTTGTTCCAAGCCTCTCACAGCCCTTGCCTGCATTCCCATGGTGCTCACCATGGATAACAGGGCCACAGCCAGCCTCAGAGCCAGACTGTTAAGTGAAACCACTGATCCTTGCTGAATTACTTCCTTGAGGCTGAGATAAACTTCACATTTCAGCCTCATTAATAAGATTAATTGTAAATCCAAATGGCCTGCAAATCTATAAACAGTCGCTCAGTTGATTAGCCAGAACATTGAGGACTGTTAATGATACAGGAAAAGGCCCATTTTGGAGGTGAGAAGCTGAGGAGCCTGAAACTGTTTCCATTGTTTATGAAAGTAATCTGACAATTATGAATGAAAATACCCACCACCCCCCGACCCAGCAATCCAAGGTGGGAAATATCTTTTTTTTTTTTGAGACGGAGTTTTGCTCTTGTCCCCCAGGCTGGAGTGCAGTGATGCAATCTCAGCTCACTGCAACCTCCACCTCCCAAGTTCAAGTGATTCTCCTGCCTCAGCCTCCCAAGTAACTGAGATTACAGGCGTGTGCCACCATGCCAGGGTAATTTTTGTATTTTTAGTAGAAACGAGGTTTCACCATGTTGACCAGGCTGGTTTCGAACTCCTGACCTCAAGTGATCCGCCCACCTCAGCCTCCCAAATGCTGAGATTACAGGTGTGAGCCCAAACTCCTACTTTTAAATCACTGCATAATAGTCCATAGTCCATTGAATGGAGTATAGCAATAAACACTGTTACATATTCTGAACCTCAACTCCCTCCCTCCCTCCCTCCCTTCCTCTCTCTCTCTCTTCTTTCTTTCTTATTTTTTGACACAGGGCCTCACTCTGTCACCCAGGCGGAGTGCAGTTGTGGGTTAATCATGGCTCACTGCAGCCGCGACCTCCCCAGGCTCAGGTGATCCTCCCACCTCAGCTTCCGGAGTAGCTGGGACTACAGGCATGAGCCACCTCACCTGGCTAATTTTTTGTATTTCTGGTGGAGAAGGGGTTTCACCATTTTGCCCAGGCTGGTGTTAAACTCCTAGGCTCAAACCATCTGTCTGCCTCACCCTCCCAAAGTGCTAGGATTACAGGTGAGCCACCACACCCAGCCAACTGTCTTTATTTCTGTAAGAGATATTTCCCGGCCAGGCGCGGTGGCTTACACCTGTAATCCCAGCACTTTGGGAGGCCGAGGCGGGTGGATCACCTAAGGTCAGGAGTTCGAGACTAGCCTGGACAACATGGCAAAACCCCGTCTCTACTAAAAATATAAAAATTAGCCGGGCGTGGTGGGGGGTGCCTGTAATCGCAGCTACTTGGGAGGCTGAGGCAGGAAGAATTGCTTGAACCCGGGGGGGGCGGGGGTTGCAGTGAGCCCAGATGGCGCCACTGCACTCCAGTCTGGGTGACAGACCAAGACTGTCTCAAAAAAAAAATAAAATACATAAATAAATAACAATAATAATATGTAAGATTTGTCCCACGGCATTTTGAGGTGATGGCAGGCAGAAATAAAGCCAGTCCCACCCTTTCTGGGCTAGGGAAAGCTGAGATGGTCTTCGGCTCCGGGTGAGTCACTCCCCAGGGTCCAGGCCTGGCTGCCCGTTCCCCTCCCCCTCCAACCCACCTACAGCCCCTTCTGCTCTGCCCCATCAACTACATTTTCTCCCTCAGCACTCGCCTTAGATTCCTGGACTCACAGCACAGAGGCGACCTCCTCCTTGCAGACTTTAGGCGCCACTGCGGGGTCCGGAAAAAAAAGAGAAACGGCCCAGCGCTGTCACTTACATAACCCAGGGCGGGGCTGCGCTCGGCGACCGCAGGCGTTTTGAATTCTGCGCCCCAGAGTTCACTGCGAGGACTGGGATCACCCGTCACCCCGCCCTGGTCTACGGAAAATGACAAGTGTTTACTGATATAGAAACGGAATAACGGCGCTGTGGGCTGGGGTGGGCGGAGCTGCCTTCAGGCTTCTGGTCTCCAGCGGCGGGGAACTCACACCTGCCGCTGTGAAAATGCAGACCCGCGGGGCAGTAATTCCGAGTCCAGCCTGGGGCGCGTCTGGAATCTTGACTCGCTTGAAACACCACGGCGGATTCGGAGACAGGTGAGTAGAGAAATGAGCCTCAGTCCCTCCCACGGGCCGCCCACGGATTCCAGGATCCGGAAACTCTTCCTGCTGCTGCGTCACCCCAGGAAGGCAGCGCCCGCCTCTGGGCCGTTCTGATGGAAACTGGCTTCGCCGCCCAGAGGAAAACCCACAACTAAGGGGCCAAGAAAAAGCCTCCATGGTCCCCCGCTTTCAGTGAGGATCCTAATTTATACCCCGAGTGTGGCCCCCATCAAAGTCTGCAGTGACAGCCGAGCGCGGTGGCTCACGCCTGTAATTCCGGCACTTTGGGAGACCATGGCGGGCGGATCACTTGAGGTCAGGAGTTCAAGACCAGCTTGGCCAACATGGTGAAGCCCCTTCTCTACTAAAAATACAAAAATTAGCCGGGTGTGGTGGTAGGCGCCTGTAGTCCCAGCTACTCGGAGGCTGAGGCAGAAAAATGGCGTGAACGCGGGGGGCGGAGCTTGCAGGGAGCCGAGATCGCGCCACTGCACTCCAGCCTGGGCGACAGAGACTCCATCTCACACACACACAAAAAAAATGTAGAGTGACGTTCACTGAAATGATACTAGACCAGCGGGAGGGACCCAGAGCGCTGCGGTTCACAGAATGCGGTGACAGCGCCGCCTCGCGTCCTTTACTTCACCTGCCCCAGGCAGACGTGGTCACGTGTGTTGGCCTGGAGGCTGGAATACACTGGGGTCAAATGCAGAGTGGATAAAGGAGGGAAGGATGGGAGGACGTGTTGAAGAAAGACAGTAAGAGCTGGCGCTATGGTTCATATCTGTAAAACTAGAGTTTTCGGAGGCGAGGCAGGAGGATCGTGTGAGACCAGGAGTTTGAGGTTGCAGTGAGCCGTGATCACACCACTGCACTCCAGCCTGGACGACAGAGTGAGACCCTGCTTTTATATACTTTTCATATTTTCTGTAATTAAGCAAGTTTTGTGTCCGGAATTGGTGGGTTCTTGATCTCACTGACTTCAAGAATGAAACTGCGGACCCTCGCGGTGAGTGTTACAGCTCTTAAGGTGGCGCGTCTGGAGTTTGTTCCTTCTGATGTTCGGACGTGTCCGGAGTTTTTTCCTTCTGGTGGGTTCGTGGTCTCGCTGGCTCAGGAGTGAAGCTACAGAGCTTTACGGTCAGTGTTATAGCTCTTAAGGCGGCACGTCTGGAGTTGTTTCTCCTGGTGGGCTTTTGGTCTTGCTGGCTTCAGGAGTGAAGCTGTAGACCTTCACAGTGAGTGTTATAGCTCATAAAAGCACTATGGACCCAAAGAGTGAGCAGTAGCAAGATTTATTGCAGAGCGAAAGAACAAAGCTTTAGCAGTGTGGAAGAGAACCCGACTGGGTTGCCACTGCTGGCTCGGGCAGCCTGCTTTTATTCTCTTATCTGGCCCCACCCACATCCTGCTGATTGGTAGAGCCGAGTGGTCTGTTTTGACAGGGTGCTGATTGGTGCGTTTGCAATCCCTGAGCTAGACACAAAGGTTCTCCAAGTCCCCATCAGATTAGTTAGATACACAGTATGGACAAAAAGGTTCTCCAAGGCCCCACCAGAGCAGCTAGATACAGAGTGTAGATTGGTGCATTCACAAACCTTGAGCTAAACACAGGGTGCTGATTGGTGTGTTTACAAACCTTGAGCTAGATACAGAGTGCCGATTGGTGTATTTACAATCCCTGAGCTAGACATAAAGGTTCTCCAAGGCCCCACCAGAGCAGCTAGATAGAGTGTGGATTGGTGCACTCACAAACCCTGAGCTAGGCACAAGGTGCTGATTGGTGTGTTTACAATCCCTGAGCTAGACATAAAGACTCTCCACGTCCCCACCAGACTCAGGAGCCCAGCTGGCTTCACTTAGTGGATCCCGCACAGGGGCTGCAGGTGGAGCTGCCTACCAGTCCCGCATGGTGCGCTTGCATTCCTCAGCCCTTGGGTGGTCGATGGGACTGGGCGCCGTGGAGCAGGGGGTGGTGCTCGTCGAGGAGGCTCGGGCCGCACAGGAGCCCTTGGAGTGGGTGGGAGGCTTAGGCATGGCGGGCTGCAGGTCCCCAGCCCTGCCCCGCGGGAAGGCAGCTAAGGCTCGGTGAGAAATCGAGCGCAGCGCTGGTGGGCTGGCACTGCTGGGGGACCCAGTACACCCTCCGCAGCTGCTGGCCCGGGTGCTAAGTCCCTCATTGCCAGGGGCCAGCAGGGCTGGCCGGCTGCTCCGAGTGCGGGGCCCGCCAAGCCCACGCCCACCCGGAACTCCAGCTGGCCGGCAAGCGCGGCACACAGCCCCGGTTCCCGCTCGCGCCTCTCCCTCCACACCTCCCCGCAAGCTGAAGGAGAGGGCTCCGGCCTTGGCCAGCCCAGAAAGGGGCTCCCACAGTGCAGCGGTGGGCTGAAGGGCTCCTCAAGTGCCGCCGAAGTAGGAGCCCAGGCAGAGGAGGCGCGGAGAGCAAGCGAGGGCTGTGAGGACTGCCAGCACGCTGTCACCTCTCGGTTTTACTTTATTTTAGGATAAAATATCTATTGTGAATTTTAAAAACATGTAAAATAAAATTTTAATTAAAAAGCCTAAATGTTCTTTTCCTACTTATCCTGAAGGAAATTCCTGTTGATGGCGCATTTAGGAACTTATTTATCCCCTGAAGACCTGAGCCCTGCACATATCAAAACTGTACATTCCTTGTGGAGCAGTCTTCTCTTTTGAAATGTAAACACTATTTCCCTAATCTTCAAGCCAGCCATTGTCACTCCTAGTGACACTTCCATTGGATAAGCTCCTTACTCTCACTGAAATTGGCCTCAGAGTTGCAGCCAAGCATTGGGAGCCATGGCAGAAGTCATTGTGGGGTTTGCACCTGGCTGATGTGGAAGGTAGTCCTGAAAGGTAGTGTGTGACTAAGTGGGCTCTGGAGGGCAGGGATGTGCCTGGTGAGAGGAGAACAAGACAGATAGGAAGGTTCCAAAAGAAAACTTCAGGGGTCCCTGTGCCCAACATCGGGATTTAGAAAATCTTCTCCCAGCCACTTTTGGCCTGCTTTCATTCCGCTTTCCTGTCTACCAGGCCATTGCAGGCAGTTCCTTCATTGAATAAATATTTATCAAATACCTACCACGTGCCAGGCATTGTGTTTAAGGAGCTGGGGCTGAGGTAAGAGGAACCAAACCCCCCTTGCGCTCAAGGTTGTCCCAGTCTTGCTCAGGCAGAGATCAGTCAGGAAATTGTAACACTAATGGTTGGCAGGACATGTACACATGCTTTGCAAACTCACAAGTAGACCATCTTCTCTGACCTAGGAGTCACAGAAAGTTCACAAAAGAGACAATGTTCAAGCTATGTTTTGAGGTGTAAGTAGGAGCCCAACAGGCACCTGGGACAAGAGAGCATTGCTCAGAATTCAGAACATGAATTTCTTTCCCTGGGCCAGGCCAAGAATCAGACTAAGCTGACTGAGGAGCCAGATGCTTCCTGGCAAGAAAGGGTGTCCCACATCTGACTATTCCAAAATCACAGCTACTCAATGTTGAGACTTAAGACAGACAGAAAAAGAGAAAGGCCTGATTCGAAAAGCAGAATTCTCCAGGGGTGGGGGGAGGTTAAACTGCAGTTTCTGATATAATATGTGTGGGCCAGGCCAGAGAATTGCATTTCCTTATTTATTTATTTATTTATTTATTTTGAGACGAAGTCTTGCTATTGTCCCCCAGGCTGGAGTGCGATGGCGCAATCTTGGCTCACTGCAACCTCCGCCTCCCGGGTTCAAGTGATTCTCCTGTCTCAGCCTCCCAGGTAGCTGGGATTACAGACGCCTGCCACCACGCTCGGCTAATTTTTTGTATTTTTAGTAGAGACAGGGTTTCACCATGTTGGCCAGGCTGGTCTCGAACTCCTGACCTCAGGTGATCCGCCCGCCTCAGCCTCCCAAAGTGCTGGGATTACAGGCGTGAGCCACTGCGCCCAGCTGAGAATTGCATTTCTAACAAGTTTCCAGGTGATGCCAGTGCTGTTTGTCCCAGGACTACACTTTGAGAATCACTGCCCTAAAGCAACCTGGTTTGATCTCTAATAACAGAAGAGGACTGGGAGAGCACTATGAGGCAGAAGTGTAGGATAAATAAGACCATACTCTGCCCATCCTGGAGAATTCGCAAGCCCAAGGCTGCAGCATTTGAATTCCTTGGGAGTCCCGGGAATTGCAGACACCCAGGAAGAAACTGAATGTGGGTCAGAGGGTGATGCATGCTCTCTGCTTCACACAGCACCTGGGGTTCCTGCCACTACACAGTCTGGCCCCCAAACCCTCAATCCTTCCCACCCCTCCTCGAAGCATTGACCTGCAGGCCTTACTCTACTGCCCTCAGCTGTTTGGGCCTGGGATATGACGCTAGGCGCTCCTACCGTACCTTCTGATCCAAATACAGGGTGACCTAGTATGACAACTATTAGCAGACTCATAGGGATAACAGAATGGGCTAAGAATGAGAATCTTTGGTTGCGCACGCCTGTAATCCCAGCCACTTGGGAGGCTGAGGTGGGAGGATCGCTGGAGCCCGGGAGGTGGAGGTTACAGTGAGCAGAGATCAGGCCACCAACATTCCAGCCTGGGCAAAAAAGTGAGACTCTGTTTCAAAAAAAATAAAATAAAAAGGCCGGGCATGGTGGCTCACACCTGTAATCCCAGCACTTTGGGAGACCAAGGCCAATGGATCACTTGAGGCCAGGAGTTCCAGACCACCTTGGCCAACATGGTGAAACCCTGTCTCTGCAAAAAATACAAAAAGTAGCCAGGCATGGTGGCATGCACCTGTAGTCCCAGCTACTCCAGAGGCTGAGGCAGAGAATCGCTTGAACCAGGGAGGCGGAGGTTGTAGTGAACCGAGAAGATTGCACCACTGCACTCCAGATGGGGCAACAGAGCGAGACTCTGTCTCCAAAAAAAAAAAAAAAATAAGAATCTTGAAAAGTTGGCAAGTGGCTTCAATTACATGTCCCCCAGAATTACAAGTGTTTTTTCTAAATATCACATCCTTGGGCCCACATGGACACCAGAGGGCACCCTGAGCTCACTGAAGCCACAACTGTCGCATTAGACCATTAGAATCCCTTGTAAAGGCCAGGCATGGTGGCTCACACCTGTAATCACAGCACTTTGGGAGACCGCGGAGGGTGGATCATCTGAGGTCAGGAGTTCGAGACCAGCCGGGCCAACATGGTGAAACCCCATCTCTACTAAAAATTAGCCGGGTGTGGTAGCATGCACCAGTAATCTCAGCTACTGGGGAGGCTGAAGCAGGAGAATCACTTGAACATGGAAGGCAGAGGTTGCAGTGAGCCAAGATTGCATCCTTGCACTCCAGCCTGGGCAACAACAGCAAAACTCCATCAGAAAAAAAAAAAAAAAAGAATCCCTTGTAAAGACTGCAGTTTGGCTGGGAGCAGTGGCTCATGCCTGTAATGCCAGAAATTTGAAAGGCTGAGGGTGGGCCACGGTGGATCGCTTGAGGTCAGGAGTTCAAGACCAGCCTAGTCAACATGGTGCAACCCCATCTCTACTAGAAATACAAAAATTAGCTGGGCATGGTGGCATGCAACTGTAGTCCCTGCTACTCAGGAGGCAAGAGAATTGCTTGAGCTCTTAAGGCAGAGGTTGCAGTGAGCCAAGATTGCATCACTGCACTCCAGCCTGGCCAACACAGCAAGACTCCAACTCAAAAAAAAAAAAAAAAAAAGGAGTGATATAATTTTTAGACAATTTTTTTTTTTTTTGAGATGGAGTCTCGCTCTGTCACCCAGGCTGGAGTGCAGTGGCATGATCTTGGCTCACTGCAAGCTCTGCCTCCCGGGTTCACGCCATTCTCCTGCCTCAGCCTCCTGAGTAGCTGGGACTATAGGTGCCCGCCACCACACCCGGCTAATTTTTTGTATTTTTAGTAGAGACAGGGTTTCACCGTGTTAGCCAGGATGGTCTCCATCTCCTGACCTCGTGATCCGCTTGCCTCTGCCTCGCAAAGTGCTGGGATTACAGGCGTGAGCCACCGCGCCTGGCCCCAGCTACAATTTTTGTTTTCTCTTAATGAAGGTAAGAGAATTCTATCAGGCTGAGTTTTTTTCTTAAATTTTCACTGTGAGTTTTTTGGGTTTTTTTCCTCCTTGGAATTACCTTTTGTGTTTTCACTTGGTTAAAAATTCAAAAGGTTCAAAAGGCAAAAAGTCTCTGTCTTGGCCGGGTGCAGTGGCTCAAGCCTGTGATCCCAGCACTTTGGGAGGCCGAAGCAGGTGGATTACAAGGTCAAGAGTTCGAGGCCAGCCTGGCCAACATGATGAAACCCCCGTCTCTACTAAAAATACAAAAATTAGTCGGGTGTGGTGGTGGGCATCTGTAATCCCAGCTACTTGGGAGGCTGAGGCAGGAGAATCACTTGAACCCGGGAGGCAGAGGTTGCAGTGAGCCGAGATCTTGCCATTGCACTCCAGCCTGGGCGACAAGAGCAAGACTCCGTCTCGAAAAATAAATAAATAAATTAATTAATTAAAGAAAGAAAGAAAACAAACTTAAGACATTTGTTCGGGCTTGGTGGCCCACGCCTGTAATTCCAGCACTTTGGGAGGCCGAGGCGGGCGGATCACCTGAGGTAAGGAGTTCGAGACTAGCCTGGAAAACATGGCAAAACCCTGTCTCTACTAAAAATACAAAACATTAGTGGGCATGGTGGCAGAAGGCTGTAATCCAGCTACTTGGGAGGCTGAGGCAGGAGAATCACTTGAACCCGGGAGGCGGAGGTTGCAGTGAGCTGAGATTGCACCATTGCACTCCAGCCTGGGTGACAGTCAGATTCTGTCCCAAAAAAAACAAACAAACTTAGACGTTTTATGCATATGCAAGCAAATATAAGTGTGTGTGTATATACATATAATTTCCCTCTTTCCACATAAATTTTAGCAAACTACATATGCTTTCCTTCATCTTGTTTTTTTTTTTCTTTCTGAGACAAGGTTTCACTCTGTCACCCAGGCTGGGGTATACTAGTATGACTACCACTCACTGAAGGCTTGAACTCTTGGGCTCCCCACCAGCTGGGACCACAGGTGTGAGCCACAACACCTGGCTTTTTTTTGAGACAGAGTTTCACTCTTGCCGCCCAGGCTAGAGTGCAATGGTGCGATCTCGGCTTACTGCAACCTCTGCCTTCTGGGTTCAAGTGATTCTCCTGCCTCAGCCTCTGGAGTAGCTGGGAAATCCCATCTGTACTAAAAATACAAAAATTAGCCAGGCGTGGTGGTGCACACACCTGTAGTTCCAGCTACTCAGGGGGCTGAGGCAGAAGAAATGCTTGTACCTGGGAGGTGGAGGTTGCAGTGACCTGAGATCTCACCACTGCACTGCAGCCTAAGACAGTGAGACTCTCTCAAAATTTAAAAAAAAAATTTTTTTTTAAAGAAAGAATGAACTACTTATAGGTGCAACAACATGGATGGATTACATAGATATTATGCCAAATACAAAAAGCCAGACACAAAAGAGGCCATACCTATGCATGCATTTATAGGAAGTTTTAAAACAGGCAGCCCAGCACAGTGGCTCACACCTGTAATCCCAGCACTTTGGGAGGCCGAGGCGGGTGGATCACCTGAGGTCAGGAGTTTGAGACCAGCCTGGTGAACATAGCGAAACCCCATCTCTACTGGAAGTACAAAATTAGCCAGTCATGGTGGCTCACACCTGTACTCCCAGCTACTCAGGAGGCTGAGGCAGGAGAATCTCTTGAACCCAGGAGGCAGAGGTTGCAGTGAGCCGAGATCGTGCCATTGCACTCCAGCCTGGGTGGCAGAGTAAGACTCCATCTCAAAAAAAAAAAAAAAATTAGGAAAAACTGCTCTATAGTGATAGTCATCAGATCCATGGCTACTCAGGGGTAGGGCAGAATCAAAGAGGGCAAAGAGAACTTTCTATATCTTGACAGGGGTGTGGGTGACATGTACTTGTCAAAATTCATTGATGGATTTGCTAAAGATCTGATCATTTCACTTTTTGTAAATGGTGAAATTTTAAAATAAAATTTTAATAAATTTAATAAATTTTAAAATAAAAATATTTTTGCTGGGCACGGTGTCTCACGCCTGTAATCCCAGCATTTTGGGAGGCCAAAGTGGGTGGATCACTTGAGGTCAGGAATTTGAGACCAGCCTGGCGAAACCCTGTCTCTGCAAGCAAATACAAAAATCATCCAGGTGTGTGGTGTGTACCTGTAGTCCCAGCTACTCAGGAGGCTGAGAGAGGAAAATCGCTTGACCCTGGGAGGTGGAAGTTGCAGTGAGCTGAGATCACACCACTGCACTCCAGCCTGAGCAATAGAGGGAGACTCTGTCTCAAAAAAATAAAATAGGGTTGGGGACAAAGGGAGGGAGAGCATTAGGACAAATACCCAATGCAGGCGGGGCTTAAAACCTGGATGACAGGTTGATAGGTGCAGAAATCACCATGGCACATGTATACTTATGTAACAAACCTGCACATTCTGCACATGTATCCTGGAACTTAAAGTAAACAAAGTAATAATAATAATTTTAAAAATAAATAAATTAATTAAACAAAAATATTTTAATGTTAATAATAAAAAGTAGCCGGGGGCTGTGGCTCATGCCTGTAATCCCAGCACTTTGGGAGGCCGAGGTGGGCGGATCACCTGAGGTCAGGAGTTTGAGACTAGCCTGGCCCACATGGAGAAACCCTGTCTCTACCAAAAATACAAAATTAGCCGAGGGTGGTGGCAGGGGTTTGTGATCCCAGCTACTCAGGAGGCTGAGGCAGAAAAATCACTTGAACCCAGGAGGCAGAGGTTGCGGTGAGCTGAGATTGTGCCATTGCACTCCAGCCTGGGCAACAAGAACAAAACTCCGTCTCAAAAATAATAATGATAATAAATAAGATAATTGGGCCAGGTGTGGTGGCTCACACCTGTAATCTCAGCATTTTAGGAGGCCGAGGTGGAAGGATCACCTGAGGTCAGGAGTTCAAGACCAGCCTGGCCAACATGGTGCAACCTCATCTCTATTAAAAATACAAAAAATTGGCTGGGTGTGGTGACTCACGCTTGTAATTCCTGTACTTTGGGAGGCCAAGGCAGGTGGACCAGTGGACCACGAGGTCAGGAGATTGAGACTATCCTGGCTAACACAGTAAAACCCCATCTCTACTAAAAATACAAGAAATTAGCTGGGCGTAGTGGCACATGCCTGTAGTCCCAGCTACCTGGGAGGCTGAGGCAGGAGAATCACTTGAACCCGAGAGGTGGAGATTGCAGTGAGCCAGATCACACCATTGCACTCCAGCCTGGGCGACAGAGCAAGACTCCATCTCAAAAAAAAAAAAATACAAAAAATTAGCAGGGCACACCGGGCACGGTGGCTCACACCTGTAATCCCAGCACTTTGGGAGGCTGAGGCAGGCGGATCACGAGGTCAGGAGATCGAGACCATCCTGGCTAACATGGTGAAACCCCGTCTCTACTAAAAATACAAAAAAATTAGCCAGGCGTGGTGGCAGGCACCCATAATCCCAGCTACTCGGGAGGCTGAGGCAGGAGAATGGCATGAACCCGGGAAGCAGAGCTTGCAGTGAGCCGAGATCACACCACTGAACTCTAGCCTGGGCAACAGAGCAAGACTCCGTCTCAAAAAAAAAAAGAGTACTGAAGTTCCAAAGGAGAGGATAAACAGGCTGCACAAACAACTTTCGCAGAGTAGATACGTAATCAGTGACTTGAAACACCTGCTGGGCACTCAAACTAGGCCAAAGGAAAGAGAAACAGAATGAGTATATGCTATAAGAACTGGAGATAAGTAAGATTCCTTACTCATATCCTTATCTTCAGTTCTTGGTACATAATGGGCACTCAGTTTATTGTTAGGTGAATAGGCTGCTGTGGAGAAAGGTAAATAAATGATGGAAAAAATTACAAGGGGAATTAACTAATCTGTACACTAAACCCCCGTGACAGGCAATTTATCTCTATAACAAACCTGCTCATATACCCCTGAACTTAATATAAAAGTTTTTAGGCCAGGTGCGGGGCTCACGCCTGTAATCCCAGCACTCTGGGAGGCCGAGGTGGGCAGATCACCTGAGGTCAGAAATTTGAGACCAGCCTGGCCAACATGGTGAAATCCCCATCTCTACTAAAAATACAAAAAATTAGCCAGGCATGGTGGTGCATGCCTGTAGTCCCAGCTACTCGTGAGGCTGAGGCAGGAGAATCACTTGAACCCGGGAGGTGGAGGTTGCAGTGAGCTGAGATCTCACTCCAGCCTGGGTGACAGAGTGAGACTCCGTCTCAAAATAAATAAATAAAATCAGTGAGAAGCTCACTTCCTAAACCACAAACCCTCCTCAAATAATCAGAATTGTCTACTCTCATCTACCCTGCACCCCGTACTCTCCCTCTCTCCACAGTGGCTGAAAGAATGATGGGGAAGAGAGGAAGAAGAAATTGCCTTAGGCCTTCTCCCTCTTCTAGGGTCTCTGTCTTTCCACTATTTTCTTTTAAAAACTTTTTGCTTTTTTTTTTTTTTGAGACACAGTCTCACTCTGTCACCCAGCCTGGAGTGCAGTGGCATGATCTCGACTCACTGCAACCTCCCCCTCCCAGGTTCAAGCCATTCCCTTTCCTCAGCCTCCCGAGTAGCTGGGACTACGGGTGCGTGCAACCATGCCCGGCTAATTTTCGTATTTTTAGTAGAGATGGAGTTTCACCATGTTGGCCAGGCTTGTCTTAAACTACTGACCTCAAGTGATCCACCCACCTCAGCCTCCCAAAGTGCTGGGATTACAGGCGTGAGCCACCATGCCCGGCCAAAAACCTTTTACATGAGCAGGTTTGTTATAGAAGTAAATTGCCTGTCATGGGGATTTGGTATACAGATTAGTTAATCCCCCATGTAATTCTTTCCACCATTTATTTACCTTTCTCCACAGCAGCCTATTCCCTTTGAGGGAAGAGAGAGACCCTTTCGTATTGTTTTATATTGCTTTATACTCAGTACCTGTTTTAAGAAAAAACAAGGAAGTAAAACCAAAGACAGGCAGCCTGGCGCCAGGCCCGAAACCAGGCCTGGGCCTGCCTGGCCTAAACCCAGTAGTTAAAAATCAACCCATGACTTAGAACGCGATGTTATTCCTAGATTCCAGACATTGTATAGAAGAACATTGTGACACTCCCTGCCCTGTTCTGTTTCTCTCTGACCACCAGTGCATGCAGCCCCTGTCACGTACCACCTGCGTACTCAAATCAATCACGACACTTTCATGTGAAATCTTTAGTGTTGTGAGACCTTAAAAGGGACAGAAATTGTGCATTCAGGGAGTTTGGATTTTAAGGCAGTAGCTTGCCGATGCTCGCAGCTGAATAAAGCCCTTCCTTCTACAACTCGGTGTCTGAAAGGTTTTGTCTGGGGCTCGTCCTGCTACATTTCTTGGTTCCCTGAACAGGAAGCGAGGTAACTGACGGACGGCCAAGGCAGCCCCTTGGGTGGCTTAGGCCTGCCCTGTGGAGCATCCCTGCGGTGGACTCTGGCCAGCCTGAGTGACGCGATCCAAAGAGCGCTCCCGGGTAGGAAATTCCCCGGGTGGAACGCCTCGCCAGAGCAGCACGTAGCAGGCCCCCAAGGAGGATTAACACACTGGCTGAACACTGGGAAGGAACTGGCACTTGGAGTCCGGACATCTGAAACTTGGTAAGACTAGTCTTTGGAACTTGCCCCACTCCATCTGAGTGGAAGCATGGCCTGATCACCCATGGTGTGCCTGTACTGGCACTTTTATTCTGGTTTTGACTTGACTTAGATTGTGTGATACTTTGGTTTTGGTTTTGGTTTTGACCTGGCTTGGGTTTTTGGATACTCTGATTTTGGTTTGGTGTAAACTGCAAAAGTGTGTGTGCCCTGTTTTTTTGTTTTGTAGTGCACGTGTGGTGTGAGCGTGGTGTTTTGTCTCGAAGAAGCATGGGTCAGGCACAAATAAGCCCACCCCACTAGGAACTATGTTAAAAAAAATTTTTTTTCAAGAAAGAATTTAAGGGAGATTACGATGTTACTGTGACACCAGGAAAACTTAGAACTTGTGAAATAGACTGGCCAGCATTAGAGGTGGGTTGGCCATCAGAAGGAAGCCTGGACAGGTCCCTTGTTTCAAAGGTATGACACAAAGTAACCTGTAAGCCAAGGCATCCAGACCAGTTTCTGTACATAGACAGTTACAGCTGGTTTTAGACCCCCTTCCCCCTACAGTAGTTAAGAGAACAGTAGCATAAGCATCTGGCAGAGGCAAGGAAAGACCAGCAGAGAGAAAAAAAGGCCATCTATACCAATTCTAAGTTAATTTAGACTAAACAAGGTCTTATTAATAGCAAAGGATAATTGAAATCCCAAACTTACAAGGTTTTCAACAAAAGTGAAGTTTGCTAAAAATTAACAGTATAACATGTATTATGGTAACTTCTAATCTTGTGGCCTTAGACAGTCTAGTCCAAAGACAAAAAAAAAGTTCACTTTAAAAAAAAAAAAGCGGGGGAGGCAGAATTTATGTAAAAAGAGTGTTATATGGTAAATTCTTGTCCTGAAATAAATTAACTGGTTGTTTAAAGAAAAAAAAATGTTTGTAATAAGTCAGAAAGTTGAGACATGTTGAAGAATTGTCGGCGAAAGTCGTGAAAGAAAAAATGTTATAAAAAAATTTATGCAAAAAATATTGTGTAATTTAAAAGTAATAAGGCCTCCTGAGTACTATTTAAAAAAAAAAACAGTTTATGTGCAAGGTGTATAAGAAAAGTAAAATATACCTTTGGTAAAAAGATTATAAGGAGGCATAAGAATGTGGATTTTTACCTACATTAAAAGGTTAAAAAAATTATTGTTTTGAAAGTGTAAGCAAATTTTAAAATGTTAATTGTAAAGAAAATTCTGTGTGTAAACATATTGGCTAAAGTTAAAAAGGTATCGTCCAGTTTTTCTGTGAACTGGACATTAAAGTAAAAATGTGACAGGTTTTTCTTAAAGCATCAACCTGCTCTTTAACAAAAATTATAAAAGGTTAAAAAGAGTCTATAAAACCTTACCTTATGGTCAAACATGAAAAATTGGATAAATATGTCTACAAAGTTTTATTAAAATTAAGTTTAACATTAATAACACACTAATATAAAGGTAAAATTTAGCTTACCTGGTATAAAAATCATACAAGAAGCATTATTAAATATAAAATGGTGTTTAGCTTTCTTTGGTCTAAAAACTAATAAAAATAGATGCTAAAGGAAACATTCATTTTACTAGAGGATCATAGAAGTTAAAGACTTAAAACAAACTTTGGCAGTTAAGACAGCATACCAAGATGCAAATGCCTGGTTGGAATGGATTAAATATTCCATCTGCACGTTAAACAAAATCAATTGTTATGCTTGTGCACATGGCAGGCCAGAGGCCCTGATTGTCCCTCTTCCACTAAGGTGGTCCTCCAGTCGACCAGGTGTGGGCTGCATGGTAGCTCTTTTCCAGGATTCTACAGCCTGGAGTAATAAGTCATGCCAAGCTCTCTCTGCTATATCCCGAAGTCTCTGTGGGTCAGCCCCCGAGGGCCATCC
The DNA here is from genome assembly GCF_000001405.40 of Homo sapiens. Lineage (NCBI taxonomy): Eukaryota > Metazoa > Chordata > Mammalia > Primates > Hominidae > Homo > Homo sapiens. The sequence continues at coordinate 2,442,169 of NT_167248.2, read as the reverse complement.
AGCTTCCATCTCCCAACACTAAGTTCACTTCTTGTCTCTCACGGCAGGGAGGAGATTTAGCATTCCTTGGAGACCTGAAGGGATGCAGTGAGCTTAAGAGTTTCCAAGAGCTTATCAATCAGTCAGCCCTTGTTCATCCCCGAGAGGATGTATGGTGGTATCGGGGTGGACCTTTACTGGGCACTCTGCTGAATAACTAGAGTGGCACTTGTGCTTTAGTCCATTTGGCTATCCCTTTCACCCTGGCATTTCATCAACCAGAGGAAAAAAAAAGTAAGACATCATAAAACGAGAGAAGCCCCTTATAGGTCTTTCAATTCTCACATCTACTTAAATGCAATTGGAGCCCCACAAGGAATACCAGATCAATTTAAAGCTTGAAATCAAATAGTTACAGGATTTAAGTCAATATTTTAGTAGATGACAGTCAACAAAAATGTAGATTAGATAAACTACATCTATTACAACCAACAGCAAAGAGCTTTTCATTAGTTAAAAAGAAAAACTCATGTCGGCCCCAGCCCTGAGGCTACCTGACCTGACAAAACTCTTTACACTCTGTGTGTCAGAAAGAGAAAAAATGACAGTTGGAGTTTTAACCCAGACTGTAGGGCCCTGGTCAAGGCCAGGGGCCTATCTCTCAAAACAACTAGACGGGGTTTCCAAAGGCTGGCCCCCATGTCCAAGGGCCCTGGCAGCAACTGCCCTGTTAGCACAAGAAGCAGATGAGCTAACTCTTAGGCAAAACCTAAACAGAAAGTCTCCCCATGCTGTGGTGACTTTAATAAATACCAAAGGACATCATTAGCTAATAAATGCTAGACTAACTAGATACCAAACCTTGCTCTGTGAAAATCCCCACAAAACCATTGAAGTTTCCAACACCCTAACCCAGCCACCTTACTCCTGGTAACAGAGAGCCCAGTTAAACATAACTGTTTAGAGGTGCTGGACTCAGTTTATTCTAGTAGGCCTAACCTCCGAGACCACCCTTAAACATCAGTAGACTGGGAGCTGTACGTGGATGGGAGCGGCTTTGCCAACCCCTGCAAAGTGACTCTGAAGAAGGAGACAAGCCCTGCTCCAGTCACACCCAGAAGCTGACTGGTCCACGCACAGGCGAAGCATGAGGAAACTCATTGCGGGACTCATTTTCCTTAAAATTTGGACTTGTACAGTAAGGACTTCAACTGACCTTCCTCAGATTGAGAACTGTTTCCAGTATATACATCAAGTCACTGAGGTAGGACAAAAATTGCTACAGTCCTATTATTTTATGGTTATTATAAGTGTACCAGGACTCTAAAAGAAACTTGTTTGTATAATGCTATCCAAGGTATGTAGCCCAGGGAATAACCAACCTGATGTGTGTTATGACCCATTTTAAGCCTCCCGTGATCACAGTTTTTAAAATAAAATTAAGGACTGGTCCTTTTCTAGGTGACACAAGTAAGGTAATAGCTAGAACGGAAAAAAGAGGGGCCCCCAAAAATGTAACCTTAAAATTTGGTGCTTGTGCCGCTATTGATAGTAAGCAGCATGGAATAGGATGCGGTTCTCTAAATTGGAAAAAAAAAGTGACACAGTAAAAAAAAAATAAGTGTATCTGTCAAGAATTGTATTTATGTGAGATGTGTCAATACTGGTCTTGTGTCATTTGGGCTACTTAAAAAGAAGATAAAAAAGATCCTGTTTGGCGGCTTAGTTGTCTTGGGCAAAAACTGTATAATGGTACCACAAAAAGTTACATGGTGGAGTTCCAATTACACAGAAAGAAATCCATTCAGTAAATTTCCAAAGTTGCAGACTGTTTGGGCCCACCCAGAACTCCACCGGGACTGGACAGCCCCCACCGGGTTATACGCAGAGCTTATGCTAAGCTCCCTGATCAGTGGACAGGTAGCTGTGTAATTGGCACCATTAAGCCATCTTTCTTCTTACTGCCCATAAAAACAGGTAAACTTCTGGGCTTCCCAGTCTATGCTTCCTGCGAAAAACGAAGCATAGCCATAGGTAATTGGAAAGATGATAAATGACCTCCTAAAAAAATTATATAATACTATAGGCCTGCCACTTAGACACAAGATGGCTCATGAGGATATCGAACCCCCATCTACATGCTCAACCGAATCATATGGTTGCAAGCTGTTTAGAAATTATTACTAATAAAACCCGTCAAACCTTGACTGTTCTTGCCCGGCAAGAGACTCTGATGAGAAATGCTATCTATCAAAATAGACTAGCTCTTGACTACTTGCTATATATATATATATATATGTATACACACACCCCATCTCTACTAAAAATACAAAAAATTAGTGGGGTATGGTGGCAGGCACCTGTAATCCCAGCTACTAGGGAGGCTGAGTCAGGAGAATCGCTTGAACCTGGGAGGCGGAGGTTGTAGTGAGCCGAGATCGCGCCATTGCACTCCAGCCTGTGCAACAAGAGTGAAACTCCATATCAAAAAATATAAATAAATAAATAAATAATAAATTAAATAAATAAAATGGGCAGGAAGAGGTCTGAACATAAAAACACTCGACTGCACAGCGACCAAGGAGAGACAACTTAAACCTCAAATTCTCTCTCTTTTTTTGAGACGGAGTCTCACTCTGTCGCCCAGGCTGGAGTGCAGTGGCGCTAGCTATATCGGCTCACTGCAACCTCCGCCTCCCGGATTCAAGCGATTCTCCTTCCTCAGTCTCCCGAGAAGCTGGGTTTACAAGTGCGCGCCAGGGTTTCGCTATGTTGGCCAGGCTGGTCTCCAACTCCTGACCTCAGGTGATCCGCCCGCTTCGGCCCCCCACAAAGTGCTGGGATTATGCTGGGATTACAGGCGTGAGCCACCGCACCGGGTCTCAAACCCCAAATTATTTTTTTGGGGGGACGGAGTCTTGCTCTGTCGCCCAGGCTGGAGTGCAGTGGCGCGATCTCTGCTCACTGCAAGCTCTGCCTCCAGCGTTCACGCCATTCTCCTGCCTCAGCCTCCCGAGTAGCTGGGACTACAGGTGCCCGCCACCACACCCGGCTAATTTTTTTGTATTTTTTTAGTAGAGACGGGGTTTCATAGTGTTAGCCAGGATGGTCTCGATCTCCTGACCTTGTGATCCGCCCGCCTCGGCCCCCCAAAGTGCTGGGATTACAGGCGTGAGCCACCGCACCCGGCCTCAAACCCCAAATTCCTAAGTATGGATGAGCCAAATCACCCCTCCCACTGCTGAGGAGAGACGCTTGTCTCGGACTGGACTTAACCCAATGGGGTTCAAGAAAAAGGGAAAGTCCCGCCTCCGTAGCAGCTCCAGTCCAATGGGAGCCTCCCGGTACGCTCAGCTGGAAGATGGGCGGGACTACGCTGGCCTGGAGCATGGCACGTGATTCCGCCGGCCTGGTTGCCGGGAATCTGGACCTGAGCGAGAAGCACGATCCCCGGCCGCCCCCGCTCTTGCATCCCCCTGGTCCTACTGCTGTGCTTGCTGGCGACGGTTCGTTCCGGAAGTCAGGCCAGTGACTGCGGGGCTCTGCTCCGCCCTCCATACCTGTTAAGTGTCCCCCTCCCCCACAACGCCTGATCCCCACAGCCTGGCAGCGAGAGTCCAGCCCTCCGGGGAGGTTGAGGCCCGGTGCCACCACCACCACTGGAGGCCTGACGATGCCTGACGATGCCTCACGCGGGTGCTGAGTAGTAGGGGGGCTTAATTATTTAGCACCTCTCCCCTTCCCCTGAGCCATAACCTTCCCCAAACTGTGGCCTTTATGAGGCCTCTTGGGAGTGCTTTTTGGAGCCGGGGGAGGTCTGGGGCGATGGAGGTTGCAAGATAAGGTCAGGCTTAGAGGGTAGGTAGGGCTTCCTCTGAAACTGGTTGTATCTGGTAAGTAATTGTCCCATGTCTCCCACTTGAAGCTTAAACTTGGCCGTAGGAGGTCCTTATGCCTGTAATCCCAGGACTTTGGGAGGCCGAGCTGGGCGGAGGATTGCTTGGACACAGGAGTTTGAGACCAGCCCAGGGAACATGAGGAAAACCTGTCAATACAGAAAATACAAAAACATTAGCCAGGCGTGGTGGTGCACGCCTGTAGTCCCAGTTACTCTGGAGGCTGAGGTGGGAGGATCGCTTGAGCCTGGGAGGCAGAGGTTGGGGTGGGCCTCATGATTGTGCCACTGCACTTCAATGTGGGTGACAGAGTGAGACCGTCTCGAAAAAAAGAAAAGGAGCCAATGATAGCAGCTATGTTTGTTAAAAAAATATATATATATATACGTATATACACATATATATACGTATATGTGTGTGTGTGTATATATATATTTGGAGACGGAGAATCACTCAGTCGCCCAGGCTGGAGTGCAGTGGTGCAATCTCGGCTCACTACAACCTCTGCCTCCTGGGTTCTAGGGATTCTCCTGTCTCAGCCTCCCGAGTAGCTGGGATTACAGGCGTGCACCACCAGGCCCAGCTAATTTTTGTATTTTTTTAGTAGAGATGGGGTTTCGCCTCATCGTGGTTTTTAACCCAGCCTTAAAAATATATTTAAACATAACTACCAGGTGTGTTTTTTGGCATGACCTCTAATCCTCTGAGATTGGTGTAATTTTCTCATATATGAAGAATGTGGCTCATATTCTTGTCCACAAGAGATGGCCCCAAGAGGGATGCACAGCCATAGACAAGTGGTAGGGTGAGTGTCACCTCTGAGTGAAAGTCAGAGCCGTCTCTGAAATAAAGGGGTACAGCAGCGTGGTAGATGGTTTGAGGCCAGGGTAAGGGTTTAATGAAAGGGTTTAAGTGGTTTAAGTGGTGTTTGGAGAAGGGAAGGATGGGTCTTCCCTTCAGGGGACCATCTCAGGAAGGCACTGGGAGGTGGAACTGCAGGAGTATGGAGGTGCTCCAACCTTCCTGTTCCAAGTGGGTCAGGTGAAGGCAGGGTGTGGTGGGAGATGAGGGTGGAGACGGCAGCCTTCAAGGGGCCTTGTTTAGCTTGCTAAGGAGCTTGGAAACCATCCCGAGGACAAAAGGGGAATCCTTAGAGGAAGAGCAGAGAGGTATGTGGTCTGATATGTATTTCTGGATAGATCACTCTGATTATATCAAGGAGGACAGATTTTATATGCTTAAGACTGGAGGGAGAGAGACCAGTTAGAAAGACTCTGGCTATAATCCAAGCAAGCCATACTATGGGCTGGTTTGGTGGAGGTAGAGGAATGTCCAGATTGGAGAAACAGGAAGTTAAAAATGGGCAGGGCTTGCTGACTGTTTGAAACTAGGGGGTGTGAAGGGAGGCAGCACTCTAGGATAAACACCAGACTTGCCGATTGTTTGGGAATATCCAATTCTGCTGTAGAAGACAGGAAAACAATAAACTCAAAAGAAGTGTTACACATAGATAACTAAATTAGTCATCTGTAGATAGTACAACATATTCGTGTGTACAGAGATCAAAAGGGACAGAAAGACCAAGGAGGCACTAAATATTCACGGTACCCTAAATACGTGAGACATGAGGCACTCAGGATGCAGGAGGTTTCAATTTGACAGGATGGATGCACACTGCATGACCCACAGTTCAGCTGGTGTGATCATTCCACCCAACTTGCCCCCTCTCCCGTGTGTTGACCCACCCCAGCACCTGCCTCCTGCTTCTCAGAATGTGTTTTACATTTATTTAATAAACGATGTTATTTGAGCATTTACATTTGGTCTGTGAGCCTTTTTGTTCCATGACCTCTCAGCTCACTTCATGCTATTGTGCCAGGAGGCTACATGACATCCGGTAGTTGCCCACACCTCAACCCAGTTCTGGCTTGAGTAAGCAGGCAGGTGAGAGGATGATGCCACTCACCAGGAATATAGGATGAGAGGCAGGTTGTTCCATGGCCAGGGCCAAGAGGAAATACTCAGTTTTGGATGTGTCAGATTTAAGGCCATATGGAACCTTAGGTCCAGATGACCAACAGGTAGGTAGTTGGATATACCGATGTGAAGAACAGGGATGAAGAGATTTGGGAGTCATTACTATTTAAAACAATGAGCCTAGATGAGGCCCTGCAGGGAAACAAGAGATTCCCTTCCCATTGTTCAGTCTGCATTCCCCTTACCCACTCCTTTGGTGCCCTCAAAAATAGTCACACAGCCTCACCACACAGGCACCTTGTGCAGTGTCTCCCAGGTAAGACTCCTGTTGGAAAATAACCCTTTCCCATCATTCTCTTTTCCTCAGCAACCCACTCTCTGTGCTATGACTTCATTACTCTTTCCCAGCCCAGCCCTGGGCAAGCCCCTTACGAAGTCTCAGGCTACCTGGATGACCACCCTTTCTTATGATGCTGCAAGGAGGGCAGGTGGGCAGAGCCCCGTGCATCCTGGGCTCAGGCCAGGGACCCAAGAGCTTGGGAGAAGCTGGTTCTCAGACTGAAGGCCAGAGCCCAGCACCTTGTCACCATCCCGGGGAGCATCATGGCACACAACAACCAGAGCCAAGGTGATTGGGCTTGGGGGCTCAGGAGGAGGCAGAAAAGAGAGAAGAGCTCAATATGGGCCTGAAGATGTGCAGCTGCATTCGTTATTGTTCAGCTAAGATGCATTGAGCTCTGCGTGGGGCACTGTGCTAGGCACTCAGATACCATCCCACTTCACTGAGATCCTGATGCTATCTCCTCCTGCCTGGGGGAGTTCATCCCTGACTCAAACCTTGTTTTATGTACCCAGTGGTGCCAAAAGGACTGGGTCTTAGGTATTAGCAAGAGTAGGACAGAAGTATAAGACCCTCTGGCTGGGCGCGGTGGCTCATGCCTGTAATCCCAGCAGTTTGGGAGGCCGAGGCAGGTGGATCACAAGGTCAGGAGATCGAGACCATCCTAGCTAACACAGTGAAACCCTGTCTCTACTAAAAATACAAAAAAAATTAGCCGGGTGCGCTGGCAGGCACCTGTAGTCCCAGCTACTCGGGAGGCTGAGGCAGGAGAATGGCATGAACCCGCGAGGTGGAGCTTGCAGTGAGCCGAGATCGTGCCACTGCACTCCAGCCTGGGTGACAGAGCAAGACTCTGTCTCAATAAAAAAAAAAAAAAAAAGAAGTATAAGACCCTCACCCTTTCCCTCAGTCAAGGACTAGGTCTCTAAGAAAGAAGCCATTGTCCTTAAGCTCCCAAGCCTTCCCTTCAGGTGAAAAAAGTCTGTTTTTTTTTTGCTCTTGTTGCCCAGGCTGGAGTGCAATGGCCCGATCTCAGCCCACTGCAAACTCCGCCTCCCAGGTTCAAGCGATTCCCCTGCCTCAGCCTCCTGAGTAGCTGGGATTACAGGCGCCTGCCACCACACCTGGCTAATTTTTATATTTTTAGTAGAGATGGGGTTTCACCATGTTGGCCAGGCTGGTCTCAAACTCCTGACCTCGTGATCCACCTGCCTGGGCCTCCCAAAGTGCTAGGATTACAGGCGTGAGCCACCGCACCCGGCCAGGTGAAAAAAATTTATCCAACTTTCTCAAATCCAGGAAATGGGAAAAACTGGCCTTTTTCTGACATTCACCTCTCTCGTCACTACCAGTAGTTAATAAGAAACCTGGTGACCTGAGCAAAATATATTTCTAACCAATATCATTTTTTTTCATCTAGCAAACATTTAAGCCTAGTAAGTGCTGTTCATTTTGCTGTTACCAATAATACACCTTACAATAGCAGCTACTAGTTCTTGAATTCTTCTTGGTAGGTCCTACATTAACACTGGCAAGGATTATCTCATGTTATCTTTACTTGTGTGGTAGAGACTATAATTGTGTCCAGTTGCCAAATGAGGAAAGCAAGGCTTGGAGAGGTTCCATTACATTTGCCGTGGGCATATAGCCAGTAGCTGATGTGTAGATCAGGGATTTAAACACAATGCTGTCTGTGCTGGGCCTTCAGGAGGGTGGGTGAGTATATGTGGCTGAACAGTGCATGCTGGGTACATGGGAGGGAGCCACATGCTGCAGGGGAGGGAGAGCGGGTGCAGTGTGACTTTGGTGGGGATGTGGTTGACAGAGAAGATATGTCTTGGAGAATGAGTGAGGGTTTATCAGTCAGAGGAAGGGAATTTCATGCATTTTGGGAGGAGGTAGGAGCGGAGGTGGAGAGAGCCACTGTTTTGACCTCTTGTAACTTTGGAGTTCTGGGGTTTTGGCTTTTCAGAGTCACACACCCTCCAGACCACGGTTGTCTGTGAGTTGCTGGGGAACCGGAGCAGCTGGGGACACTGGCACTACAACTGTGATGGCCAGGACTCCCTTCTTAGCACACTTGAGTCTTTCAACTCCAGCAAAAGCCAGCCAGAACCAAGCATAGCTGCAGAAGGAGAGAAGGGAAGGAAACAATCCTTCCTGACCTAGAGCTGCGTCTACCCTCTCCGGAAACACCTGAAAGCTGGGGTGGGACCACGGCCCACCGTAGGTGTGATAGGTGCGGACTGGTTCATGTGGGGAAGGTGGAGGAGCTGAGGGCACTGTGGGAGGGATGGAGTGCAGGCCCCTCAGCCAGCCTTCAAAACTCCATTTCAATACCCATGTCCTAAATGAACACAGCTCTGTTGCTGACCGTCCTAGCCACTCTGCTTTCCTTCCCTCTCCCGTGCTTGGTCAGCCCTTTTCCCACTTGGTGTTCAAGTTCTGACCCAGGGCTGAGCACCCAAGGGCTCTCAAGGTGGGGCATCACCTACAGTCACCATGGAACACAGTGGAATGGTGCCTAAAGCCCTGGTGTGGAGGATGTACGGCAGCTTGATAGGACCAGAGGCAGCCAGTTTGTCTGGGAGGTCTTTGCCACCACTTTTCCCTGTCCCGCTAGCCCCCTTGGTGCATGGGACTCTCTGCAAAGCCCCTGGAGAGGAGCCATCCCAACATGCTAGGCCCTTGACTTCTATCCTCCAGTGTCCAGCTAACTTAGCTGAGGGATGGGCTGCCCCAGCCCCTGAGTCCCTGGAACCCTAAGCCACTTGCCCCCTTGCATGGCGCTGCTCAGATGCCCAGAGCCAGCAGTCTGCTGTGATCCCTTTGACGTGAGCATAGGCTCTCCTGTCTGGTGATGCACCAGGCTGATGCTGAGTCTCTGTGCAACCTCAGATGAGCAGCTGGGGTTTGGAGGCATGTAGCAATGCAGTTGCCGAGTGCAGTGGCTCGATCTCAGCTCACTGCACCCTCTGCTGCCTGAGTTCAAGCGATTTTTGTTTCTCAGCCTCCTGAGTAGCTGGGATTACAGGCATGCACCACCACATGCAAAAAAAACAAAACAAACAAACAAAAAAACCACCTTTTGGTATTTTTAGTAGAGACAGGGTTTCACCATGTTGGCCAGGCTGGTCTCGAACTGCTGATCTGAAGTGATCCGCCCGCCTCAGCCTCCTAAAGTGCTGGGATTATAGGCATGAGCCACCGCTCCCGGCCTCCTCCTATATCTCTTGATCAAACTTCAGGGGAAAACCTGCCAGATTCCCCAGGAAGGATGCTTGGAGGTAGGTGGCAGGGTACAGGGAGGCCTATGCCAACTTCTCATTGAACACCACTCCCAGCTTTCCTACCCCCATTTCTCTTCACAGGTGTGCAGAGAAGTCTACATTCCCATGTCAAGTAAGGGGGGTGGGTAGATGGGAGGGCATATGAGAGCGGGGCAGCAATTTTATGTCTTAGTTGGAAGGAAGTTTAGAGTTCATTGAGTCCAAATCCTCTTTACTAGGTGAGGAAACTGAGGCACAGGAGGGGGAGGTGCCATTAGCCAGGGAGTCAGAGCCAGGACTTAGAACCTGGTCCATGCCTCCTAGTTTGTTCCTGACCAATCCTCCCAGCTCACCCACTCCTTTTGCTCTCACCTCTGACTCCCTACAGGCTACAGCTAGAGAGTTGACTCCTCTATTTGAGGTAAGAGTGTCTGGATTTGGGATAAGGTGACCTCAGTTTGCAGGTCTCATGGGGGAGATCAGAGGGTCCTTTGTTGAGAAGAGGGGACTTGGTCCACAGTGAGCAAAGGAATTTGTCTAAATTGCTATTAAGGGAGATCATCTCCCAAGGTGGGCCAAGCCTGAACCCTCAGCCCTCCATTTCTTCCCTTTCTTTTGCCTTCAGATTGACAGGCCTCGGAAGTCAAAATAAGTGGTTTCCTAGACCGGGTCGAGAGCAAGTCTCTATTGGTCCCAACTGAGTTTTTTCAGCTGGTTTTTCAACCAAACAGCACCTCATCTCCCAGTGAGGGGAAGGGAAGGCTGGGCTGAGAGCAGCAAGGCTGCTCATCTCACCTCTCCCCACCCAGCCATGCCAGCCGCCACACCTGGTGGGGAGAGGTGGGCCTCACCTGGGTCCCCTGGCAGTGCTCTGTGAAGGGTCTTGACATTGCACTGTAATAATAAAGGTGTGTGTGAAGTATCTTTTTATGGTGACTTTCTAAAACCCAGGGAATCATGGGACCAGTTCTGATGACTCAGCCTGGCTTCCAGTCTCCTCCAGGCCCAACGGTGGCCCCCAGCACTGGTTGGGGCCTGGGAGAGCTGGCCTTGGCTGAAGTGAAGCCACCTACCCTTCAGGCATAACAGGACAGTGAGAAGGAAGGAAAGCCTGCCTCAACCTCCCATCAGCCCTGAGCACCCCAGAAGGGGGCCGGCTAGGAGTCTAGGCATGCAGGAGGCTGACCCCTGACTGGGCTCATATCCAGCCACAAGGCAGCCAGGGACCCAGGCACCCACCCCTTGTCTGCGTCCCTCTCGGGAATGGGCCTCTTGCCCAGGCCAGAAATACACCACCTACAGTACAAATTATAATCTAAAAACAAGAGGGTGGTGTTGAGTGGGGAAATTGGGGAAGGTGTTTTAGGAGCCACTAGGAAAATGGGCAGCAGGGACTCTCTGGACTGGCTTGGGAAGAGCGCTTTTGGGGAACCTGGAGGATGGCAAGCTGAGAAACACTGGTGTGGAGATTCCAGCCAAATCCCAGGCCTGCCCCTCCCCCTCCTCTGAGAGGCCGTCTTCTTGGCAGACAGCAGAGAGATGCATGACAAAGGTGCCGTGATGGTTCTGTCCTGGGGATTGAGATGGCTGGGGAGGGGCCTCCTCCTGTTCCGAAGCATGTTCCTCCTACCCCCACCAGGCCCCATAATCTACCTGCCTTTTGGGCAGTTAAAGGCCGAGAAGTGAACACAGCTGCAACCCCACTGCCTTGTAGACCTTCCGGCAGACCTGTGGCAGGTATTGAAATGCACGCATACAATTAGGCTCAAAAAGTCTACACAGACAGGAGATGGGCACACGAACAGAGGCAACATAAGAGTGGGGGAAAAGTCTCAAAAGACTCACGGATGCCACCAAGATGAAGACAGCTGGCCACGGGACACCCATCCCCTTAGAAGGCAGATAGAGCCACTGACCTCAGCAGACAAGCCCAGGCAGGGCTGAGCCTGGAGCCTGCAATGAGAAGCCTTACTTAAGTCGACAGAGGTCAGCGTGCCCAGTCCAGACCTGGCCTTCTGGCCTTCGAAGCTGTGGGGAGCCCTGGCCCAGAGCCCCCTCTGGAGCCCCCAGACTTACCCCAGGCCCTCCACTGAGATCAAGTTTTGGGAGCAGACAGACAAACATCATCCCTCACAGACAGGCATTCCGTTGGCTATTCTCTTGCAAACAGAATCAAGCACTAGACCAGCAGCATGAGCCTCAGGATACTCAGGCCAGGCCCAGAAAAACAGACCCTGAAGGGGAGCTTAGGGCAGCCTTCCTGCACGCCTCCACAAATCACTCTCCACCTCCTCTGCGTCTTTCTGCCAGCCAGCCCCACTAAACAAAGCACATCCCTCAATCTGCCAGGCTCGGGGAGGGACGCACGATGAAGCTGGACGCCTGAGTCCCCCAGAGGAAGGAGGAACTAGATACCTAGGTCCCTGTGGGGGGCCCTTGGTGCCCGTCTGAGGCTCAGTCTTTGAGGGGATTGCAGAGGGGGGTTGCTGGAGCTCCTTTTAGCGTCTCTGAAGGGGATTCTGTGTGAGGGGATTGGGACTGGGGGGTTGGGGAGCAGGAAGCAGTCCCCAGGGGAGCCATCCAGGCCCATTCAAGGGTTGAGCACTTGTTTAGGGTTAGAGCTGCCCCCTCTGGGGACCGGGATTGTCCAGCCAAGGCCATTGTCCTGCCCCCTTCCCCCAGTCCCTCCCAGGCTTCTTTGAACCTGAAGTCAGATATTTTTTCTCCACACCCCCCACCCCCTGGTTTTCCCCACCCAGGGCCTAGGGCTGGAGGCCTGGGCCAGGGAGGTGGGGGAGGGAGAACGGGGCCTACCGTGGTATTAGATGTCTGAGTTTTGGTTGAGAGGGGAGCAAGGAACCTGATGTGCAGGTTCCATAGTGGAGGGGGCCCAAAGCGGGTGTCTTATCACTCTGTTTCAGCAAAGGTTGGGAAACTGAGGCCCAGTCAGTCCAAAGTCTGGTCCCTTGAAGGGGAAGTAGGGACCAACCCCTTAGTCTGTTAGATGAGGAGAGTCTGGAGTCTGATTCTGGAAGACGGAGGGGTGGGGGGATGGGGGGGTGGGGGGATATAGCACGGAGGCCTTGTCTGGCAGTCTACTCTTGAAGATGGGGTGAAATTTGGCAGGCTGGGCAGATGGTGCCAGGCACCCAGGCTGCGGGGTGGCTGGATTTGGCCAGTATCGGGATGGGAATGCCTAGGATTCTGGATGGATCGGGGGAAGGCATAAGGGAGCAGCTGGCCATTGTGCTTATGGCTGTTGATGCATTGAGGGATAGCGCCACACACACATTCAATAAATTTGAGGAGCTGAGAGGGTGACTGGCCCCTGAAGGCACAGTGCCAGAGGTCTGTGGAGAGGGGGTCAAGCACCTGGGTTCCTGAAGAACATGGAGTTGTGGGAGTGATTCCAGACAGCTGGGATGTGCAGAGCCTGAGAGAGTGCCAGGGAGCGGGTTGGGAGTTGAAAGTTGGGTGTGGTGGCTCACGCCTTTAATCATGACACTGGGCGGCAGAGGTGGGAGGATTTCTTGAGGACAGGAATTCAAGACCAGCCTGGGTAACATAGCAAGGCCCCATCTCTACTAAAAATAAAAAAACTAACAGGGCACAGTGGTCCAAGCCTGTAGTCCCAGCCAATTAGGAGGCTGGAGCAGAAGGATTGCTTTGGCCCAGTAGATCGAGGCTACATTGAGCCATCATTGTACTCCACTGCACTCCAGTCTGGGCAACAAAGTGAGACCCTGTCTTAAAAAATAAAAATAAAAAAAGTTTCTGTGGGGGACCTGCACTGAGGTCCTGGAGGGGCGCCAGTTGTGTCTCCCGGTTTTCCCCTTCCACAGACACCATTGCCACCACCATTAGGCAAACATCCTTCGCCTCAGTTTCTCCCCCCACCTCCCTCTCCTCCACCCATCCAGGGGGCGGGGCCAGAGGTCAAGGCTAGTGGGTGGGACTGGGGAGGGAGAGAGGGGTTGAGTAGTCCCTTCGCAAGCCCTCATTTCACCAGGCCCCCGGCTTGGGGCGCCTTCCTTCCCCATGGCGGGACACCTGGCTTCGGATTTCGCCTTCTCGCCCCCTCCAGGTGGTGGAGGTGATGGGCCAGGGGGGCCGGAGCCGGGCTGGGTTGATCCTCGGACCTGGCTAAGCTTCCAAGGCCCTCCTGGAGGGCCAGGAATCGGGCCGGGGGTTGGGCCAGGCTCTGAGGTGTGGGGGATTCCCCCATGCCCCCCGCCGTATGAGTTCTGTGGGGGGATGGCGTACTGTGGGCCCCAGGTTGGAGTGGGGCTAGTGCCCCAAGGCGGCTTGGAGACCTCTCAGCCTGAGGGCGAAGCAGGAGTCGGGGTGGAGAGCAACTCCGATGGGGCCTCCCCGGAGCCCTGCACCGTCACCCCTGGTGCCGTGAAGCTGGAGAAGGAGAAGCTGGAGCAAAACCCGGAGGAGGCAAGTGAGCTTCGACGGGGTTGGGGTGTGGGGAGGTGGTCATGACAGGGCAGCCTGATGGGGAAGTGGTCACCTGCAGCTGCCCAGACCTGGCACCCAGGAGAGGAGCAGGCAGGGTCAGCTGCCCTGGCCAGGGAGGGGTGTGTATCAACTGCAGGCAGCCCTGGCAGGCAGGGGCCAGGTGGGAACTGGAAGCTGGATTTCGAAGAGACAACTGCCGGTGAGGGCAGAGCGGCCTGGGAGAGTCAGAAGCTGGCCCAGGCTGGCCTTTGCTCTGGCCCAGCCCTTGTCAGGGTCTCTCACATCTCCTAGGCCTGCCCAGGGTCTGGTCACTCATTACTGGCCCAGCACCAGACCCAGGTTGGGGTTGGTTTGAGCCCCTTTTCCCACCCTTAGTCCTGCTTGAAAATTTGACCCTTATCAGACCCAAGATTTTGGCCTTAGGGTTAAGCATAGCCTGAGGGTAAAAACAGTGCTCATTCCAGGATTATTGTTCCTGAAAGTCTAGGGTGTGACTCGTTTCTGATAGGATCTCCTGTTTGGGCTGTGTGTGTGCGCGTTGTGAGCTGGGTTTACCTCCAGTCAAGTATAGGGCTTGTCTTCCCCGGATCTCTGCCTCAGGCCAATGACTGGCCACTGTGTTAAGGTGCACACCCTGGCACCCCTTGTAGAAAGCTGGATTTTGATTGACTTCAGCCTCAGTTCCAAAGTTGTAAACAAGAAAAATGGTGAGAGATTTCTCCAGGCCATTTGCAAATATAGAGCTGCTGCGGGATTGAAGGCATCCAGCCCTGCTGAGGACTATTAAAGATGTATCTTCCAGTCCTCCAAGGCGACAAGTGTAAGCAATTAGAGATTAAATACTAAGCCTTGAGACCTCACAGAAAGGTGTGACTGGTTTCTGGAGTGACCGAGAAGCCCCAACCTCTTCGCAGGAGGTCACTGCTGAGCCTTGAATGATAATGGCTGGCAATTGTGGTCCACTTCCTAAGTGCCTGGCTGTGTGCTCCGTTTATACATCATTATCTCATTAACCAGCACAAAATCTCCTAGGGGGAGGTATTATTATCCTATTTAACGGGTTTTAACTGCTAAATGATGAAGCGAGGATTTGGACCAGTGTTTATTCCAAAACCCCAAAACAGAATTTGGAAAATCCAGGATAGCAGAGGGCATTTATCAGTTTGAGTTATTGGCTGAGCAGAAGTTGGGGATGAAAACAGCCTATTTGAAATTGATATGATCAAGCACCATTGAAACACTTCCTTGAGGCTTCAGGACTACAAAAAGGCCTTGTTTTTTTCTCACTAGCTGTGCACCTCTGTCCGCCGGCAGCCTCATATGGCATGCCCCAGGGCTCAGTCCTTCAACCTCTGCTCTATCTACCCTTCCTTCCTCTCACCCACCCTCAAGGCCTAAATGCCATTTAGACACCAGATGACTACCGCGTTTTCTGTCTCTTGTGATGGCTCCCTGAACTGCTCCACCCTGATCACCCAGTTGCTCAAGGCCAAACCCAGTCATCCTCAGTTTCTTTCACGTCCTACATCCTATCCTTAAGAAACATCCTGAATCAATCACAACCTAACCCTGGCCTCAGCCACCATCATCTCTGCTGGGATTACCGCAGTAGCTTCTCAAATTATACTGCTTCCTCCCTACTGTCTGTGGCCAACACGTCAACTAGAGTCAGTGTTTTAAAAGGTGTGGCCAGGCACTTTGGGAGGCCGAGGCAGGCGAATCACCTGAGGTTGGGAGTTCGAGTCCAGCCTGACCAACATGGCGAAACCCCATCTCTACTAAAAATACAAAATTAGCTGGGCGTGGTGACGCATGCCTGTAATCTCAGCTACTCAGGAAGCTGAGGCAGGAGAATCGCTTGAACCTGGGAGATGTAGGTTGCGGTGAGCCGAGATCGCGCCAGTGCACTCCAGCCTAGGCAACAAAAGCGAAACTCTCAAAAAAAAAAAAAAAAAAAGGTGAGGCTAGGTGCGGTGGTTCACACCTGTAATCCCAGCACTTTGGGAGGCCAAGGTGGACAGATCACTTGAGGTCTCCTGACCAGCCTGGCCAACATGGTGAAACCCCATATCTACTAAAAATACAAAAATTAGCCGGGCATGGTGGTGGGTGCCTGTAGTCCCAGCTACTCAGGCGGCTGAGGCAGAATAGCTTGAACCCAGAAGGCGGAGATTGCAGTGAGCCAAGATCACGCCACAGCACTCCAGCCTGGGCGATAGAACGAGATTCCGTCTTGGGGGGGAGAAAAAGGGTGAGAGATCATTTCACTTGGACTAAAACAAAGTCACTATGTCTGCAACAGGATCTACCTAGCCACCAGACCAGCTTTGGGCTCTGGAAGGCCCACTTCAGGGCCTTGCCACATTAGACTCTTGTCCTTTGCTCAAACAATCACCTTCTCTGTCTTTAAAAGTGTCACCCTCCTCCATAATCTCCTTCCCTCCTTTACCCTACTCCTATAGACTGCTTTATTTTTTTTTTTAATTTTTGAGATGGAGTCTCACTCTGTCCCTCAGGCTGGAGTGCAGTGGTGCGATCTTGGCTCACTGCAAACTCCACCTCCTAGGTTCAAGCAATTCTCCTGCCTCAGCCTCCTGAGTAGCTGGGATTATAGGGGAGCGCCATGATGCCCAGCTAATTTTTGTATTTTTAGTAGAGACAGAGTCTCACTATGTTGACCAGGCTAGTCTTGAACTCCTGACCTCAAGTGATCTACCCACCTTGGCCTCCCAAAGTGAAGGGATTACAGGCATGACCACTGCGCCCGGACTGCTTTACTTTTTTCCATAATATATATATATTTTTTAAATAGAGGCAGCAGGGGTGGGAGAAGGGGCAGCACGGGTCTCACTATGTTACCCAGGCTGCTTTCTAACTCTTGGGCTCAAGCAGTCTGCCCACCTTGGCCTCCCAAAGTGCTAGGATTTACAGACATGAGCCACTGTGCCTGGCCATTTTTTATTTTATTTACTTTTTTATTTTTCAGAGCAGGAGTGGAAGTTTATTATTAAAAAGTTATAGGGCAGGGAAAAAAGGAAAGTGCACTTGGAAGAGATCCAAGTGGGCAACTTGAAGAACAAGTGCCGAATAGCACTTCTGTCATGCTGGATGTCAGGGCTCTTTGTCCACTTTGTATAGCCGCTGGCTTATAGAAGGTGCTCGATAAATCTCTTGAATTTAAAAATCAATTAGGATGCCTCTATAGTGAAAAAGATACAGTAAAGATGAGGGATAATCAATTTAAAAAATGAGGAGTAAGTACACACAAAGCACTTTATCCATTCTTATGACACCTGTTACTTTTTTGCTGTGTTTGTGTGTATGCATGCCATGTTATAGTTTGTGGGACCCTCAAAGCAAGCTGGGGAGAGTATATATTGAATTTAGCTTCTGAGACATGATGCTCTTCCTTTTTAATTAACCCAGAACTTAGCAGCTTATCTATTTCTCTAATCTCAAAACATCCTTAAACTGGGGGTGATACTTGAGTGAGAGAATTTTGCAGGTATTAAATGAACTATCTTCTTTTTTTTTTTCTTTGAGACAGAGTCTTGCTCTGTCACCCAGGCTGGAGTGCAGTGGCGTGATCTCAGCTCACTGCAACCTCCGCCTCCCGGGTTCAAGTGATTCTCCTGCCTCAGCCTCCTGAGTAGCTGGGATTACAGGTGCGTGCCACCGTGCCCAGCTAATTTTTGTGTTTTTAGTAGAGACGGGGTTTCACCATGTTGGCCATGCTGGTCTTGAACTCCTGACCTCGTGATCTGCCCACCTCGGCCTCCCAAAGTGCTGGAATTATAGGCGTGAGCCACCGCGCCCAGCAAAGAACTTCTAACCTTCATAACCTGACAGGTGTTCTCCTCGAGGCCAGGGTCTCTCTTTCTGTCCTTTCACGATGCTCTGCATCCCTTGGATGTGCCAGTTTCTGGGGGAAGAGTAGTCCTTTGTTACATGCATGAGTCAGTGAACAGGGAATGGGTGAATGACATTTGTGGGTAGGTTATTTCTAGAAGTTAGGTGGGCAGCTTGGAAGGCAGATGCACTTCTACAGACTATTCCTTGGGGCCACACGTAGGTTCTTGAATCCCGAATGGAAAGGGGAGATTGATAACTGGTGTGTTTATGTTCTTACAAGTCTTCTGCCTTTTAAAATCCAGTCCCAGGACATCAAAGCTCTGCAGAAAGAACTCGAGCAATTTGCCAAGCTCCTGAAGCAGAAGAGGATCACCCTGGGATATACACAGGCCGATGTGGGGCTCACCCTGGGGGTTCTATTTGGTGGGTTCCCCTCTGCAGATTCTGACCGCATCTCCCCTCTAAGGAGTATCCCTGAACCTAGTGGGGAGGGGCAGGGGCAGACTCTACCCTCACCCATGAAGAGGAGTAGGGAGAGGGAGAAGATGCTTGGGCTTTGAGCTCCCTCTGGGAAGAGGTGGTAAGCTTGGATCTCAGGGTCACAAGGGCCCTGCGTGCTCCCTCATTTTGCTTCTCTTTTGACTGGCCTCCCCCAGGGAAGGTATTCAGCCAAACGACCATCTGCCGCTTTGAGGCTCTGCAGCTTAGCTTCAAGAACATGTGTAAGCTGCGGCCCTTGCTGCAGAAGTGGGTGGAGGAAGCTGACAACAATGAAAATCTTCAGGAGGTAAGGGTGGGAGGGGGATACCCGGGGACCTTCCCTTTCTTGGCCTAATTTCCATTGCTTCCATCACTGGCTCGTAGCTCTCCGTCTTTGGTGCAGTGGTTCTCAGTGGGATGGAGTGAAATTCCTCAGTTCTGCTGGGATAAGGTCCAGAGCCAACCCTTCCAGGATCCTGCCTTTTCACACCACCACCTGGCTCTGCTGACACATCTAGTCACAGACCCCTGTGATGCTGTTACTCAGCAAGTCCAAAGCTTGCCCTTGTCACCCCCTTCCCACCTGCACAGATATGCAAAGCAGAAACCCTCGTGCAGGCCCGAAAGAGAAAGCGAACCAGTATCGAGAACCGAGTGAGAGGCAACCTGGAGAATTTGTTCCTGCAGTGCCCGAAACCCACACTGCAGCAGATCAGCCACATCGCCCAGCAGCTTGGGCTCGAGAAGGATGTGAGTGCCATGTCTCTCTGCAGGCTCCATCTCTTTCCCCTGTCACCACCTCGCTTTCCCTAGCTCTGGCTCCTCCAACTGCTCTAGGGCTGTTGGCTTTGGACAGAATGTCCAAGCAGTCAGGCCTGTCTCAGCTCATTCTCTAATGTCCTCCTCTAACTGCTCTAGGGCTGTTGGCTTTGGATAGAATGTCCAAGCAGAGTCAGGCCCGTCTCTCAGCTCATTGTCTAATGTCATTCTCCTTTCTGTCATTCACTGGCAGGTGGTCCGAGTGTGGTTCTGTAACCGGCGCCAGAAGGGCAAGCGATCAAGCAGCGACTATGCACAACGAGAGGATTTTGAGGCTGCTGGGTCTCCTTTCTCAGGGGGACCAGTGTCCTTTCCTCTGGCCCCAGGGCCCCATTTTGGTACCCCAGGCTATGGGAGCCCTCACTTCACTGCACTGTACTCCTCGGTCCCTTTCCCTGAGGGGGAAGCCTTTCCCCCTGTCTCTGTCACCACTCTGGGCTCTCCCATGCATTCAAACTGAGGTGCCTGCCCTTCTAGGAATGGGGGACAGGGGGAGGGGAGGAGCTAGGGAAAGAAAACCTGGAGTTTGTGCCAGGGTTTTTGGGATTAAGTTCTTCATTCACTAAGGAAGGAATTGGGAACACAAAGGGTGGGGGCAGGGGAGTTTGGGGCAACTGGTTGGAGGGAAGGTGAAGTTCAATGATGCTCTTGATTTTAATCCCACATCATGTATCACTTTTTTCTTAAATAAAGAAGCCTGGGACACAGTAGATAGACACACTTATCTTGGTTTGTCCTTCAGTTACTGAGGTGGGGATGGGAATATCCAATGCTCATACCCAAGTGACCCTGAAACTAAGGTGCCATTTACACTCCTTAAGGTCACACAACATCAGAGGGAGAGCTGGGATTGCAGCCAAGTTTATTTGTACAGGGCCCTGTGATAGGCTAGTTCCCAAAAGCCTGTGATGCAAGAACTTTTGCCCATAGACTCAGTCACCATGTAGCTGTTACCTGTTCAGAGCTGGCTTTTTGCTTTCCCACCCTACTCTGGAATTCTTAAATGGCTTTATACTTAGAAATCATCTTATTTCTGTTGAACCTAGATCACCCCAACCAGAAACTTCTATTAATACTTTGTGCTTTCTTGATACCAGGGTCTATTTGGTTTCCACTTAAGGTTTTTGCATACTCTGCCCATAAGTGACTCATTAGTTACTCAAGTTTTATTCCTGGCTCTGCCACTAGTTCATTAGGGGTCTTTGCCCCAGAGTCATTTCTTCCATGTAAAAAAACTTGGGCTCATTAAATCTAGGTAGGAAAGGGCGGATGTGGCAGGTTTTAATAGAACAGGTCAAGATAAGGCTTTATTTCTATAGAAATGATGCTTTGACAATAGTTTGGCTTGGTGTAAGGCTCACAAAAGAAAATCACATGTACCATGTGTGGGTTAAGCGGTTTGATTCACACTGAACCAGGCCAGCCCAGTTGCCCTCTGCTGTGTCCACCCGTGGAGTGGAGCTGTGTCACAGCCATCACACTGGTAAACTGCTGTAGCTGGTTTACCAGGCTTTCTCTTGCCCTGACAGTACAGGTGAAGCCTGTAAATAAATCTTCTGCTATCTTTGTGAACTTAACCAAATCCCAGTTACCTTATTTAAATGGCAATAGATCTGTTTTCCCTTAAACTAGAAACCTTAATTACCTGTATTCCTACCTCCAGCTCAACCCATATATTTGCACCTTTCCAGTAAGCAGGTTTGTATTTCCATCTCTCCCCTTCCCCTAAGATTCTGAATTAGTTCTCCAGACCTTGCCAAGCACATTCTCCCTGGAAAGCAAGGAATATCACAGACCCACAAGAAGAGTAAATGCCCAGGAGTGAATGAAGCGGCTTGTCCTTGACTTGGAAATAAAAGCAAAGCTGTGAAAAGCCAGGTCGCTACGATTTTGTTGGCAGCAGGACTAGCCACAGAGTAGGGAAGTTTTGGGGCCAGGCCCTAGGTTTTCCCAGAATGCCTTGGGTGATGCCACCAAGAACCTTAAGAACTCCCTCTTACATTTTCCATCGGTTGCAAGCATGGCTTTTGCAACTGATAGGTGCTCTGACTACAGATATTCTGGTGTCCATGGCAACATGGCCTTATGGCTTGTAATAGTGGGAACTTCCAGCTCACTGGCAATTTCCTGGAGGTGGCAATATCTTTGGCAGGAAACCATCTCTTCTGTCTTGGCCACCAGGGTCTGCTCCAGGCCCTGAATGAGTCCACATCAATCCATCCTTCTTCCCTGTAGTCATTCCCTCCTGGGGAGGGAAGGGAAGGGGGGTATTTATCAGACCTATTTGCTCGCTGCTGTGTCTACTCATGGGCAGGTGTGTCCGATGGTGCCTTGGCGGTGGACCTTAGGTCTGAATGCCAGCCCGGCACCCTGGGCATCGGAAGTCGGCCTCCCTGGCAGCCTGGATGCTGCAGCCAACACAGGCCACATGGAACCAGACGTCACAGCCATCACACTGAACCCAGGCCACTGTCTCTTCCTGGGGCAGGCAGCAACAAGGAGCTGCACAGGGCTCCCCGCCCCCAACTGCAGGGGGAGCCATGGGAGCGCTCACTGGGTACTTCCGAGGACGGCCACGTCGATTTCTGAAGGAAGTGACACAGACACAAGGGTCACCGGAAACCTGTAGGAGAAGGCCTAGACCTTGCCACCCTATGGCTGGTCATAGGGTGAGGCCACAGAGGCACAGTGGTCTGAGAACTAAGGTGAGCCTGGACTCTGTCCTTAAAAACACATAGGGTGGGCCTAAAAACCTCTAGTGTGAGCCTGAAAGTTCCCCATCCTTAGGCACTAGAAGAATGGGGTTAAAGCCATATGAACGTAAAAAGCAGGACATGCTCACTCCGGTTGTTTTATAAGCACTGCCCCACCCCACCTCTCATGTTCTCCTGCACATATTTTTCTTTTCCTATCAGAGCTAACCCAGGTCTTGCCATTCCATCTATTCCACCTCCCGTGCCCATCCCCCCAGGCAGGGGGACCTCCTCACAGCCTAGGGATACAAGGAATCGAAAAGCAGTAAAACACTGAGAGGGCCAAGTGAGGACTCCACTTACCCAGTGGGAGTCAGTGGGGCTTTGTCTACACGGAGTTTCTTCCTGGGCTCCATAAGGACCGGTGGCGGGTTCTCAGGAGGCTCACTCTCATCATCCAGTTCCGCCAACACTCGGTGAACAGATTTCCTCCGATTGCGTTGGGGTGGAGCAGAAGGCGTGGTCCCCACTTCCCCAGGTGGGGCGGGAACAGGCAGGCTCTTTGGTCCACCCCAACTAGGGGAGAAGGTGAGGGGCTGGGGCCGGAGCTTGCTGAGGCTGCCTATGGAGTTTAGGATCAGTGTGGCCTTGGGGGCAGGGGAGAAGGTGCTGAGAGGCCGCTGTGGAGCCCCCTGGGAGGGCAGCATAGGCCGGAAACCAGCCCCAACCCGGGCTTCTCCCCTAGACCGTGGGATGGTAATGGCAGCAAAGTCCTGAGGCTTGACTCGTACTTGTTGGAACATGAAGTAGAACTCCGAGGGGCTGGTTCCTGGGGGCCCTTCAGGGCCAAAGGTCAGGAGGTCTCCATCACTCAATTCCAGCCTGTGACCTCTTGGGAGTCGGACATTATTGACCAAAGTACCTGTTGATGGTGGGGCACCAGGCAAATATGGAGGACAAAAACAGAAATGACCAGAGTCAGGAGTGGAGAAATCTGTATGATTTCTGGGGAAGAATATGAAACTGTAGTCAGATTCTCCCTCACATCCTAAGCCCCTCAGCAGGTGACAGGTACCAGGCAGTACACTCCTTGTCAGCTAGGAACAAGTCTGTGTTTCTTGTGCTTTCCTACAAAGGATCCCTGCCCTCACTGTCCTAAGGTCCAATTTTCTTTCTTTCTTCTTTTTTTTTCTTTCTTTCTTTTTTTTTTTTTTTGAGATGGAGTTTTGCTCTATTGCCCAAGCTGGAGTGCAGTAGTGCAATCTCAGCTCACTGCACTCCGCCTCCCAGGTTCAAGCAATTCTCCTGCCTCAGCCTCCTGAGTAGCTGGGATTACAGGCATGTGCCACCACGTCTGGCTAATTTTTTTATTTTTAGCAGAGACAGGGTTTTACCATGTTGGCCAGGCTGGTCTCATACTCCTGACCTCCTGATCTGCCCGCCTCAGCCTCCCAAAGTGCTGGGATTACAGGTGTGAGCCACCGTGCCCCGCCCTAAGGTCCAGTTTTCAAACATGCTCACTCTCCCCCAGCTCCAGCTCGTTCAGATCCTAGCTCTACCACTTACCAGTTATGTGACCCTGGGCAAGCTTTTGGTTTGTTTGTTTGTTTGAGATGGAGTCTCGCTCTGTCGCCCAAGCTGGAGTGCAGTGGTGCGATCTCAGCTCACTGCAACCTCCGCCTCCCGGGTTCAAGTGATTCTGCTGCTTCAGCCTCCTGAGTAGCTGGGGTTACAAGTGCACGCCACCACACCTGGCTAATTTTTGTATTTTTTTTTCAGCACAGATGGGGTTTCAACATGTTGGTCAGGATGGTCTCGAACTCCTGACCTCGTGATCTGCCCATCTCGGCCTCCCAAAGTGCTGGGATTACAGGCGTGAGCCACCGCGCCCAGGCTTTTTTAAAAAAATTAATTAATTTTTTGGTAGAGACAGGTTTTCACCATGTTGCCCAGGCTGGTCTCGAACTCCTGAGCTCAAGTGATCCACCCTGCCTTAGCCTCCCAAAGTGCTGGATTATAGGTGTAAACCACCATGCCCAGCCCTGGACAAGTTCCTTAACCTCTTTGTGCCTCATTTTCCTTTACTGTAAATGAGGATAATATTAGTACCACCTACATTCAATACACTTAAAATAGGGCCTGGCTCATAACAGTAAGCACTAGATGAATGTTGGCTACTATAGTCTAATAACCATAACACTCCTACAGCTGACTTTACCAAGAGGCAGTGGCAAAACTCAAATGTGAATCTAGGCTTTCTGAGGCTAACTGCCTCAAGTCACGGAGAAAGACATGCCCAGATTATTAAAAACATTATTCAACATAGAACTGCCCTAACCCAGGAACAGAGTGCCTCAGCAAAGCTGGAAACTGAATCAAGTCTAAACTTGGCCTCTAGTGGCCTCAGAACATCCCCACTGTGATATCTTTCTGATGATATCCCAGGTCCTGTATGAGCTAAACGGGACCAAAAAGGGTCAGTCTGGCAGAGAGCTTCTGACTGTGCACACTTCTGGTGGGAAGATGAAGGTCTGGACCACGACCATCCATCCAATCTGATGGGAGTATGGGAGGCAGGCAGCAGGGTCTTGTGGAGACCTTACTCATTCCAGCCTGGCGCTTCAACCACCCAGGGGCAAAGCTGCCCTGCTTAATGCTCACCTTGGCTGCTGTGGTCTTCCAGGCTGACCCTCCAGTCATCACCCCGGGGCTCGGCATGCAGTTCGGCGTGGATCCCAGAGATGAGGCCAGGCTCCTGCTGGGGCCGCAGGGCCACATCACACAGGTCGGCCCTGTGGCCCAAGCGATAGGTGCAGCCAGCCCCGGCGGGGGGGTGGAAGGTGTAGAGATCACCGCCCCTGCCGCCCCCTATGCGCAGCAGTTGGAAGCAGGGCAGCATGGGCGGTGCCCCCTCTGCACCACCTCTTCCACTTCAGGCATCCATTTCCTTTCCCACTCCTGGGCCACGCACCGCTGGCTTAAGTTCGCTTCCCAGTCTGATGCAAACTTGAGTTGTGCTGTATGCGGTTTCAACTTTGAGCACACTACCTGAATAGCCCAAATTCAGAGTGCAAGCAGCCTAGGACTCAATGCAAAATTGGTTAAGCCGACTTGCAAATGAAAAATTCCAGGAAGGTCTCCGTGCAATGCAAACTCAGGAACACGTCCTATGGCACCTCACTTGAGCTGGATCCTCAGATCGCAAAATATTTGGGGAGCCTCCAATCTGCAAGGCAAGGATACTTTAGGCAGCTCCTGTGTGTGTCGGGGTGGCGGGGCGCGGGGAAGGAGGTCCTGTTATACACACGTCTACGTGCAATACGAACACATCACCTCTGTGTAATTCGGAGAAGAGTAGCTTCTTCCTGTCAAACTTGCTTATCCTAATAGAGCACTCCTGCTTGCCTGCGCCCCGATCTTCTGGCCAATCCCTCACTCATAACTGGTTGAACCTCCGAGGGCAATGAATCCACTGTCATCCCCCAAAAGAAAGTGCAAACGAGTCCTTAAGTACTCCAACAAATTGGACCTAAACCCCTACTTCCCGGCTTCTCTAGGTGGGATAAAAACAGGAAGGAGCTCCCCGCGATCATGCAAGGCATACCCGGCCTTTTCCCACTCCGCCCCAGCCCCGTTTCGGATCTACCCGCGCGGCGCAGTCTCCGAGTAGCCTCCTCTTCAAGCAGTGCCAGCCTGTGCGGCGGATCCCGGGACCCCTTGGGCTCCTCGGCAGGAGCCGACGTTGCTGCATCTGTTTGACAGCCAAGAAGCCGGGGCCAGGAGGGGCGCGGCCTCTGCGCGCGGGCAGCGCCTACCCCTCCTTCGGAATTCCCGGGCCCGAACTTCGCGCCGAGCGAGCCCGCCCCCGTGCCGTTCCCGATTGGCCAGCTCATGTGTTCTCTTCCGCGCCATTGGGCAGCGCCCCAAGATCTCCCGCCTTCCACTTTTTCTGATTAGTTCACAAGTTTTCCCGGGTTGCCGCAGTGAGGAGGAGCCGCCTGGGCGCGGAGATGCTCCGACGCATTTAGTGGGCCCAAATTTAGACGCCACTGCGCCTGCGTACACCTTTCCCCCTCCTCCCAACAGAGTGAAATAGGACTTTAGGGCGCCCGCCTTGCGCAGGCGCGGTCAGGGGCAGAGGCGGGGCCGGGAGCGAGGCGTAGGGGGTGTGGCCAAAGCGCAGTAGGGGGCTCTCGCGGTTGGTAAGGGACGTTCGGGAAGAGTCGGTTGGGGGCGGGAAGGGGCTGAGCGGGGGTCCTGGGAGGGTTCAAGGGGTCCAAAGGGGAAGGGGGTACAGGGGCCAGGTGAAGGGACAGATGAAGCGATCAGAACAGCCTTAGAGCTCACGGGCTAACTGGGTGAAGCCTCGGGTATCTAGGGGAGCAGTGGTGGGAGAGTAGAGCCGGCTAGCGTACAGGGGGCGAGGGCAGGCTATTGAGAGATGGGGGTGAGGGTCAGGACCAGAATAATTCCTTCAGAAAAAGGTAGATTAGGTTGTAAAAAGGGACGGGAGTAGGGATCCCAGATTCGGGTAAAAAATAGATTAATGAGGGTGGGAGGGTGGGAGGAAGATCTTAAAGTGCCCACTATGTGTTAGGACTCGAGAAAGAGGAGGCGGGCAGCAGGCATGGAAGCTAAGGGGATAGTAGAGAGAAGCTGAGAGAACAGCCGCAGGAAAGATTTGAATAAGATGTCAGGACGCTGGCTTTTCTGCCTGGGGATCTAGGCGGCCTGGATTCCCAAGGTCTTGGGGAGGGTCTAGCCCTGCATGTGGCCACATTCAGCTGGGGCCAGGCCTTGGGCCAGCACTTTAACAGGGAAGGACCCAAGAGTCATGGCCTGCTGGTGTCTGGATGGGCTTCCCTCAGGCCTTGCTGAGCCATGGAGAGAACTCTGGAGATGGCGCTCAAGACCCCTGCACTGTGTACCTCCTTTCTCACCTCTGGCCAGGAGCAGCAGGGACCATAGAAACTTAAGGAGGAGGGTAGAGGCACTGCCCAGAATCCTGAAAGTATGAGTAAAGCCTCAGAGCCCCTCTCAGTCTGTCTCTTTCAGTAAATTCTCTCCACTTGATAGTTAGTTGCTTGGGTTCCATGAGGAACCAGGTTGAGACAAGCAAGTGAATTTGGGGTATCTCCTACTTTGGGGAAGTAGGAAAAGAGCTAAGCATCGGGTGGACCTGGCTATAATTCAAGGATTATGACTTTGTTATTGTAGGGGCTTTCTCTTTGGAAGGTGGCCTGAAAATTGAATTGGAGTGTCTTTGTTTCTCCTCTTGTCCAGGGGAACATAGATGGCTGGAGACAGAATCTAGAGCCTTCAAATAATGTGGAGATGTTTCCACCTTCAGGTCAGTGGGACCAGACAAGGGGAGTGGTGGTTGTCTCTGCCTGGGAAACTGACCATCTTTGTTTTTGTAATTCTTCAGGTTCCACTGGGCTGATTCCCCCCTCCCACTTTCAAGCTCGGCCCCTTTCAACTCTGCCAAGAATGGCTCCCACCTGGCTCTCAGACATTCCCCTGGTCCAACCCCCAGGCCATCAAGATGTCTCAGAGAGGCGGCTAGACACCCAGAGACCTCAAGTGACCATGTGGGAACGGGATGTTTCCAGTGACAGGCAGGAGCCAGGGCGGAGAGGCAGGTAGGGATCCATCCACGCCGTTTTCTCAGGCTTGCTTGCTAGTGACCCTTCCTCACTGGAATAAACTCCTTACCCTATTTCGGCCCTAGTTTCCAGAACGTACTCATTTTTATGTAAGCAATTAGTTCCTACAGTGCATAAATAATAAAGCAGTGTGCTAAGTGCTAGGGATGAGGATAACAATAGTGAATAAGACAAATCCTGACTTAAATTTGTAATTAATAAGGAATCTAAAATCCTAAGAGGGGAGATAGATTGACCACCAGCTGATGGTAAAGCATGGTATGAGGCAAGATGAAGAAGTGCAAACTAGAGGTAGAGACCCAGCACTGTGGCAGTGTGGGTTCATTCTGATGGAAGAAAGCCTTTACAGAGGACATGCTGTGGGAGCTGGCCATGCTGTCGTATTATCTGTAAACATTCTTATTCTTGTTTCATGTGTCTTTTCCCAGATGTACTGGGATATCATTCTGCCATTTTGCTCCAGAATAGGATTACATTAGAAGAAGCAGCATGATGAAGAAGGAATACTAGACTGGGTGTCAGGAGACAGAGACTCTATTTCTAGTTTGGCTACCAGCTAGAGGACATTTGGCAAGTCACTTAATTTCCCTAGCCTACAGATCGCTGCTACTAAAGAAAGAAAGAAAGAGCGAGCCAGATATGGCGGCTCACACCTATAATCCTAGCACTTTGGGAGCTGAGGCAGGAGGATCACTTGAGCCCAGGAGTTCATGACCAGCGTGGGCAACAAAGCGAGACTCCGTCTCCACAGAAAATAATTAGCTGGCTGTGGTGGCATGCATTTGTAGTCCTAGCTACTCAGGAGGCTAAGGTGGTAGGACCCCTTGAGCTCAGAAGTTGAAGACTGCAGTGACCTATGATCCAGCCACTGCATTGAGGCCTGGGTGACACAGTGATACCCTGTCTCTAAAAACAACAACAACAACAATTTCTTATAGTCCTGGGTCTCAGAGAGCTGCCTCAGGAGCCATGTTCCAAGCTGGATTAAACTTCACGTGACATTGGTAGACGATTTCTCTAAAGGCTGGCACTGTGTTATTTATGTACTGTTCTCTCAGACTCCTCATGAAGTATACCTAACACTCAATAAATGCCTTTTTTTTTTTTTTTTTTTTTGAGATGGAGTCTCACTCTGTCGCCCAGGCTGGAGTGCACTGGGGAGATCTTGGCTCACTGCAAGCTCCGCCTCCCAGGTTGACGCCATTCTCCTGCCTCAGCCTCCCAAGCAGCTGGGACTACAGGCACCTGCCACCACGCCCAGCTAGTTTTTTATATTTTTAGTAGAGATGGGGTTTCACCGTGTTAACCAGGATGATCTCGATCTCCTGACCTCGTGATCTGCCCGCCTCGGCCTCCCAAAGTGCTGGGATTACAGGCATGAGCCACCGCGCCCAGCCAATAAATGCCTTTTAACTAGCACCTGGCCTCACCATATTGATACTGGAAGCTTACGACCTCTCTATGCCCATTCCTCCCTCAAACTTCTTGCCCTTAAATTAGAATTGAGAAGTCCCTGTGTGTTCTTCCAACCTTTCCACTTAAAATGTGTGGCCTAAAAATAAAAAAATAAATAAGACAAAAAAACCACCAAAAAACAAAAAGAATGTGTGGCCTAATGATATACACATTTGATGTTGAATCCTCCTGTATGTAGCTCTCTCTAGGGAGATCATGTTCCACGATCTCAGCCAGACTTTAGGTCCTGTGAGTCCAGGCACTGGACTCAACATGCTCAATAGGGCTTTGATGAATGATGATGATGTCAATGCAGACATCCCCATACCCCAGCTTCAGCACCCCCTTCACCTCCCCACACGGAAGCAGAGGGGTCCTCTTTTCCTTCTCCTGGCTATGTTTATGCCCTCAACTATCCTTCCAGCACTGGAGACAAGTCTCACCTGCACTAACCTGTCTTTGAAGGTCCTGGGGGCTGGAGGGGTCACAGGCCCTGAGCCAGCAGGCTGAGGTGATCGTTCGGCAGCTGCAAGAGCTGCGGCGGCTGGAGGAGGAGGTCCGGCTCCTGCGGGAGACCTCGCTGCAGCAGAAGATGAGGCTAGAGGCCCAGGCCATGGAGCTAGAGGCTCTGGCACGGGCGGAGAAGGCCGGCCGAGCTGAGGCTGAGGGCCTGCGTGCTGCTTTGGCTGGGGCTGAGGTTGTCCGGAAGAATTTGGAAGAGGGGAGCCAGCGGGAGCTGGAAGAGGTTCAGAGGCTGCACCAAGAGCAGGTGAATGCAGGGGTAGAAAGGATTCAAATTCATAACGGAGAGCTGGGCAGTAGCTTCCAAGCAAAGAACAGGTATTGCAGAAAAGACCCTCCATGAGTAGTGAGTAGTAGAGTGATGAGACCTTTGGTGAAAATAAACACACATGGCCTAGAAAGATGGAGAATTTGGGTACTTTTATCTTAATTCAGGTTGCACTTTTCCCCCAAGACTCAGGTGGCCTCCCACCACTTGAAGCCCTGCTTCCCTTTCTAGTAGGAAATAGTTTGCCTCCCTACTTTACTCCAGGTACCAATTCATCAGGGGTATTGTGGAGGGCAGTGAGGAAGGTGGGTATAAGGGGGCTATGGTGGACTGGGAGAGAGAGATTATTCAGTCCTCAAACTCAGTACTTACTCTTTGCCATCTCTAAGACTCAGTGACCAAATTAGCCTGAGTCCTGCCTTCGTGGATGGAACTGACAGCCTCGTGGGGGATATACACATCCACATTTAATTTAATCATAATTAATTGCAATCAGGAGGAATGCCTTGAAGGAGAAGGACTAGAAAGCACTAACTTAGTCTGGGGTTCAGGGAAGGCCACTGTAACCAGTTGACATGTCAAGGAAAGAAACCATAGCCCTGGGCGCAGTGGCTCACGCCTGTAATCCCAGCATTTTGGGAGGCCGAAGCAGGCAGATCACAAGGTCAGGAGTTCAAGACCAGCCTGGCCAACATGGCGAAACCCTGTCTCTACTAAAAATACAAAAATTCACCAGGCATGGTGGTGCGCACCTGTAATCCCGGCTACTTGGGAGGCCGAGGCAGGAGAATCACTTGAACCTGGGCAGTGGAGGTTGCAGTGAGCCGAGACTGTGCCATTGCACTCCAGCCTGGGCGACAGAGCAAGACTCTGTCTCAAAAAATAAAATAAAAAAGGAACTGGGAGAAAACAAGGGAGAATTCCTTTATAACCTTGTAGTGGGCAAGGCCTTTCTACCTGTGAGTCAAAATCCAAAATCTAGAAGCCATAAAGGAAAAAATTGATCCATTGACTTTATAACATGAACATTAGGAATAGCCAAAAAGAAAAAAAAAAGCTATATTTATAGCTCAGATCACAAGAAAAGGGTAATATCCCTAATATAAAATGTGTGCCTAGAAATTGGTAAGGGAAAGACCAGCAATCCAATCAGAAAATGGACAAAGGAGATTTATGAAAGAAACTTAGAAACAAGAAGCTAGGCCAGGCACAGTGGCTCATGCCTATAATCCCAGCACTTTGGGAGGCCGAGGTGGGCGGATCACTTGAGGCCAGGAGTTAAAGACCAACCTGGCCAACATGAAGAACTCTACAAAAAAATACAAAAATTAGCCGGGTATAGTCGTGGGCACCTGTAATCCCCCAGCTTCTTGGGAGGCTGAGGCAGGAGAATTGCTTGAACCTGGGAGAGAGAGGTTACAGTGAGCTGACATCACACTCCAGCCTGGGCAGCAGAGCGAGACTAAAAAAACAACAAGCTACCGTTTGTGCTGAATAGGAGTTGGCCAGTGAAGAGGCGTGTGAAGTCCAGTGGTAGCTGGAAGACACTTGGTGGGACAACAGGTGAAGGCGGGGACAGGAGGCCAGAAGGCTGGGGCACAGAGATGAGGGGCACTGAGTGTGCTGCAGAGCCCAGGACCCAGGGCACAAGGCTTTGGCCACTTCAGAACTTGCTACTTTCCCATAAGAGCAATGAGCAGGCTGGGCACAGTGGCTCATACCTGTAATCCTAGCACTTTGGGAGGCCAAGGTGGAAGGATCATTTGAGCCCAGGAGTTTGAGACCAGCCTGGGCAACAAAGCGAGACCCCCATCTCTATTTTATGGAAGAAATTAGGGCTGGGCATGGTTGCTCACATGTGTAATCCTAGCACTTTGGGAAGCTGAGGCGGGTGGATCACTTGAGGTCAGGAGTTCGAGACCAGCCTGGCCAACATGGTAAAACCTCATCTCTACTAAAAATACAAAAATTAGCTGGGCGTGGTGGCTCATGCCTGTAATCTCAGCTACTCAGGAGGGTGAGGCAGGAGAATCGCTTGAACCTGGGAGGCAGCGTTTGCAGTGAGCTGAGATCGTGCCATTGCACTCCAGTCTAGGCAACAAAGTGAAACTCCATCTCCAAAAAAACAAACAAAAAAAAATTGTTTTTTCAAGTAATAAGCAACCGTTGAAAGGTTGTTTTTTTTTTTTTTTTTGAGATGGAGTCTCGCTCTGTCGCCCAGGCTGGAGTGCAGTGGCGCGATCTTGGCTCACTGCAAGCTCCGCCTCCCGGGTTCATGTCATTCTTCCGAGTAGCTGGGACTACAGGCGCCCGCCACCACGCCCAGCTAATTTTTTGTATTTTAATAGAGACGGGGTTTCACCGTGTTAGCCAGGATGATCTCGATCTCCTGACCTTGTGATCCACCCACCTCGGCCTCCCAAAGTGCTGGAATTACAGGAATGAGCCACTGCGCCCGGCCTGTTGAAAGGTTTTAAGCAGGGAAATAACATGATTAGATTTGTATTTTATGTCTAAAAAATTTTGTCATTTATGTACCCCAAATTAATTTTATTGTTGTATGGAGACAGGGCTAGAGGAGGCAGACCAGGAAGCAGGGTGGGCACTTTGCCCTCCTTTCCAGTCCATCCCATGACTCTTGGTGGCTCTGACACCCCTGCAACCCTTTGAGGTGCCATGAGCAAAAGACACAAAATTCCTCCTTTCCTGGAGCTTTCCTTCCAGTGTGGTCCGACAGATAGTAACACATACACATAAGCAAGATATGGTCAGTGCTAAGTGCTCAGGAGGACGTGAACAGCTGATGGGGCAGAGTAGGGTGGGGAGGGACGGTATTAGAGGGCCCAGTGAAGCCACCCTGAGGAGGGGCTATCGCCTGGGGTCTGTGGAGCAAGGAGGGGCCGCTGTCTGGTTCTCAGCAGACTCCCCGTGGCCGGAGCGGGGAGCAGTGGGAGAGCCTCCAGGGTGAGCTCAGGAGGTAGGCAGAGGCCGGGTCCCCTGGCCTGCAGGTGTGGAGAGACACCTGGGTTTTGTTGTGAATGCTGTGAGAAGCCACTGAGGGTTTGTAAAGACTAGTTAGGAGATGGTCGCTGTTGCCCAGGCAAAAGATGAGGGTTGGTGGCAGTGGAGACGGAGACAGAGAGGTGAAGATATGTTTTGGGGGAGATCGGACAAGAACTCCTGATGGGTTGTGGGGCAGCTGCAGAGAGTGAGTTGCCAGCTCTCCATTTGCTGTGCACAGTTGGCTGATTGGTTGGGTCATTCTCTAAGGTCACAGAAAGTGGGAGTGAAGGGAACAAGGAAGGCCTCCATGTGGGGTCGAGCCTCTGCTGAGCCCCCTCTTCTTTCCGCAGCTGTCCTCTTTGACACAGGCTCACGAGGAGGCTCTTTCCAGTTTGACCAGCAAGGCTGAGGGCTTGGAGAAGTCTCTGAGTAGTCTGGAAACCAGAAGAGCAGGGGAAGCCAAGGAGCTGGCCGAGGCTCAGAGGGAGGCCGAGCTGCTTCGGAAGCAGCTGAGGTAGGTGGGCGGACGCCGACGGGAGCCCAGCAATTAGTGATGTGGTGGATCTGCAGGGCGCCCCACTGATGGCTGTCCCATTCCCACCCCAACCCTAGCAAGACCCAGGAAGACTTGGAGGCTCAGGTGACCCTGGTTGAGAATCTAAGAAAATATGTTGGGGAACAAGTCCCTTCTGAGGTCCACAGCCAGACATGGGAACTGGAGCGACAGAAGCTTCTGGAAACCATGCAGGTGAGGGTGCAGGAATGTATCTGTGTGCAGACTTAGGGATCAGGTTGGGAGGCAAGCGTGGCCCTTGGAGGAGCGTGTAGAGCACAGCCTCCGGGAGAGAAGGTGGTACCTAAGGCGGCATGGAGGCCCTACAGAGGGGCTGCTTTCCTCTGCCCGCAGCACTTGCAGGAGGACCGGGACAGCCTGCATGCCACCGCGGAGCTGCTGCAGGTGCGGGTGCAGAGCCTCACACACATCCTCGCCCTGCAGGAGGAGGAGCTGACCAGGAAGGTACAGCCCAACCCCCAGACCCCTCACCCTCAGCCGCATCCTGCATCTACTGTCCCCTGCCTCCCTCCCTGTGGGCAGGAGGGGTCAATGTGCCCCAGAACCTGCTTAGATCTCCTTCCTGTGAACTCCTCTTGCTGTAGCTCATGTTGCCCAGGCAGGACAGAGGAGAAACAAAGATGCCACCTCCTTCCTCTCCTCCCCCAGGAGCCCACACTTTTCTCCCACTCCTTCTCCCTCAGGTTCAACCTTCAGATTCCCTGGAGCCTGAGTTTACCAGGAAGTGCCAGTCCCTGCTGAACCGCTGGCGGGAGAAGGTGTTTGCCCTCATGGTGCAGCTAAAGGCCCAGGAGCTGGAACACAGTGACTCTGTTAAGCAGCTGAAGGGACAGGTCACTGCACTCTCTTTTCTCCCGGTATTCCCTCCCAGCACCTTGCTCCTTCCATGAAGGTGGCATCCATTCAACCAGTGTTTGAGTGGTTGCCACATGCTGGGCACACAGCCCTGAACAAAACTAAAATGTGGAGCTTGCATTCTAGAACAGAGACACAGAACACGCAAGTAAACAGATAATGTTGGGTAATTATATGTGCGATAGAAAGATTGAAGCCGGGTGCAGTGGCTCACACCTATAATGCGATCACTTTGGTCTTGAACTCCTGACCTCAGGTGATTCACCTGCCTCAGCCTCCCAAAGTGATGGGATTACAGGTGTGAGCCACCGTGCCCAGTCAAGTAATGCCAACAGTTTGGGAGACCGAGGCAGGTGGATCACTGGAGGTCAGGAGTTCGAGACCAGCCTGGGCAACATGTGAAATCCCGTCTCTACTAAAAATACAAAAAATTAGCCGGGCATAGTGGCTCATTCCTGTAGTCCCAGCTACTCTGGAGGATGAGGTGGGAGGATCACCTGAGGCTGGGAGGTCGAGGCGAGGCCACAGTGAACTGTGATCCCATCACTGCACTCTAGCCTGGGTGACAAAGCGAGATCTTTTCTCAAAAAAAAAGAAAGTAGTAAGAAAAATTCAAAAGATAATGTGACGGAGAGACTGTGGGGTGAGTCAGCCTCAGGTAGGATGCTCAGAGACAGCCTCTCTGAGGAGGTGACAGCATCTGAGGAGAGTGGCATGGTCAGTTGGTGGGTCTTGTGGGGTGGGTCAAGGGCTATTCCCATCTTCGAGTGGGCACATGGAATGTGGAACATGGAACACTGGGTTCAGATTCCATCCTCAGAACCTAAGCTTCTGTCTCCCTGCGTGGCATTCATTCTTTTTCTTTTCTTTTCTTTTCTTTTTTTTTTTTGAGAAGGAGTCTTGTTCTTGTCACCCCTGCTGGAGTGCAGTGGCCTGATCTCAGCTCACTGCAACCTCCGCCTCCCAGGTTCAAGTGATTCTCCTGCCTCAGCCTCCCGAGTAGCTGGGATTACAGGCACATGCCATCACGCTCAGCTAATTTTTGTATTTTTAGTAGAGACAGGCTTTCACCATGTTGGCCAGGCTGATCTTGAACCCCTGACCTCAAGTGATCCATCTGCCTCGGCCTCCCAAAGTGCTGGGATTATAGGTGTGAGCCACCGTGCTGCGACCCACCCCCGTCGCCCGCCCCCCCTCCCCCCAGCCCCTGCATGGCATTCTTACAGAGATCTCTGCACCTGCCACTTTGCTTCCAGTGCCCCCCTCATCTTTTAGCTCTAGAGGGCCCTGCCCAGCTCTCTCTCCTCCCCCAGGTGGCCTCACTCCAGGAAAAAGTGACATCCCAGAGCCAGGAGCAGGCCATCCTGCAGCGATCCCTGCAGGACAAAGCCGCAGAGGTGGAGGTGGAGCGTATGGGTGCCAAGGTTGGTGTCAGCCTACTAGAGACTCGGGGAGGGCAAGGGAGCCCCTGTTCCGGGGCTGCAGCCAGGACTTAGGGAGGGACCCTGTCCTTTGCTGCATCCTCCCCAGGGCCTGCAGTTGGAGCTGAGCCGTGCTCAGGAGGCCAGGCGTCGGTGGCAGCAGCAGACAGCCTCAGCTGAGGAGCAGCTGAGGCTTGTGGTCAATGCTGTCAGCAGGTATCAGGGATGGAGGGGTGGGTGGAGTAGTGTTTCTGCCACCTCAGGTTCCTGGGCACCTTGTTGCTGAGGATCCTCAGGCAAGAGGGGCTGGAAAGTGGCCACTGGAGGCTACAGGGCTGGGCAGATTTAGCTCTATCAATGTTCCTGTGTTCGTTTCTTTTCCTGGGGAAGCCCCTTCTGCATTCATACCTGATTGCTTGTTATGAATTTCCCGTTGCATGTTTGGCTGGAGGTGAGGCCTTGCTTCCTCCTGCAGTTCAGTCTAGTAATGGGTTGAGCTAAATAGAGCACCCGGGAGGATCTTCACTTGCAGTATTGTTCAAGGATGGAGAGTGTAGACACTTCATCTTCCTTTTTTTTTCTAAAATTTTACGGGCAATCCGTTTCACTGGAGAAAAATTTAGTCTATTTATTTATTTATTTTGAGACAAAGTCTCGCTCTGTCACCCAGGCTGGAGTGCAATGGCGCAATCTTGGCTCACTGCAACCTCACCTCCCTGGTTCAAGTGATTCTCCTGCCTCAACCTCCCGAGTAGCTGGATTACAGGCATCCTCCACCAGTGTCCTCCACTACGCCCGGCTAATTTTTGCATTTTTAGTAGGGACGGGGTTTCACCATGTTGGCCAGGCTGGTCTTGAACTCCTGACCTCAGGTGATCCACCCACCTCAGCCTCCCAAAGTGCTGGAATTATAGGTGTGAGCCACTGCACCTGGCCTAGTCTATTTATTTAAAGCTATATACTTACTTGCTTATTATATACTTAACTTGCTTACTATTCCATCTAAAATGTAAGCCAGTTAGTTTCCTTCTAAATCAATTGCCAGCCTTTGTCTCTCCTACCAACTTCCTAGTTGTTTCATTACCTACAACTGTTGTATGACCTTCAGAAAAACCTCTAAGAAAACAGCAAAGCTTCTTTGTGCTGGTGATGACTTCCCCTCAGCCTTAGACACTGAGGTACCCAAGGCAGGTAGTTCTTTTTTTTTTTTTTTTTTTTTGAGACAGAGTCTCGCACTGTCACCCAGGCTGGAGTGCAATGGCACGATCTCAGCTCACTGCAACCTCTGCCTCCCGGGTTCACACGATTTTCCTGCCTCAGCCTCCTGAGTAGCTGGGATTACAGGTGCACACCACCACACCCGGCTACTTTTTTGTATTTTTAGTAGAGACAGGGTTTCACTGTGTTGGCCAGGCTGGTCTCAAACTTCTGACCTCGTGATCCGCCCGCCTCGGCCTCCCAAAGTGCTGGGATTACAGGCTTGAGCCACCGTGCCCGGCCGGCAGGTAGTTCTTAGCACAGTCTCTGGCTTGTAAATGTTTATTGTTATCGTGAGGCTCTTCTTGATGGGTTAATTTAGATAAAGATAATTTTTGGTTTAGCGAAATTAAGATGCAGGATGAGTCCTTGCCCACCACTTCCTTCTCTTGGATTTGTACCTTAGGGACTAATGTAGCTTTAAAAATTATGAAAAATTTCAAACTTGCACGGAATTAAACTAGTTATAATGACCTACCACCCGGGTTCAATCCATCGCGGGTGCCCCCTACCTCCAGGAGAACAGAAAGATGCACTGTGGACAGGGTTTGACTTTGGTACCAGGCGATCACAGAAATGGTCTGTGTAATGATGCATTTGCCGAAAGTCCTCCAGGCTTAAAGTAGTCCAAACTCTGATTGTTGCTGGGTTTATTAGATTGTCTCTAGGTAATTGGAGACTTTAATAAGAACTGTGGTAGGTGTTGGAAGCATCTACTGGAACAATTTCCAGATCAAAGTGAACTTTGCTGTGCTGCTGGGGATGCAGCTGCAAGCCTTCATCATCATGTGTTTTTCTGTGGGTGCAGACCTGGACTCTCCTGAGGAAACCCCAGCCCGGCCCCAGACACTCCTTGGCCTCCTCCTGGGGCCTGTTTAAGCTGCTCAGTTTTCATGAGCCAGGTTGGTCCTACTTCTGGCACAGCCAGCTGGTAAAGCATGTGGACCTGCCCGTCATTGGTGCTAGATCGACACTCCTGGGCTTGGAGAGGATAACTTTGTTTTCTTTTGTTTTTTTGAGATGGAGTCTCGCTCTGTCACCCAGTCTTGAGGGCAGGGGTGCGATCTTGGCTCACTGGAACCTCCACCTCCTAGGTTCAAGTGATTCTCGTGCCTCAGCCTCTGGAGTAGCTGGGATTACAGGCATGAGCCACCATGCCCGGCTAATTTTTGTGTTTTTAAGTAGAGAGAGTTTCACCATGTTGGCCAGGCTAGTCTCCAATTCCTGACTTCAGGTGATCCGCCCGCCTCGGCCTCCCAAAGTGCTGGGATTACAGGCAGGAGCCACTGCCCCTGACCAGAGAGGATAACTTTACTCTTTGATACACGATAGTGAGCAAAACACAGTTGTGAGAAATAAGCTTAACAGGTTGCTTAAAAAGATAGTCATTTAATGCATTCTTGGGGCAAGGGTCCTTTAGATAATTGACGGAAGCTGTGCGTTCTGTACTTGTATAATGGGACAGGATTAGAGGGAGTTGTCTATACAAGGCACAGCAAGTCCTTTGGGAATGAGGGGAGGCATGGAGGATCAGTGACTTGTGCCCTCTCCAGCTCTCAGATCTGGCTCGAGACCACCATGGCTAAGGTGGAAGGGGCTGCCGCCCAGCTTCCCAGCCTCAACAACCGACTCAGCTATGCTGTCCGCAAGGTCCACACCATTCGGGGTGCGTAGGACAACTGCGAGCCACGTCCTGCCCCCACCCCACCAGCTCGGACTTTCTTCTTCCTGACCCAGCTCTCTCTGATCCCACATCCATTCACCTTCCTCCTTTCACCAGTCCTTGCATCTCTTTTTCCCTTACTCCCTGTCTCCACTTTCTCCCATGCAAACTTCATCTCTTTTTCTCCCTGCTTTTTCCCTCCCAGGCCTGATTGCTCGAAAGCTTGCCCTTGCTCAGCTGCGCCAGGAGAGGTGAAGTTTGGGCACTTTGAGGTGGATGGGGCTTTAGGGCATTGGCTGCTGGGACCCCCAAAACCATGAGGACTGAGGTGGGATGGGGGCTTTGGGATCAGGCAGCTGGGTGATTTCTCCTGACTCTTTCTCTTCCCCGTCCCAGCTGTCCCCTACCACCACCGGTCACAGATGTGAGCCTTGAGTTGCAGCAGCTGCGGGAAGAACGGAACCGCCTGGATGCAGAACTGCAGCTGAGTGCCCGCCTCATCCAGCAGGAGGTGGGCCGGGCTCGGGAGCAAGGTACACCTGGTTGCCAGAGGGTGGAGAGGATGAGGAAAAACCCAGTGTCTAGGGTGCTGGGAGAGGCCTGACCCAGCACCCCCTCCTTTTAGGGGAGGCAGAGCGGCAGCAGCTGAGCAAGGTGGCCCAGCAGCTGGAGCAGGAGCTGCAGCAGACCCAGGAGTCCCTGGCTAGCTTGGGGCTGCAGCTGGAGGTAGCACGCCAGGGCCAGCAGGAGAGCACAGAGGAGGCTGCCAGTCTGCGGCAGGAGCTGACCCAGCAGCAGGAACTCTACGGGCAAGGTGTCGAGAGGGAAATGGGTGCTTCCCTTGGAGGGTGGGGTGGGAACTGCGAATCAAAGCTCCTGCTGATATGCCCCGTCTGCACTTTCACCCCAGCCCTGCAAGAAAAGGTGGCTGAAGTGGAAACTCGGCTGCGGGAGCAACTCTCAGACACAGAGAGGAGGCTGAACGAGGCTCGGAGGGAGCATGCCAAGGCCGGTGAGCCTTGCCAGGGTGGATAGGGCCTTCCAGGAAGAAGGAAGTGTTAAGACATAAGGTTATTATTTTCCCCTCAAAGTGTGTTCAAAGCTTCATTACAGGAAGTAATGAAGGTATCCAGGAGTAGCACAGATGAATTATCACATCGTGAACACACCCATGTAGCCAGCACCAGATTAAGAAACAGCATATGGCCGGTCGCGGTGGCTTATGCCTGTAATCCAAGCACTTTGGGAGGCCGAGGTGGGTGGATCACCTGAGGTCAGGAGTTTGAGGCCAGCCTGGACAACATGGCGAAACCCTGTCTCGACTAAAAATACAAAAATTAGCTAGGCCTGGTGGTGGGCACCTGTACCCCAAGCTTACTTGTGAGGCTGATGTGGGAAGATTACATGAACCCGGGAGGTCGAGGCTGCAGTGAGCCAAGATTGTGCCACTGCACTCAAGCCTGGGTGATAGAGAAAGACCATGTGTCAAAAAAAGAATTGTGTAATGAATGTATCTTCTCTAACTAAATATAGCAGTTAACATTTGCCACATTTGGTCTCTTATCTATATACACACATATTTGTACATCTTTTGAATCACTTTAAGTTGTAATCATTTAATGTTTTGTTGTTGTTGTTGTTGTTTGAGACAGAGTCTTCCTCTGTCACCAGCTGGAGTGCAGTGGCATGATCTTGGCTCACTGTGACCTCTGCCTCCCGGGTTCAAGCCATTCTCCTGGCTCAGCCTCCCAAGTAGCTGGGATTACAGGCGCCCACCACCATGCCCAGCTAGTTTTTGTATTTTCAGTAGAGACGGGATTACACCATGTTGGCCAGGATGGTCTCGAGCTCCTGACCTCGTGATCCGCCCGCCTTGGCATCCCAAAGTGCTGGGATTATAGGCGTGAGCCACCACGCCTAAGTAAGTTGTAAACATAAGTTGTTCAGCCGCATCTCCCAAAGCCAGTAAATTCTCCTATATAGCTGCAATCATCACACTTTAAGACAGTGAACACTAATTGCACAAAATCTAACCCAGTTCATGTTCAGATTTCCCCTGAGGAACTCCAGGATGGTTCGGGGATGAGGAAGATACTTAGGTTCAGATTCCCAGGCTCCTAGAACATCAGCCCACCCCTCCAACTGTACAGAAGAGACAGATCCACAGAGCAGAACAGCCTCCCCAAGCCACAGAGTTGGTGACCCAGCGTTTGTTCCTGTCTTCATGGTGCCTGGCTGCCTCTGGCCTGACTCACACCTGCCTCCTCTGTGCCTTGGCCTCTCTGTAGTGGTCTCCTTGCGCCAGATTCAGCGCAGAGCCGCCCAGGAAAAGGAGCGGAGCCAGGAACTCAGGCGTCTGCAGGAGGAGGCCCGGAAGGAGGAGGGGCAGCGACTGGCCCGGCGCTTGCAGGAGCTAGAGAGGGATAAGAACCTCATGCTGGTAGGAGACAGGAGGGCAGACAGGCAGACACTAGGGCCCATCCTGGGCTGGTTCCTGGGCTAGAGGTGTGGAAAGAGGATGGTGAGGGAGGCTCTATCCGGGCTAGGTTTAACCCTCTCCTTCCCAGGCCACCTTGCAGCAGGAAGGTCTCCTCTCCCGTTACAAGCAGCAGCGACTGTTGACAGTTCTTCCTTCCCTACTGGATAAGAAGAAATCTGTGGTGTCCAGCCCCAGGCCTCCAGAGTGTTCAGCTTCTGCACCTGTAGCAGCAGCAGTGCCCACCAGGGAGTCCATAAAAGGTCTTGGGCCAAGCACAAAGGGACAAGGGACAAATGCGCGCACTTCAGGAATCTCCTCTTCAGACTCTCGCATGATGAGTGTTGTTCTCTGCGGTCCTTCGAGGCCCTTAGCCTCTTTTAGCGATGCCCAGCTTGGACCAAAGAGCCTCCTCTCTCCCATTCCTCATTTCCTGTGCCAGCCCTGTTTCCTCTGTAACCACGAGCACCTTCCCTTGTCTGGTGCTCATCTGCTGTCTTCCTTCCCAGGGTCCCTCTCTGTCC
Source organism: Homo sapiens (assembly GCF_000001405.40). Taxonomy (NCBI): domain Eukaryota; kingdom Metazoa; phylum Chordata; class Mammalia; order Primates; family Hominidae; genus Homo; species Homo sapiens. The sequence continues at coordinate 2,400,716 of NT_167248.2, read as the reverse complement.
TGCTCGATGACCTGCAGGACCTGAGTGAAGCCATTTCCAAAGAGGAAGCTGTTTGTCAAGGAGACAACCTTGACAGATGCTCCAGCTCCAATCCCCAGATGAGCAGCTAAGCAGCTGACAGTTGGAGGGAAAGCCAGCCTGGGGGCTGGGAGGATCCTGGAGAAGTGGGTGGGGACAGACCAGCCCTTCCCCATCCTGGGGTTGCCCTGGGGGATACCAGCTGAGTCTGAATTCTGCTCTAAATAAAGACGACTACAGAAGGAGCCATTGTTTGGAAATGTTATTTCTGGGAATCTGTGGGAATTCTCCCTGCAGCCATCTCTCTTGGAGATTGTGAGAAGTGGTCCCACCCATAGCTCTCTCTATGGGTGGCACCTTTTCAAATCCTTTTTCTAGGCAGCTTTGGAAATGTTTGGGAAGCTCCTGCTTTTCTTTATTCTCAACTTTTGTTTTAAAACTCTTTTCTTCTGGAAGATGATAAATGCTAGGAGTGGGGAAGATGAAACATTCACTCGTTCAACAGGAATGTCAGAGCCAGGCACTGTATTAGCCTGGGGGCCACTTGGACCCTGAGAGCCTACATCCTAGTGGGAGAGAGAGCGAGCAGATGGGACCTAAACAGATGAACGAGATCGTTTCAAATAAGTGCTTGAAGAGAAAGTACAGTACGATGATATAGAAACTGACTCTGGGGAGAGGCCTCTGAGCGGGGGACCTTGTGCAGAGGCCTGCCTGAAGTGGGCTCCTGTGGAGGCCAGGAGGTCTCTGTAGAGAATGCTCAAGGATGCTGCTGCGAGGCCGAGATGTGGCCAAGTTTGGATTTTACTGTAAGTCAATAGCCATTGGAGTACTTCTTTAAAAACGGGGAAGAAAGCCAGGTGTGGTGGCTCACGCCTGTAATCCTGACACTTTGGGAGGCTGAGGCAGGCGGATCACCTGAGCTCAGGAGTTTGAGACCAGCCTGGGCAACATGGTGAAACTTCGTCTCTACTAAAATACAAAAAATTAGCCGGGTGTGGTGGTGTGAGCCTGTAGTCCCAGCTACTCAGGAGGCTGACACAGGAGAATTGCTTGGACACGGGAGGTGGAGGTTGCAGTGAGCCGTGATCATGCCACTGCACTCCAGCCTGGGTGACAGAGCGAGACTCAGCCTCAAAAAAAGAAGAAGAAAAAAAAAAAAAAACCAGGGAAGGGGGCCCGGTGTTGTGGCTCCCGCCTGTAATCCCAGCACTTTTTTTTTTTTGAGACAGTTTTGCTCTTGTTGCCAGGCTGGAGTGCAGTGGCACAATCTCAGCTCACTGCAACCTCTACCTCCCAGGTTCAAGCAATTCTCCTGCCTCAGCCTCCGGAGTAGCTGAATCCCAGCACTTTTTTGGGAGGCCGAGGTGAGCGGATCGCTTGAGCCCAGGAGTTTGAGACCAGCCAACATAGGGAGACTCCATCTATATAAAAAATAAAAATAAAAAACATTGGAGGGCATGGTGGCGTGCACCCATGGTCCTAGTTACTCCAGAGGCTGAGTTGGGAGGATTGTTTGAGCCCAAGAGGTTGAGGCTGCAATGAGCTGTGATCGCACCACTGCACCCCAGCCTAAGAGAGCGAGAACCTGTCCTCACTCCCCAAACAAAGGGAAGACACAACATGATTTGGTGTACATTTTTTTTCCTGAGGGACTTACTGGATGGTCCCTTCCAGAGTGAGGTACACATATCCACGCACTGTGGTCAGCGATTGCTCCCGGCACCCAGCGCAGCAGATGGGTGGGTCTAACTCACTTCCCCAGGAGGGCATAATTGAGCAGTTTCCGCATCAGGTCCACGTGGGCCAGCAGCATGCGGCAGGCAGCGGCTGTGGCGCTTCAGGCCCAGGGCGTCCCCATCAGCGTACTTGGACTGCAGCGGCCCCAGGTAGGCCTCCCACGTGTTGCCCACAGTCTTGCTGCAGGTGAAGCAGCGCACACAACTCCTGAGCTCAAGTGGTCCTCCTGTGTCAGCTTCCCAAAGTGCTGGCATGAGCCACTACGCCTGGCCTGATATATATATATATGTTTTTTTATATATGTTTTTTTTTTTTTGAGACGGAATTTCACTCGTTGCCCAGGCTGGAGTGCAATGGTGTGATCTCAGCTCACCACAACCTCTGCCTCCTGGGTTCAAGCGATTTTCCTGCCTCAGCCTCTTGAGTAGCTGGGATTACAGGCATGTGCCACCATGTCCGGCTAATATTTTTGTATTTTTAGTAGAGACGGGGTTTCTCCATGTTGGTCAGGCTGGTCTTGAACTCCCGACCTCAGGTGATCCGCCCGCTTCGGCCTCCCAAAGTGCTGGGATTACAGGCGCAAGCCACCACACCAGGCCCGCGTGATGTATATTTTAAGACCTCTTTTGCTGGTGGAGGACAGGCTTTGTGTGAGGGGGAGGGATAAACAGTGGGAGCAAGGGGGCCAATTAGAAGGGTGTTGGGGAGGCTCAGGGGAGATGGTGGCTCAGGATGATGGGCTGGGTTTGGACAGGGTGTGGAGGGGCTTGCAGGTGGATGGTGGAGGAGTGTAACGAAGGTTTCTGCGTGAGCCCTGGAGGGAACAGATGAGATCACGCCATTGCATAATAAGGTGTTCCTTACTGTGGGGTAGCGGACCAGGCAGGGAACAACCTGGGAGGAATCAAATTTTATTTTGGACATGTTACTTCTGAAAGGCTAACAGACTTCCAGGCAGAAAGGTCCTTGAGGGAAACGTTCTAGGGTCTCTCTGGGAGGCTTAGATCAAGGAGCTGAGACCAAAAGGAGAATGGGAGGGAGGAGACGAGTACAATAGAGTTAGAGCCAAGGTCCTAGAGGCGGATAGGTGGATTCCTGAGGGAGGAGGAAGGGGCTGAGGTTGCTGGAGCCTGGCAGCTTCTTCCGGAGCCATTGGCAGGACTGATGCAAACAGCTCTGGGTGGGAAGAGGGAACCAGGATATCCTCCTGTGTCCTTCCTTTTCTGCAGTCATCCTGGGTGGCTGCCAGATGGAATTCCTTGGATATCATTGCTTGGAGGTCCCCTGCATGCCTGAAGAAGGACATGGTGGAGAGCAGGATGCCTGGATCCCATGGGGGAAGGGAAGTTCCCAGGAAAGCACGAAGCCCCACGGGGAGCTTTCAGTGCGGGGGTGAGTGGGGAGGCTGGGGTAGTAGCTGACACTGTCCCAGCTGCATCCCAGGTTTGAAAGGCACCTCCTCCCCCAGCGCAGGCATCCTGCCTCCCAACCCTGTAATTACGGTGCTTCCCAACGCCCATCGCGTGGTTTGCTCCCATTCTTTGGCTTCCAATAGTTGCAAGGGATGAAGGTGGACATCTCTGTGATTACGGAGATGCCAAGTGGGTATTGACTGCTCCAGGGTGTGGATGGAGGGTGTGAAAACCAGGGTGGGGTGACGCAGGCTCTGGGTCATGATAGGGAGAGCAGGCAGCTGGGTCCTGGGCTGGAGGACTAAAATAAGGGACGCCACCTTCAGGGGTGACACATCAGCCCAGGCCTTCCCAACGGGTTTGACCAGTTCTGTTCTGATGGTATTCCTGTGCCACTGGGCTGGCCCCTCCTCCACTCCTCCCCTATAAAGCCTCTTGGGGTTCCCAGGCACCCAGACTCAGCCCACCCCAGCTTTGGGGGCCAGTACATAGCCATGATCCTCAACTGGAAGCTCCTGGGGATCCTGGTCCTTTGCCTGCACACCAGAGGTGAGGTGGGAACAGAGGCAGGGACTGCAGTTTGGGGTGATGAGGGATACTCAAGATGGCGGAGGTGAACTGGACGCATGGGGTTGGGGACAGGAATTCAGGGGACGCAGAAGGTGCATCTGGCTCACCAGAAATGGCTTTCTGGACACATTGGGTGGGGGACATGGTGCAGAAGGTGCATTTGGCTCTCACCAGAAATGGTTTGCTGGCTCCATGTGGCAAAGTCGGTCAGGATTAACGTGGGGGGATGAGTTTCCTCGGAGCTGGGATCTGTGTTAAGGAGCTGGGGTCCTTGTAAAGCTGGGGTCTGTGTGCCTGGGGGCCAAGGTGTAACCCACTTTGGGTTGCAGGTTGGCCTGAGGACAAAGCTAGTGGGGTACCCCAACCAGGGGTGGATGGAGCTTATTTGGAGAAGTCTGGTCAGTTTAAAGTGGGTCAAGTGAACGGTTCAGATCCATCGGGGGTAGGGGTTCATGACATTTTACCATCAGTTAAGTATTTACAAACCTACCGAGAGCTCTTTGAGAGTGACTTTTTTGGTCTGTTTGTGGGTCAGTTCAGGCTGCGTCCGTCCAGACAGGCTCCTCCTCCTGGGGCTGGGGCTGGGTGGGGCTGGGGAGAGAAGCCCTCACCACCTCTTACCTTTCTCCTTCCTCCTTTACAGGCATCTCAGGCAGCGAGGGCCACCCCTCTCACCCACCCGCAGAGGACCGAGAGGAGGCAGGCTCCCCAACATTGCCTCAGGGCCCCCCAGTCCCCGGTGACCCTTGGCCAGGGGCACCCCCTCTCTTTGAAGATCCTCCGCCTACCCGCCCCAGTCGTCCCTGGAGAGACCTGCCTGAAACTGGAGTCTGGCCCCCTGAACCGCCTAGAACGGATCCTCCTCAACCTCCCCGGCCTGACGACCCTTGGCCGGCAGGACCCCAGCCCCCAGAAAACCCCTGGCCTCCTGCCCCTGAGGTGGACAACCGACCTCAGGAGGAGCCAGACCTAGACCCACCCCGGGAAGAGTACAGATAATGGAGTCCCCTCAGCCGTTCTGTTCCCAGGCATCTCCAGGCACCCACGCCCTCTCCACCCTCTGATTCCCCGTGAATTCTTCCCAATTTAGCCTATCTCCTTAAACCTCTTCCTCATTCCCTCGGTTTTATTCTGAACCCGTAAGGTGGTGTTCTCAATATTTCCTGTCCCCTCCTGAGATCCATACTTAGTCCTCACATCGCCCGTTTTTTCCTCTGACAGCCTAAGCCTACTCTCCTACCTCGCCTCCAGGCCTCGGCCCCACCTACCTCCCACCCGGTCTTCCTGCCCGCGCGATCGCTGGGGCAGGGCTATGGTACTGTGTTCCCTTCTGCCACCTGGTGGCCGGCGGCAGGAACTATCAGTAGACGCTGCTGCTTCCATGAAACGGAAAAATAAAAATCATGTTTTCTTAATTCTGAATCTAGGCTGCTGCTTTAACTAACACTTAGGGTCTTTTTTATTTATTTTTATTTATTTGTTTTTTTCTTTTTTTGAGACGAAGTCTCGCTCTGTCGCCCAGGCTGGAGTACAGTGGCACGATCTCGGCTCACTGCAAGCTCCGCCTCCCGGGTTCACGCTATTCTGCCTCAGCCTCCCGAGTAGCTGGGACTACAGGCGCCCGCCACCACGCCAGGCTAATTTTTTGTATTTTTTAGTAGAGGCGGGGTTTCACCGTGTTAGCCAGAGTGGTCTCGATCTCCTGACCTCGTGATCTGCCCGCCTGGGCCTCCCAAAGTGCTGGGATTACACGCGTGAGCCACAGCGCCTGGCCTCTTTCTTCTTTTTCTTTCTTTTTTTTTTAGACGGAGTCTCACTCTATGCCCAGGCTGGAGTGCAATGGCACGATCTCGGCTCACTGCAACCTCCGCCTCCCGGGTTCAAGCCATTCTCCTGCCTCAGCCTTCTGAGTAGCTGGGATTACAGGTGCGCACCACCATGCCCGGCTAATTTTTGTATTTTAGTAGAGATGGGGTTTCACCATGTTGGCCAGGCTGGTCTCGAACTCCTGACATCGTGATCTGCCCACCTCGGCCTCCCAAAGGGCTGGGATTACAGGCGTGAGCCACCGTGCCCGGCCAACACTTATGTTTTTGACTATTAGGATGCCCTCTTCACAGTCCTAAACTTACGGAGACCTGGAAGTAACTTGAGTTCCTATCTTGCCCATGTCCAGCATGTAAGGCTCTGGGGCTTAGCAGGAGGAGGGTTGGAAATGTCACTATGCAAGTCACAATAACATTCAGGCCCACATTTCTCCCTTTCTGAGAACACTATATTAAAGAATGGGAAGGCAAGTTTCATCTCTGTTTAATGGCCTATGGCTTGGATACCCCTAGTGGTATATGCAAACCTTCCCAGGGGTGTGTCGGCAGGACCAGTTTTAAGGGAATCAGTTTCCAGATTAATATGTGCCCCCCGCTAGAATGAATCTCCTGCTTGTCCTGGGCCTGACCAGAGTGCCCTTCCCAGAGCCGCCAAAGGTCAATAGGAAACAAATCAACCTTTCCCATCTCATTAAGAGATTCATTTTCTTTCTTTTCTTTTTTTTTTTTTTTGAGACGTATTATCTCTCTGTCGCCCAGGCTGGAGTGCAGTGGCACGACAGATATCAGCTCACTGCAACCTTCGCCTCCTGGATTCAAGTGATTCTCCTGCCTCAACCTCCCGAGTAGCTGGGATTACAGGTGTGTGCCACCACACCCAGATAAGTTTTCTATTTTTAGTAGAGATGGGATTTTGCCATGTTGGCCAGGCTGGTCTCGAATTCCTGATCTCATGGGATCTGCTTGCCCTGGCCTCCCAAAGTGCTAGGATTACAGGTGTAAACCACCACGCCTGGCCAAGAGATGCATTTTCAATAAGTTACTTTTCATGTCTTTTTGTGTGTTTGTTTGAGACAGGGTCTCCATCTGTCATCCAGGCTGGAGTGCAGTGGCACGATCATGGCTCGTATAGCTTCAACCTCCTGGGCTCAAGCAATCCTCCTATCTCAGCCTCTGGCGTAGCTGAGACTACAGGTGCACCACCCCTGACTAATTTTTTGTATTTGTTTAGTTTAGTTTTGTTTTGTTTTTAGAGATGGGGTTTTACCGTGTTGCCCGGGCTTGTCTCAAACTCCGGAGCTCAAGTGATCGGCCCATCTTGGCCTCCCAAAGTGCTGAGATTACAGGCACGAGCCACCGCGCCTGACCAACTTTTTATGTTTAATCCTTGTGAATATTCCTAGTTTTGGTTAACTGCAATAATTGCAATACAAATAGAATAACTGTTTCTAACACTTGTTCAAGGGCTTGTTCACGTATTTTTTAAAAGGATGCTAACAGATATGAAAGTTCTATGGCATTATATTCAATTTGCTACACTTAGAGTGACGTGCAGTCTCCGACAGACTGAGCACAACAAATTGTTTTTAATTTTAAAAACTGACATGGCCAGGCATGGTGGCTCACGCCTGTAATCCCAGCATTTGGGAGGCTGAGGTAGGCAGATCACTTGAGGTCAGCAATTCAAGACCAGCCTGGACAATGGTGAAACTCTGTCTCTACTAAAAATACAAAAAACTTAGCTGGGCATCCCAGCTACTCGGGAAGCTAGGGCATGAGAATTGCTTGAACCTGGGAGGCAGAGGTTGCAGTGAGCCGAGATCGCACCACTGCACTCCAGCCTGGGAGACAGAGTGAGACTCCATCTCAAAAATAATAAATAAATAAATAAATACATAAATAGTGATGTGATTTTTAACATGTATTTGCAATTCCTTGAAAAGCATACCCTTTGGAATGCTATTAAATTATTACAAATGTTAAATGTTGACTTAAAAATGTGCAAGGGGCTGGGCAAGGTGGCTCATGCCTGTAATACCAGCACTTCGGGAGGCCGAATCGGGTGGATTGCTTGTGGCCAGGAGTTTGAGACCAGCCTAGGCAACATGGCAAAACTGTTTCTACAGAAAATTTAAGAAATTAGCCAGATGTGGTGGCCCGCACCTGTAGTCCCAGCTACTCAGGAGGCTGAGGTGGGAAGATTGCTTGACCCTGGGAGGTTGAGGCTATAGTGAGCCAAGATGGCACCACTGCACTCCAGTCTGGGCAACAGAGTGAGACCGTGTCTCAAAACAATACAAATGTGCAAGGGACATAGTTTTTCAAAATCCTTTAAAGAGGCAATCAGGTTAGAAGGACAGGAGCTCAGAGATCCCAATGGTCTACTGTCAATCAAGTATCCGACCAGGGTTAGGGATGAAGAGGGGTTAAAAGAAACTGAGGTTGCATAACCTTAAATTTCACCACTTAGAACCCAGTTTGCTTATGTGGTAACTCTCATTAAAAACTACATATGAGAGGCCAGGCGCGGTGGCTCACGCCTGTAATCCCAGCACTTCGGGAGGCCAAGGCGGGCGAATCACGAGGTCAGGAGATCGAGACCATCCTGGCTAACATGGTGAAACCCAGTCTCTACTAAAAATACAAAAAAAATTAGCCGGGCATGGTGGCCGGCGCCTGTAGTCCCAGCTACTCGGGAGGCTGAGACAGGAGAATGGCGTGAACCTGGGAGGTGGAGCTTGCAGTGAGCCGAGATCGTGCCACTGCACTCCAGCCTGGGCGACAGAGCGAGACTCCATCTCAAAAAAACAAACAAATAAAAAACCAAAAAACTACACATGAGATCAGGCGTGGTGGCTCACACCTGTAATCCTAGCACTTTGGGAGGCTGAGGCGGGTGGATTACCTGAGGTCAGGAGTTCGAGACCAGCCTCACCAACATGGTGAATCCCTGTCTCTACTAAAAATACAAAAAAATTAGCTGGGCATGGTGGCGGGCGCCTGTAATCCCAGCTTCTCAGGAGGCTGAGGCAGGAGAATCCATTGAACCTGGGAGGCAGAGGTTGCGGTGAGCCAAGATCGTGCCACTGCACTGCAGCCTGGGCGACTGAGCAAGACCCCGTCTCAGAAAACAAAAAACAAAAAAAAACTACATGTGGTCCGAATGAAACAAAACTAAGCTTAGGGTTTAGGAATAATCTGAGAACACATAAGAATTGTAGGTTGAGCCTAGTAGAATTAAATAGGCCCCAAGCTGGACTGGATTCACCCATTCATTCATTCATTATCTTACTTCCTCAATGTGTCCACGAATGCCGGGTGCCATGGGAGAATATAAGAATATAAATAATAAAAATATGTAGTTTCTACTCAGAACTTAAAATTGAGAGAGACAGAATTTACAGGCAAGTTTAAATAACATCAAAGACAGTAAAAATGCATATTTCCTAATAATGACATGAGCGAGCGCCAACGTAATAGCCTTGGCAGTAAACGCCGTGAGTTCAGAAGAGTCACGGTGAGCTGGACTAGTCAGGGGAGGCTTCTGGGAGGAGGGCCCGGAGCGGGACCTGAGAGAAGAACAGGCAGTGTGTCTGGAGGATGGACCAGGAAGGGCAGACCCGGAGCCTCATACAGGGTGCAGGTACAGAAGCTGCCCCCAGGTGATGAGCTCTCGTGGCCAGAACCACCAGCTCTAGGGACCAGCCCTTGCGCGTATGTGCATCAGCCTTCGTGTGTGCTGTTCCCTATGTCTGGAATGGCCGTCCTCTCCCAAACCAGCTGCATTTCTCCTCAGGGATGCCTCTGCCTACACCACTCCTTCCCGCACCCCACCCGACCCCCAACGCCCTTCACCCCAGTCACCCTATGGCAATGATTTATTCATGTCTGTCTTCCCTTCCCAGGCCATGAACCTTGTGGGGCAGGGACTGTGTTCTACGCATTTCTTCTTGAACCCCTTTACCATTTTTGTGCCTACGGACTCCCAGAGTGCTAAATCACTCCCAACAGCCCCGCCTATGCCTCTGCCGGGACCTTTTCCAGGGGCAGAGAGCTGGAAGCACTTGGAAATTTTTCTCTCCCACATCCTCACATGCCACCACCCTCCCACTCCCCCAGCCCGCCCCCAGGCCTTAACCAACGGTGGACAAATATGAAGGTGTCAGTACCCCAGCCCTCCATGAGACTTAGCTTGGTTCCACTCATGTGCTTGGGTCCCACTTTCCCACTCCCTTTCCACTCCTCCCCACCCTCATTACTTTTTTTTTTTTTTAAGACAGGGTCTCACTCTGTCACCCAGGCTAAAGTGCAGTGGCACAATCATAACTCATTGCAGTCTCAACCTCCTGGGCTCAAGTGGTCCTCCTGCCTCAGCCTTCTGAGTAGCTGGTACTATAGATGCACTCCACTCACTGGGCTAATTTTTTAATTTCTTGCAGAAATGATGTCTTGCCATGTTGCCCAGGCTGGTCTGGAACTCCTGGACTCAAGCAATCTTCCTGCCTTGGCCTCCCAAAGCACTGGGATTACAGGTGTGAGCCATCATGCCCAGTCCCCTCATTACTTTTATTTATTTATTTATTTATTTATTTATTCAATTTTTGAGACGGAGTCTCCCTCTCGTTGCCCAGACTGGAATGCAGTGGTGTGATCTCAGCCCACTGCAATCTCCGCCTCCTGAGTTCAAGCGATTCTCCTGCCTCTGCTTCCTGACTAGCTGGGATTACAGGCATGCGCCACTATGCCCAGCTAATTTTTGTATTTTTAGTAGAAACAGGGTTTCACCATGTTGGCCAGGCTGGTCTCAAACTCCTGACCTCAGGTGATCTGCCCGCCTTGGCCTCCCAAAGTGTCGAGATTACAGGCATGAGCCACTGTGCCTGGCCTATTTATTTTTGAGACAGTTCTCACTCTGTTGCCCAGGCTGGAGTACAGTGGCACGATCACAGCTCACTGAAGCCTGGACCCAAGCGATCCTCCCACCTAAGCCTCCCAAGTAGCTGGATCACAGGCGCATGCCACCACGTCTGGCTAATTTTTTTTGTAGAGATTGGGTCTTACTATATTGCCCAACCTGGTCTCAAACTCCTGAGCTCAAGAAACCCTCCTGCCTCCGCCTCTCAAAGTGTTGGGATTATAGGCGTGAGCCACCCTGCCCAACTTCTCATTAGTTTTAAATAAATCTCTTTTACTTGAATCTTTGTCTCAGGGCCTGCTTCTGGGGAATCCAACCTAGGATGCAAAGTATTTGCTACACACTATTGCAACTACTTTCTACTGCGCATGTGCCATAGGGCACTGTTGGTAAATGCTCTACAGCTTAAGCTCTCGTTTAATTTGCATAACAATGCTATCATGATCATTTCACAGAAGACAGAAACAGGCCTAGAGAGGTACAGTGACCCATGCAAGGTCACACAGGGGACAAATGGCAGAACTGGGATTTCAATTTAGGTCTGTGCTATGCTAACAACACTGATTTTAACCACTACATCATCCCAGCTCTTTTTTTTTTTTTTTTTTTTTTTGAGACGGAGTCTTGCTCTTTTCACCCAGGCTAGAGTGCAATGGCACGATCTTGGCTCACTGCAACCTCCGCCTCCTGGGTTAAAGCAATTCTCCTGCCTCAGCCTCCCACATGGCTGGGATTACAGGCACCCGCCACCATACCTGGCTAATTTTTGTAGTTTTTTTTTAGTAGACACGGGGTTTCACCATGTTGGCCAGGCTGGTCTTGAACTCCCGACCTCGTGATCCACCAGCCTTGGCTTCCCAAAGTGCTGGGATTACAAGCATAAGCCACCGCGCCTGGCCCATCCCAGCTCTTTATTCATCTGTGTAACCCTGACAGAGAATACAGTGCCTGGGCCGTCATGCACACTTAATGTGTGTTTTGTGAAAGGCTAAATTATTTAATGAAGGGCCCAATTAACAAAGAGTAGATCGGAATGATTGGAGTAAAATAACCCGAAGAAGAGAGAGACATGTTGGAGAGACAGGTCGGGGGAAAATTAGGGAAGATCTTGGTGCCAAGTGCAGGAGCTCATATCTGAAAGTCTCTCTCCTCTATTAGAACTGTGCCTGGGCCTGGGCAACATAACAAGACCCTGTCTCTGAACAAACAAAATAAGTTAGCTGAACATGGTAGGGCGCACCTGTAATCCCAGCTATTCCAGAGGCTGAGGTGGAAGATTGCTTGAGCTCAGGAGGTCAAAGCCAGCCTGGGCAACACAGCAAGACCCCATCTCTAAAAAAAAAAAAAATTAAAATTAAAAAAGGGCCAGGCACAGTGGCTCACACCTGTAATCCTAGCACTTTGGGAGGCCAAGGCAGGAGGATCGCTTGAGCTCAGGAGTTTGATACCAGTGTGGGCAACATAGTGTGACCTCACCTCTACAAAAAAAATGTTTAACATTTGGCCAGGTTGCCAGGCGCAGTGGCTCACGCTTGTAATCCCAGCACTTTGGGAGGCCGAGGTGGGCGGATCGCGAGGTCAGGAGATCGAGACCACGGTGAAACCCCGTCTCTACTAAAAATACAAAAAAAAATTAGCCGGGAGAGGTGGCGGGCGCCTGTAGTCCCAGCTACTCGGGAGGCTGAGGTAGGAGAATGGCGTGAACCCGGGAGGCGGACGTTGCAGTGAGCCGAGGTCGCACCACTGCACTCCAGCCTGGACGACAGAGTGAGACTCCATCTCAAAAAAAAAAACAAACAATTAGCCAGGCCATGGTAGTGCATGCCTGTAGTCCCAGCTACTCAGCAGGAAGATCACCTGAGCATGAGAGGTTGAAGCTGGAGTGAGATATGATTGCACCACTGCACTCCAGCTTGGATGACAGAGCTGTCTCAGAAAAAAAAAAAAAAATTGTGCCTAGGGTGGGGAGAAACACATACATCTCTGGGTATACTGTGGCAGGAAGCTAAGGATAGAAAGGAAGAAGGAGGTCTGGACCCCTCAAACTGACCCTCAAGCCAATAACGTGGAATTAGTTAGGAGGAAAAAAAATTAATTAATTAATTAATTTTTTATTTTTTGAGACAGGTTCTTGCTCTGTCGCCCAGGCTGGACAGTGCAGAGGTGCAGTTACAGCTCACTGCAGCCTTGACCTCCTGGGCTCAAGGGATCCTCCTACCACAGCGTCCTGAGTAGCTGGGACCACAGGCATGTGCCACCATGTCCAGCTAAGAGAAATTCTTAAAGAAGAGAGAAAGGAGGGAAAGGAACTGAGCCCCTGATGTTGTCTAGGGAAAAAGCTGGGGCTCTTTACAGCATGCTGCCTTCTTTAATTCCACAGCACTATGTGGGTTTCCATGCCTTTATTTCCTTGGAAAGTATGAGCTTCTTGAAGACAGCAACTGTGCCTTGTCTTTCTTTGTATCCCTTCCTTCTCTCCTAGTACCCAGCCTAGAAGGCACTCAATAAAGCAAATGATTAGCCCCATTTCACAGACGAGGAACCAACACTGAGAGAGGTAACTCACCTGTGCAAGTCATATCACAAGTGCCAAAGTCAAGACTGGATGGAGGACTGCCTGGCTGCAAACCAATTCTTCCCAGGCTGACATGGCAGGTAGGTGAGTGGGAAAGAGAAGGGGGAGGCATGAGGCAATTGGAGATTTTAGTACCTATTAATAGGCAGTGGATTTTGGCACTCAAACAGGCTGTCTTCATTAGCTGGGGAGGAGACTGAGTGGGCCTGGATGGTATGGAGGTATTTGCACAGGGAAACCCATTGTGCTGGCTTATCCATTCAGATTAGACAATGCTGGTTCCTCTCTACCTGCCTTGGCTAAGCTCACCTAGGAGTAAATGCCCCAGGGACACCGTCACGTCTATGTCAACACAGAGTCACGGAATTAAATAACAGAATAGGATCACAGATTTACAGAACAATAGCCCAGAACCTTGGACATGACAGATAGTTATTAAATGCTTGGCCAATGAAAAAAAAAGAACCTAGAACTAGTATCACGGTAAAATCTAATTATACAAGCTAAGTTACCTTGAGAAAGCACCAGGCACAGCCCTGAGCCTTGGGCAGCGAATGATGTCTTTGGACTAGACAGAAGAGATGGTTGTCTGCCCTGCTTTGAAGCTCTCTGGCCAGGGAAACTCCAAACCATTCATTTGTTCATCCATTTGCCCACACAATCAACATTCATTGAGCATCTGCTCTGTGGGGTGCTATGTGATGGTGACAGTCCCAGGAAGCAGTTTCAGTCCTCCCTGCCCTCAAGGGGCTCTGTGTTTAGGGAGGACAAACATATACATCATGACAATAAAATTTGATAAAAAGTTAAATTAGAGAGGGGGCAAACCCTGACGTAGAAGCCCAGGAGGGATTCCTAACTTCTCTGCCAATTTCATGTTTCAAAATCATTAGACCCAAGACTCGCTTTGGTATAAACTTAAGCTCTCTTACTGTACATTTTTCTTCTCCTGCTAATCTTTAATTAAGTGCCCACCAGGTGCCTGGCACTGAATCAAAACTCAAAAAACTTGCTGAATTAAGCCAAATGCACCTCCTGTGGGTTTTCCCCCCTAATATCCTCAGAGGCAGTAATCAATTCCCTCCCCAAATTCCCCAGTCCCCACCCCATCCCCACCTTTCCTTTTGCAGTATAATCTCAACTCCTGTGATGGGGGCAGGCAGGATAGCATGGTAGTGAGATCAACAGACTGTGACTTGGGTTCTTGTCGCTACTTAGCCATTCGTTCTCTGTGTGACCTTGGGATGGGACTTTAGGGGGATTTCTTTAATAACCTCTAAACTCCCGTGCAATGCTGAGAGCCAAGGTAGCGGCTCTCAGGTCTTGTTCCAAGAACTGCCACCAGAGGGCAGCCTAGAGACTCCTCTCAGGTGTTTTCCTCCAGAGCCTTTGCTCTTTCCCTCACTAATGTCATCCACTCCCTGGGTCCACCATCAAGGCACACAGGTGTCCCTTTAGCCGTCAAGGTGACCGTTCTAAGGTGAGCCAGGCATGTGAGGCGAGGCGAGACAGGCTCTGAAGCCCTCAGGAAAATTCAGGCACAGGCTGCTTGTCCAAGTGGACCTCACGATCATCATTTACACATTCTCTCCCTGATAATTTCATGAGCCAGTGGTCTACAGGAGAGGATACCACAGCCAGTCAAAGGGATCAGGGCCCTGCCCTCAGGGAGCTGCCTTCCAGTGAGGGAGGAGAGAGATACACAGATGCTTACAAGGTATCTGTAGTAGGATGTCACCTAGTGATGAATGGTGTGACGCAGCTTAGGCAGAGCGAGGAAATAGGGATGGTCCAAACGTGTGTGTGTGTGTGTGTTTTTTTGAGACAGAGTTTCGCTCTTGTCGCCCAGGCTGGAGTGCAGTGGTGCGATCTCAGCTCACTGCAACCTCTACCTCCCGGGTTCAAGTGATTCTCCTGTCTCAGCCTCCCGGGTAGCTGGGATTACATGTGTGCACCACCACACCCGGCTAATTTTTGTATTTTTAGTAGAGACGGGGTTTCATCATGTTGGCCAGGCTGGGCTACGAGCGAAACTCCATCTCAAAATAATAATAATAATAATAATAATAATAATAATAATAATAATAATAATAATTCCTGTCTCCTAGGGTCATTGAGAGAATGGAGATCAGTCCTGCATGGGCAGACGTCGGCACCGAGCTGAATGTTACACACTGCCAAGGAGTCAGCGCCGGTCTCTGGTGAAGATGTTCTAGTCCCAGGACCCAAGAGAACAGAGCGGGACACGAGATGCCTCTCTAACAGGAGTCTGTGTTTCCTGGTCACCTCTGTGTGCTGGGTGATGCCTCAGGTGCCAGGGAGACACTGGGCAGTAGGAGAAGCTCCCTCCTGTGAGGACTCTCACCCGGAGGCACTCAGACAACCCAGAACACAGGAGGGAAGATGGGCCACCACAGTCCCATTCCCAGGCGCTCCAAGGGCCAGCCCAGCCTAGAAGTCCCTCCTGGTACAAGTCTTTCCGGCCTCTCCTCTCCCGAGAGCACGTTCAGACTGCACCCTGGCGCTCTCTTTCACCCTGTCGAGGAAGCTGTGACTCTAATTCTGGGTGACCAGTAACAATAAAAACCACTAATAGCCCTAGTGGAAAGAATGACTATTTAACAGGTGCACATAATGAGCAGACAAGGAGAGCTCTTTTCCCTCACACTCACTCCGCAGGACAGAGAGGGGAACAGTCTTGCTACTGTGACAGCTAATCACAGCCTCTGTGTGCCTCCCTCCTCGCAAGATAAGAGGGGTGGCCTCAGGGTGTGACGGAAACAGCCAGGAAGGCTTCGGCCCAGGGAGCGACTGCCCTACAGCTGACTCCCTGCTGCTTTTGGGAAGTGGGGGTGAAGGGAAAAGACTCAGGGGAGCGGGGGGAAGAAAGCTTGGTGGGCAGAACCCCACTTGCCAAATTCCTCCTCTTTCAGGATTCAGTGGCCAAAGGTGCGCCTGGCTCTGGCCCCAGTCTTCACTCCCAAGTGCCGGCTGCAGTGCCCTGGGCCCGTCGGAGGCTGGCAGGGCTGCTGGGAGGGTGAGGACAGGCATGGGAAGAGTGGAAAGTGGGGGCTGACCCAGCCAAGCTCCAGGAGGCCATTCCATAGAGGAGAGAGCCATGGACCAGGAGCCAAGCAGGGAAGAAGGAAGGAAAGGTAGAGCCGAGCACCGCCCACACCAGGAATAATCTCAGGAAGAGGATGGTGTGGACAGGCCCCAGGACAGGGCTTCTCAGCTAAGGGCAACTCGTTATGCTGCAGTGGGGGCACCTAACAGAACACCCTAGGGTTTTTTTAAAGTATACAGCACGGTCCTGCCCACCACTGGCATCAGATGAATGCCATGTCCAGGGGAAACCCCAGTACGTCCTCATCACAGCCATGTGAACACTGCTGTTTGTTCATAAAAATGTGTTGCATCCCTAGGGGGAAATAAAAGGAGCTAATCCAATAGAGAGAAGAGTGGCTCAGGGGAGACAGTCACCCATGAGGAATGAGGGCAGGACACACAGGCCCAGGCCGAGATTGCACAGGGTGTTGCATGAGTGGCTGTGTCAGAGCCAAGTGCACATGCCCACTGCCACCTCCGCCAAGGCCATCAGTGAATCCCTCCAGCACCTACAGGGGCTTTGCACATAAGAGCTGTGCTTGCAGGGGGTGGGGGGTGGGCACAGGGCAGGAAACCAGAGAGGAGGGCACCATGTCCCTGAGTAAGGTAGAAAGGGGAAGCACAGCTTGGACACATTCTTCCATTCTTTTATTTCAAAATATCACCAAGTGCCTGCCACAGCTATGTGCTGGGAACTCAGTGAACGCACCTGTGCTTTGCCCACTGGCATGGAGCCCATGGTCCAGGGGTGATGGTTTCTGTTGCATTTCAAAGCCACTGGGGCGCTGCATAGATGGCTGGCTGCAGAGTCTATTTGAGACGAAGGCAAGAAGTCAGGGCCCATGGACTGTAGATTCCACCCTTGATCGTCTACTACAGGAAAGAAGCCACAGAAGTGAGGGGGTATTCCCAACAGGAAGGCAGAGAAGGAGAGATTAAAACTGAGTCAAGAAGTGTAGCCAGTCCCATGGGAGCACCTGGGCTGAGGAGGGTCAGTCCCCGCAGAGATGTTCGGAACACCTGATTGGGGATGTGCCCTCTCCTTCTATGTTCTTGGTCACCAGAGGAACCAGGTGAAGAGTGTGGATGACTCAGTCCACCCCTCCCCGCACAGGAAAAACAACTCAGAGGACATCCCCTACTGGGAGTGGGCCAGGAGCGCTGGCTTCCACGCCAAGGAGAGGAGGGTGTTGCTGTGGCTGCAGAGGTGAGTCCACAGGGAAGCGTGGGTGCCATGGAGAAAGAGAGAGGAGAGGAAATGGCCTCTCGCTGGAGCCAAGCAGAGAGGAACAAAGGAGGGGAGGAGCCCACAGGCCCTGGAGCCCCAGAGCAGCTCTGGGTGGCCCCTTTCCTTCTCTCCTCAGCACAAAATAAGCTGCTTTTCCAGGCTTTTTCTCTTCCTCGTGCTCACTCCATTTTCCTTCTTCCAAGCCTAAGCCCTGGTCTACCAAGGACCCCTATGTGAAACACTTGTGCTAGAACTTCTGTCCTGACTCTCAGGCCCCCAGAGGAGGAAAGCTGTGGAGGAGGGACCTCATGAGCCAGTAACCTTCACTTAGGAACTCTTCACTTTTTTTTTTTTGAGACGGAGTCTCACTCTGTCACCCAGGCTGGAGTGCAGTGGCATGAAATCGGCTCACTGCAGCCTCCGCCTCGCCGGTTCAAATGATTCTCCTGCCTCAGCCTCCTGAGTAGCTGGGATTACAGGTGCCTGCCCCCGCACCCGGCTAATTTTTGTATTTTTAGTAGAGATGGTTTTGCCATGTTGGCCAGGCTGGTCTCAAACTCCTGAGCTCAAGTGATCCACCTGCCTTGGCCTCCCAGAGTGCTGGGATTACAGGCGTGAGCCACCATACCTGGCCAGCTTTGACAGCAGAAATCTTCTCTCTAGAAATATTCATATACATAAGGAATTTTGCACACATCCTTACAGGGTTTAGGGAGCCTCTTAAGCCTGTCCATGAACCTCTGCCATTCATTTATAGCATGGTGTCAGCTGCAGAGTAATAGGATCTATGTGGGCCTGGAAGTCCAACAGGCCTGGGTTTGAATCTTTTTCAAACATTTTTGCTTGTTAGCAGCTGGTTTGGACAAATAATTTCAACTTAGTTTTCTCATCTGTGAAACAGGGGGAAAAAGCACTTACCCTGTAGGGCTGTTGTGAAGATTGAACAAGACAACTCATGTTAAATACCCAGGCACTGTGTCCGCCTGCAGCAGGCAGTCAGTACATGGTGGATCTCGTGCCCCAAGCCTCCTCTTTATGGAGTCCCTCAAGTTGCCCCAGCTGGCCTCGGATTCCTCCCACCTCCACCTCCTGGGTAGCTGGGACTACAGCACGCCATGCTTCAGCCCCCTTCGTGATCATTCAAAGCCGTTTGGTTCCCTGCACCCTCTCACATTTACTGCAATTCCTATAGAATCCAAATTCTTTTAACCTGGTGTTGTAGGTCATCTACAATCCTGATCCAAGCAGCCTGTCCCTTCTCCCATACCACTGTCCTCCACATGCATGTCCCACACCAACCCACGCCATCCGCTGGTTCTAAATACACCTGAAGCACCACAAGGCCCCACGTCTGGCTGCCTGCTCTGTGCTTCTCTCATCATTCCTCAAGGCCCGGGGAAAGTCCTGCCACCTCCCTGAAGCCAAGTGCCTACCCGCTTCTCCACTCTAGGCTGCTGTCTTACGCTGTGTGTCCCCAGCTGGATGGCAGCTCCTCAGGGCAAGGAACAATTTCTCTTCTTTCTCAGTGCAACTTCCAAAACACAGCAGAGGAGCGTGCACTGGGGGCCAAGGCTGGCACAGCAAACACAGCAGCACAGGGCTGCTGGAGGGGTGGAGGGGACCAGAGGGGACAGTGACCTGCCTGCTTCATGATACATGGCTGGGAGCCCCACCTTTTGCCTATGGAAGGCATGTGCTTTGAGCTTGATTTTCTCGGGTGTAGAGTGTCTACGCCACCCACACTTTCTCACCCGGTCCAATGCACGGGCACGGGCAGGGGCAGGGCCAGAATCTGTTGCTGTAGAACACAGCAGAGCTGCCTGCACTACTGTGGACGTCACCAAACTGGCAGCTTCACTGAAGGTGACCCTGGCCTGTGTGGGCACTCAGCTGATGCCCTTTTCTTCCCTCCTAAGCCCCATTAGCTTTAGGTCTCCACCACCTGCACTGAGAGAAAGATTAATGGTGAGCACCAGAGTAAAATCTAGCACAGAAGGCAGGGTTTCAGTAAAAAACCAAAAGCACGGCGGATTAGAGCTCAAGGGCCCACAGGTGGGCAGGACAGTAGAGGAACTGGGCAGCCCAGGGTGGCAGGATGGGGTGGACAGGAGTGGACAGGAGAGAGTAGCCAGGAGGAGGGACGTGGCTGCACCGCCAGTCCACGTGGGCGGCTGGAGACCTGGCAGGAGGCCAGGAGAGACTGTGCCTCCTCCAGCCTGGCTGTCTTGGCCAAGTTCTGACGGCAGCCAGGAGGAATGTGACAAAGAAAACAAGACAAACTTTGCTACCTCTGGCTGGTCAGGGGAAGTTTGTGTTGGAAAAGAAGAAGCCACAGATTCCACTGTTCCGCTGCCTTCTCCCCTCACACCCTGGGACGGCCCAGCACCTTCTAGTCCACTCCTCCCTGCCCTCTGCCACTCCCCTCATTACCCCAGTGCCCCCTCCCTCCTTGCCCAGGTCCTCCAGGGAGCCAAGCCTGAGAGTCTAGGGAGGCCCACAGGAGGAAATGATGTTCGGAAAGAGCAGCATCACTTTATTTTTTGAGACGGAGTTTCCCTTTTGTCACCCAGGCTGGAGTGCAATGGTGCAATCTTGGCTCACTGCAACCTCTGCCTCCAGGGTTCAAGTGATTCTCCTGCCTCAGCCTCCCGAGTAGCAGGGATTACAGGCGCCCACCACCACGCCTGGCTAATTTTTTTTGTATTTTTGGTAGAGACGGGGTTTCGCCATGTTGGCCAGGCTGATCTCGAACTCCTGGCCTCAAGTGATCCGCCCGCATCGGCCTCCCATAGTGCTGGGATTACAAGCATAAGCCACCGTGCCCAGCCGAGCAGCATCACTTTAAATGGTATCTCTGTCTCACATTTGTGCCTGCACCTCTATACAAGGCAGGAAGGGAGCAGAAGACACTCTGCTAGCATTGGCTGGGCTGGAGACTCAGGAAAGGGAGCCTGGGGCTGTGGGGGTGAAGCTGGCCTATTTGTCTCCCCCAGTGGAAGGATGAAGACAGGAGCACCTGCAGGGCTCCATTTGCTGGGCTTCCTACTGGGGGACTGCACCCCTTGTCCCATTTAACCTTTTTGATAATTTCCCATTTGATGTTCACAAAAACCTTGCGAAATAAGTGTTATTTAAAATACCCCCATTTCACAGATGAGGAGATGGAAGTTCAGAAAGGTTTGAAGAGCCGCCCAAAGCCAAGAGGTTAGCTGGGACTTGAACCCACGTCATCTTCATTCTGAAGCCAGTGTTTTTTGTTTGTTTGTTTTTCCCAAGGCATTAGCCCCCTTCAGGGGACCCTGTCCTATCCCTTCCTCTCTCCACAGCTCCCTCAGCCCCTCTTTCCTCCCACTCCCATTCTGAGTGTCACTAGCAAGTCAAGAGCAAGACTAGATGGCAGCCACTAGCTGCACGTGGCCAACCACATCATTACAATTAATTAAAATTAAAGCTCCAAATCTTTGGTGATTAAACTTGCTCCATGTGGCCAGTGGCTACCGTATGGGACAGCACAGACAGGAAACATTTCCATCCTCCTGCTGGTCTGAACTTAAAGGGCGGTCAGGAGGTAGAGGGAATGGGAGAGACCAGCCCAAGGGGCCCAGGGACAGAGCTGCCTTTGTGAGGAGATGAGGTTTGGGAAGTGAGTTTGGGTGAGGGGAGCAGGGGTGTCTGAGGCCTGGGGGGAGGAGAGGGCAGCTTGCTGGACTCCCAGGCACCTCCCTCCGATACTGATACTCCCGCAATACTAGTGAGCAATTAATTGGCTGGGGCGGGGCAGGGGCCAGAGCAGGAGGGAGGCCAACGCAATGGAGGAGAAGCCACCACCCTCTCAGCAGATGGCAGGGCTCCGGTTCTCCTGGCCTCCTTTCATCCTTTGAGGACCCGGGAGCCTGCCTGGCCCTCCTCGACCTGCCCAGAGCTGGCTGCTGCTTCCTGCTCGCTCATCCAGCCCAGGGCCAGCAGATGGGCTACGGGGCCACCACCTTCCCAATTAGCCTTCTTAGCCTCTTGCTCACCCTTGAGGTCTGGGTTACCAGCCATGGGGAGGGGCTGTGAGTGCCCTGTGAGTAACCAAGGCCCAGCTTTGACAGAGGTCATCAGCCCAGGCCCCTCCCCTGGCTGAGCCCTGGCTCCCAGCACCCCCCCACCCCCGCCACCATGCCGTCCCCAGAGGTCCCCAGAAGCGACAGGTCAGGGAGTTGGTTTTGGGAATGTGGTGCCCCATTTCTGAGAAGGAGAAGGTTCCCCAGGTGATGGAACACGTAATAGGTATGTGGCTGGCCTGGTACTTGGGGAGTGGTGGGAGGGGGAGCCTGGGGGATGGGGGCAGAACTCATATTTGAAGGAGGAAAGTGGAGGTGGAGTGATGGGGTCCTAAGGAAGGAGCAGATCAGGGGCTGTGAATGGGACCTCATTGGGGTTGGGCGGGTGGGGCTGGAGCGGGCACCCAAGTGTGGAAGAAAAAGCTGAAACACCCACGACTGCGAGTGGAGGGCAGATGGAGAGACAGGCCAAGCCACGGTAGGCAGGAGAGTTAAGGAGCCAGGCAGCTGGGTCCCGTGGCAAGAGTGGCCGCCCCAGAGTGGGTGGCCGTGGGGCAGAGCGCCTGGTTCCGGGTTAGGCAATGAGGAGCCGGGGCCAGGCCTGTCAGGTGGCAGGATCGTTAGAGCCCCGTGGCCATGGGTACCCCACACTGCAGCCACTGCTGCTGCTGAGTAGGCAGATGCACCGGGCTGATTACCACGCTCCTCCCGGCCACACCAACTTCCCCCGGGGCACCCACCCCCTCCACCTCTCCTCCTCTCCCCACAGTGACTCCTGCCCAGGGAATGTCCAGCTCTGGCATAAAGGACCCAGGTGTCCTCGAGCTGCCATCAGTCAGGAGGCCGTGCAGTCCGAGATGGGCTCGTCTCGGGCACCCTGGATGGGGCGTGTGGGTGGGCACGGGATGATGGCACTGCTGCTGGCTGGTCTCCTCCTGCCAGGTAGGAGGCTGGGGGCCCTGGGAACAGGAGGGAGGCGGGAGGGAGACTCCGGGAGAGGACCCAGCGAAGGGGACGGGCAGGGGCTCTGGAATCTGCCTTTTGAGTCTGGGGGTTGCTCCTCACTGTATGGTCGCCTCAGGTAAGTTTCTTAAACTTCCTGAGCCCCAGTTTCTGAAATTCTGAAGTGGGGTTAATGACACCTACCTCTAGTCTGTGTGTCTCAAATTAAATAATGTATGTGATATGTACTTTGGAAATTCTAGAGGTTTATATAAATGGTGGTGGTGATTTTTATTATGGGACCACTACAAGATAATGATTGGACATTTAATAGTAATAATATCATTTTTAGAGCCTTTTTATATGCTAGACTCTGTTTTAAGCACATTTGGATTATATATTAGAACTTTTATTTTTATTTTTTTTGTGAGATGGAGTCCCACTCTGTCTCCAAGGCTGGAGTGCAGTGGCGTAATCTCGGCTCACTGCAACTTCCACCTCTCAGGTTCAAGTGACTCTCATGCCTCAGCCTCTAGAGTAGCTGGGACTACAGGTGCCCATCACCACACCTGGCTAATTTTCTTTTTTTTTGTATTTTTAGTAGAAACAGGGTTTTACCATTTTGGTCAAGCTGGTCTTGAACTCCTGACTCAAGTGATCCGCTCGCCTCGGCCTCCCAAGGTGCTGGGATTACAGGCATGAGCCACCACACCCGGCCTATATTAGCACTTTTGATCATTACAAGAACGGTATGAAAGGAGATTTGCTATTTCCACTCTACAGATGAGGACACTGAGGCTCGGAGAGGTTAGGAAACTAGCTCAAGATCATGCATGAGAAGGCAGCAAAGCCAAGATTTCAACCCCAGGCCAGGCAACCCCTGGACCTGTGTTGTTGACCACCGGGTACTTATAGCCCTTGAGGAATTTCTGCGACCTTCCCATGGTCTAGTGGGTGGTTGGTGTCTGAGGGAATAGCAAAAGAGAGAGGCAATGCATGGTGGATTCGTGCAGAGGACTGAAGGGAATTGGCACAGCTGGGGTTCGGCGTGGAGGTGCATGCAGAGAATTTCTTTCTGAGGAGAGAACAGGGACATCACAGAGGATGGCAGTCTAGTTGTTGGTGCAGGGATCAGGATGAGTGGCAGTAATAATTCATAATATATAATGCTTTACACTTTCTAAAACATCTGGCCGCACATGATAGCTTGTGCCTGTAATCCCAACACTTCAGGAGGCCAAGGCAGGTGAATCGCCTGAGGTCAGGAGTTCAAGACCAGCCTGGCCAAGATGGTGAAACCCCCTCTCTACTAAAAATACAAAAAATTAGCTGGGTGTGGTGGCGGGCACCTGTGGTCCCAGCTACTTGGGAGGCTGAGGCAGGAGAATCGCTTGCACCAAGGAGGCAGAGGTTACAGTGAGCTGAGACCGTGTTATTGCACTTTAGCCTGGGCAACAAGAAACTCCATCTCACAAAAAAAAAAAAAAAAAAAAAAAAAAAAAAGAAGAAAAAACTTCCAGGTGGATGATCTCATTTAGTTTTCTTCATAGTAATGCTGTGGGAAGGCAGGGAAAATTTGGCCCCTCTGAATGTATAAACTAAAGCTCAGAGAGGTTCAGTAACTTGCTAGTATGTGGCTCTGTTTGTAACACGTGGGACCTGGAGGGGCTAGGGAAGGCAGAAGGAACGCAGGTGAAAGAGTCATGGAGGAACCATGGGGTAAGTTGGGCCTGGGGTTTTCAGCAAAGGAAAGGAAAGATAAGGAAAGATGTGGCTCCACATCCCTGAGGGAAGTCAAGGCAGCAGAAGTCAGATGAGGGGCTGGACAGAGGCAGGTGTGCTCAGAGAGGGAAGCTGATTGTGGCCAGGAGCCTCGGAGGTTCGTGGGGTTTCGTCCTGGTTCCCTGGGCTGGGCCAGCGAGAGCAGGGCTGGCTCAGGGTGCGGTGTCCTGACACACTGGTACCAGCAGGTTCTGAAGCAACAGGTAGTGACCCCACATCCTGGCCCCCACCCAGCTTTACTGGCATGGCCAGTGCTGAGATAGGAAATAGGGTTTCCATTCCTGACCCCAGCCTGGGCTCTCACGAAGAAGCTGGTGACCAAATCTTAGTCCTCGAGTGCCCTTTCCTTTATTTCAGCCCCTCTGCCCCCAGCTTTGTCTTTTTCCAGTGTCTCCTTCTATATGTGTCTCCACTTCTCAGCCCTCCATTGTTTTGCCTTTTGTCTTCTTCCCTCTGGTCCCACTGTCTGGCCCAGGATTTTTCCCCTAAGAATTTACGCCTGGACTCCTCATAGCCTCAGTTTCCCCAATTCTCTGTCTCTTCAGGGTCCTTTCTTTTAGACCTATTTGTTCCTGCCCCTTCTCCATTCCCTCTTCTTTTTAAAAAAAATTTTAATTAAAAAACAAAATACAGACGGGGTCTATGTTGCCCAGGCTGGTCTTGAACTCTGGGGCGCATGCAATCCTCCCACCTCAGCCTCCCAAAGTGCTGGGATTACCGGCGTGAGCCACTGTGCCCAGCCCCCTCTTATATTCAATGTATTCCTTTGAGGTCACTCACTTTGGCACGTAATTTTCTATTTTTCTGGTTGGTGTTTGCCCACCCTTCCCAAACAAAGAAATGCCTTTATTCGGCCACCTCAATATCCTTTAGAGACAATAGCCAGTTCTTCCTCCTTTCTCCATCCCTAAACTCTCCCTGCGCTCTGCTTGGGAGAAACCCGAGAGGCCGATTACTGAGATAAGGCAGAAAGGTGAGGGAGGAAGCCAAGCCTCCTTGGCCCTTACTAACCACTGCTTTCCTCCACAGGGACCTTGGCTAAGAGCATTGGCACCTTCTCAGACCCCTGTAAGGACCCCACGCGTATCACCTCCCCTAACGACCCCTGCCTCACTGGGAAGGGTGACTCCAGCGGCTTCAGTAGCTACAGTGGCTCCAGCAGTTCTGGCAGCTCCATTTCCAGTGCCAGAAGCTCTGGTGGTGGCTCCAGTGGTAGCTCCAGCGGATCCAGCATTGCCCAGGGTGGTTCTGCAGGATCTTTTAAGCCAGGAACGGGGTATTCCCAGGTCAGCTACTCCTCCGGATCTGGCTCTAGTCTACAAGGTGCATCCGGTTCCTCCCAGCTGGGGAGCAGCAGCTCTCACTCGGGAAGCAGCGGCTCTCACTCGGGAAGCAGCAGCTCTCATTCGAGCAGCAGCAGCAGCTTTCAGTTCAGCAGCAGCAGCTTCCAAGTAGGGAATGGCTCTGCTCTGCCAACCAATGACAACTCTTACCGCGGAATACTAAACCCTTCCCAGCCTGGACAAAGCTCTTCCTCTTCCCAAACCTTTGGGGTATCCAGCAGTGGCCAAAGCGTCAGCTCCAACCAGCGTCCCTGTAGTTCGGACATCCCCGACTCTCCCTGCAGTGGAGGGCCCATCGTCTCGCACTCTGGCCCCTACATCCCCAGCTCCCACTCTGTGTCAGGGGGTCAGAGACCTGTGGTGGTGGTGGTGGACCAGCACGGTTCTGGTGCCCCTGGAGTGGTTCAAGGTCCCCCCTGTAGCAATGGTGGCCTTCCAGGCAAGCCCTGTCCCCCAATCACCTCTGTAGACAAATCCTATGGTGGCTACGAGGTGGTGGGTGGCTCCTCTGACAGTTATCTGGTTCCAGGCATGACCTACAGTAAGGGTAAAATCTACCCTGTGGGCTACTTCACCAAAGAGAACCCTGTGAAAGGCTCTCCAGGGGTCCCTTCCTTTGCAGCTGGGCCCCCCATCTCTGAGGGCAAATACTTCTCCAGCAACCCCATCATCCCCAGCCAGTCGGCAGCTTCCTCGGCCATTGCGTTCCAGCCAGTGGGGACTGGTGGGGTCCAGCTCTGTGGAGGCGGCTCCACGGGCTCCAAGGGACCCTGCTCTCCCTCCAGTTCTCGAGTCCCCAGCAGTTCTAGCATTTCCAGCAGCGCCGGTTCACCCTACCATCCCTGCGGCAGTGCTTCCCAGAGCCCCTGCTCCCCACCAGGCACCGGCTCCTTCAGCAGCAGCTCCAGTTCCCAATCGAGTGGCAAAATCATCCTTCAGCCTTGTGGCAGCAAGTCCAGCTCTTCTGGTCACCCTTGCATGTCTGTCTCCTCCTTGACACTGACTGGGGGCCCCGATGGCTCTCCCCATCCTGATCCCTCCGCTGGTGCCAAGCCCTGTGGCTCCAGCAGTGCTGGAAAGATCCCCTGCCGCTCCATCCGGGATATCCTAGCCCAAGTGAAGCCTCTGGGGCCCCAGCTAGCTGACCCTGAAGTTTTCCTACCCCAAGGAGAGTTACTCGACAGTCCATAAGTCAACTGTTGTGTGTGTGCATGCCTTGGGCACAAACAAGCACATACACTATATCCCATATGGGAGAAGTCCAGTGCCCAGGCATAGGGTTAGCTCAGTTTCCCTCCTTCCCAAAAGAGTGGTTCTGCTTTCTCTACTACCCTAAGGTTGCAGACTCTCTCTTATCACCCCTTCCTCCTTCCTCTTCTCAAAATGGTAGATTCAAAGCTCCTCTCTTGATTCTCTCCTACTGTTTAAATTCCCATTCCACCACAGTGCCCCTCAGCCAGATCACCACCCCTTACAATTCCCTCTACTGTGTTGAAATGGTCCATTGAGTAACACCCCCATCACCTTCTCAACTGGGAAACCCCTGAAATGCTCTCAGAGCACCTCTGACGCCTGAAGAAGTTATACCTTCCTCTTCCCCTTTACCAAATAAAGCAAAGTCAAACCATCATCTGGAAACAGTGGCCACTTTTCACTGACCTCTCTTCGACATCTAGTCAACCCACCCAATATGCCACTGGGCTTTCGCTCCCAATTCCACCCCACCCTCCATTACAGAGCTCACCACGCCCTCCTAGATCACCGTCCCCAACACACCCATTGCCTCTCAAGGCCCTTATCTCAGCCCCTTCCTGTGGCCATTTCCCTCAGTGCCCAGATGATTCCCTGGGTGAGGGAGACACTGGGGCACCCTCAGA
Organism: Homo sapiens; assembly: GCF_000001405.40. Lineage (NCBI taxonomy): Eukaryota > Metazoa > Chordata > Mammalia > Primates > Hominidae > Homo > Homo sapiens. Next base: position 2,373,334 of record NT_167248.2, on the reverse strand, counting down.
GGTTGGAGCAGGCTCCCTGCTGTCCCTGGATCCTGGACAGATGGCTCAGTAAACTGTGGGGACTAGGTGCAGACTTTTTGCCTTCTTGGAATCCTGGGTCTCCTCTGAGAGTCTGGGTGGTGCTCTTCCTACGCCTCTAGAGGTCTCTGTGTCCCTCATTTTCCTTCAAAAGCGGGCTGTGTTTCTCTTCTACCTTCCAGCTCCTCCCACAGAGGAGGAAGACAATAAATATTTGTTGAACTGAAAGCAGAGATTGCCTGGCCTCCCAGGTCCTTCCGCCATTTCCCTCCTCTCTCATTGCTCCAGGAAATCCATTCTCTTCCCATTCCTCATTCACCGTGGGGTCCCCCTTCCCCTTATTTAGGGCCCTCAGTGTTTTCTCTCCCTCCCCTCCCCACCCCTCCCCACCCAAACTCCTTTTCTTCCACCATTAGCATTCCTCACCTTCTAGATGCCATCCTCTCTGGGAGTCATGAGTCTCGATTTCCTGGGTTTCTGGGACACCTGGAAGCTTGGGAAGGCTGGGACACAACAACTCCAACCAGATTCCTGTCAGCTGAGTAGGAGGCCAGTTGGGCGTTGTTCCTGGAGCTGGGGGTGGAGAGAGTAAAGGACTGAGAGGATGGGAGCGGGGCAGGGAGTGCAGCCAAGCAGGGTGACTCACTGGCCTAGATCAAGAGGCCCAGCCTGTGGCAGAACAGAGCTGCCGGTGGTCTCTCCATCTTCACACTCCCTGCTCTGCTGGGGTCCAAAGTGAGAGTGTGAGCAACATGGCTCTCAGGTGAGGGCTGAGAAGGCAGAGTGCCCCCGTGGGAAAGAGGAGTCGCCTCCACTGGAGAAGAGAGAGAAAGTGGAGTGTGTGGTGGGGTCCATGCGACTTAAGTCCTGAGACAGGCAGGGAGAGGCTGAGGCGGACGAAGTTCCCGCATCCCAAGGAGGGCAGAGTGGATTGTGCTTGTCCCTGTAGGAGCCCCACCCCCCACCCTAGGCCACCTCTCAGAGCCTCTGCTTGGCTGCAAAGGAATTCACCCCTACTGTAGCACTTAACCCATTCCCTCCTATCAGGGTGGTGCTGTCTGGTCCTGAATTTAGAACTGTTGAAACTCCAAGTCTGGAATCAGCAGAAATGTATTACATTGACCAGAAAGGGATTGAATCACCCTTGGTCCAGCGTCTGGCCCCTGATCTGCAGCCAATGGCAGGAATCGAGGTCCTCAGATGCTTCATGAATGGGAATTGCAGGGAGAGAAGGCTCTCTGATGTGGTGTTTCCTCGAGTCTCCTGCTGTGCTCCAAATTAAAAGCTTGTGTAAAACTCATGCATGTCATCCAAAAAGGCCTCTGGGCTCCATCCACTGCCAGTTCTGAAGTGGAGCTCTTCACTCCTCCAGTGGTTAAGCCAGCAGGGGCAGGTGGGGAGGACACAGCAGTAGAATCAGCCGACAGCTCATGTTTAGACCTTGGGCAGCCAGGGAAGCCTACTCCTGGGGCCTCCCGGAAGCCATGGAGAGAACAAAGCCATTGCATTTTTATAATAAAATTTGCAAACATATTTAAAAGCCAACAAACTGTTAATGAATCTCTACATTCTCATCGCCCAGCTTCAACAAGGATCAAGTCCTGGCCATTTGACAGCAGCATTTAAAGGCCCTCCTCTACTGTTACTTGGAAATAGCCACTTTCTCCCAAGGTTTCTTATACTCTGTGGCACATCTGACCACCAGTAGCAGGCAGAATGATGTCTTCAACCCCAACACCATCAAAGATGTCCACATCCTAATCCCTGGAACGTAGGAATTAGGTTACATGGCAAAGGGAAATTAAGGTTCCAGATGGGATTAAGGTTGCTATTCGGCTGACTTCACAGAGATTATCATGGATTATTCAGGTGGGTCCAGTGTAGTCACCGGGTCCCTTAATGTGGACATGGGAGGCAGAAGAGGAAGTCTGAGTGATACAGTGTAAGAAATGGCTGATTTTGGCTTTGGAGATGGAGGAAGGGGACCATGAGCCAAAGAACACAGGATGCCTCTAGAAGGTGAAAAAGCGGGGAAAGGGATTTTCCCCTGAGGCCCCCAGAAAGAATCACAGCCCTGCTGACACCTTTATTTTAATCCACTGAGACCTGTTTTAGACTTCTGATCTCCAAAACTGTAAAGTAATAAATCCATGTTGTTGTAAGCCATTCGGTTCATGGTAATTTGTCACTGCAGCAGCAGGAATTAGTCAGTATCTCATAAGGATGGCATCCAGGCCCATTTCCCTAGCTAGATCCAGGGTCTCATGTAGGAGCAGCTCCTCAGATGGGGCCACTTCTGCACCCCAGAACCTCCTGCAGGTTGGGGCCAAGGTGAAGGAGATATGAGGATGCACGAGAAAGGGGTGCTGGGAGGAAACAATCCAGCTCCCAAAAAGAAACAAGTGTTTCTGTTGCTGAGAGAGGCAATTAAGAGAGTGGGACCCCAGGGTGGAGGTCCTTGTGTATAGAGAAGCAGGGCTGGGGAGGCTGGCAACCAGGGATGAGCTGTGAGCCAGGACACCTGGGCCAAGAAGGGGCAGGGAGGTCAAGGAAAGGAGCCAGGGCGGGAGACACCCAGCTTCCTCTGGGACATTCATTCAAGTGACACCTGTTGCCACAGACCGCATTAGGAATGAGGGTGGAATGTGGAGGTTTATTGTCTTCACAACCACTAGCCCAGCCTGTTTCTGCTGTCCCCCACCCCACTACCAGGATAAAGGGCTGGCTGTCTTGGGGCTGAGGGAGATCGGGTGCTGAGCAGGATGCAGGGCCGCGTGGCAGGGAGCTGCGCTCCTCTGGGCCTGCTCCTGGTCTGTCTTCATCTCCCAGGTATGGAGGCCGTGATGCCCTTGGGCAGGAGGGACTGGAGGTCCCCCAGGAAACAGGAATTAAGGAAAGGGGTAAAGGCAGGAGGGTACACATTTAGGTCCCTGAGGGAAAAGGAAGAATAGGCATAGGGGAAGCAAAGGGAACTGGGGACTCGGGGACTGGAGACCACTGGTTGCTTTATCTTCCCTTTCCCTCAGGCCTCTTTGCCCGGAGCATCGGTGTTGTGGAGGAGAAAGTTTCCCAAAACTTCGGGACCGACTTGCCTCAGCTCGGACAACCTTCCTCCACTGGCCCCTCTAACTCTGAACATCCGCAGCCCGCTCTGGACCCTAGGTCTAATGACTTGGCAAGGGTTCCTCTGAAGCTCAGCGTGCCTCCATCAGATGGCTTCCCACCTGCAGGAGGTTCTGCAGTGCAGAGGTGGCCTCCATCGTGGGGGCTGCCTGCCATGGATTCCTGGCCCCCTGAGGATCCTTGGCAGATGATGGCTGCTGCGGCTGAGGACCGCCTGGGGGAAGCGCTGCCTGAAGAACTCTCTTACCTCTCCAGTGCTGCGGCCCTCGCTCCGGGCAGTGGCCCTTTGCCTGGGGAGTCTTCTCCCGATGCCACAGGCCTCTCACCCGAGGCTTCACTCCTCCACCAGGACTCGGAGTCCAGACGACTGCCCCGTTCTAATTCACTGGGAGCCGGGGGAAAAATCCTTTCCCAACGCCCTCCCTGGTCTCTCATCCACAGGGTTCTGCCTGATCACCCCTGGGGTACCCTGAATCCCAGTGTGTCCTGGGGAGGTGGAGGCCCTGGGACTGGTTGGGGAACGAGGCCCATGCCACACCCTGAGGGAATCTGGGGTATCAATAATCAACCCCCAGGTACCAGCTGGGGAAATATTAATCGGTATCCAGGAGGCAGCTGGGGAAATATTAATCGGTATCCAGGAGGCAGCTGGGGGAATATTAATCGGTATCCAGGAGGCAGCTGGGGGAATATTCATCTATACCCAGGTATCAATAACCCATTTCCTCCTGGAGTTCTCCGCCCTCCTGGCTCTTCTTGGAACATCCCAGCTGGCTTCCCTAATCCTCCAAGCCCTAGGTTGCAGTGGGGCTAGAGCACGATAGAGGGAAACCCAACATTGGGAGTTAGAGTCCTGCTCCCGCCCCTTGCTGTGTGGGCTCAATCCAGGCCCTGTTAACATGTTTCCAGCACTATCCCCACTTTTCAGTGCCTCCCCTGCTCATCTCCAATAAAATAAAAGCACTTATGGAATTTGCTTCTCCTTGGTTTCTTTGTTTCTGGGCATAAGCTGAAGTGAGTCTGGGCATAAGCTGAAGTGAGTCTGTTCATTCCTGTTTTCTAGCCATCCCCAAGGCCCTCTAGGGGCCCCTGCAGACGCTGTCTTGCTATCCCCATCCTTCACAAAGGATCAGTGCCCAAGTGCTTGAGGGTGGAGCCTCAGACTCACCCCGGCCAGGTGGGAGAGCTGTTCCAGAATTGTGCTGGAATCTGAAAGGGGGAGGAGGGACAGCAGGACTAATTGAGATGGCACCTGCAGCAGGGGGCAAGGATGAGGTCCCAGAAGGCGGCTCCAGGGCCAGGTGGACAGGATTCCTTGCAATTCACAGAAACAGGAAGCCAAAAGTCGCAATGTCTGCGCTTCACTTGTCTTTTCTTCCCCGGAAAGTCAAGCTTCTTGGAAGTGGAGGTACATTGACCTCCTCCCTTACAGGCATCATTTAGCACATTGTGTCCCACAGAACCACAGACTTTGAACAGTTGCTGAGTAAATAGCAGACCTCGATAAAGGAAAAGAGAAAAGGGAGAAAGGAAAGGGAGAAAAAAACCTTGAAGCCAACAATCCCACCTGGGGTGGCATTTGATGCTTTCATTCCCAAGTGATGACACAGTCTCAGCCTTTGGTCACAGTATTGTCTCTCCTGCCCTCCCTTCGGTTTTCCCAGGAGCTCAACATCCTCACACAGGAGTTGGAGTGAGGGCAGCGAAGGGTCAGTCTACAAAAGCACGGAAGAATCAGCAGGTGTGGGTTGGAGGTGATTTGGGTCTGGATTCTCTCTTCCCTGTGCCATGCCTGCAGTGGTCCAGGTGTATGTACTCTCCATCCAGTCAGGTCCCTGGGAGTTGGGCAGCTTGTGGGAGGGGAGAAAGGAGTAGGAAAAACACCAGAACTCAAGGGGTAGGGAGCTGCCTGCCTGCCTGCCTGAGTGGCAGATGGGCATTTCTGGAGAAGATGCCCGGTCCCAGCATCTGCCATAAGGCTCCATCCTACACTGAGAAGTCCTTCCTGGAACACCTTCCTCAGAGCCCACCTTCCCCATCACCAAGCACACTCCCTTCGTCAACACCTCAACCTCCTCACCTGATTCTTTTCCCAGCTTGGACTCTCTTGGTTTCTCCCTGCCCTAGGGCAAGGGGTTCCATGCCTGTTTTCAGCACCTGCCTCTTCCACCAGCCCAAGGTCATTCTATCAAGCCTGGAGTCTCATTTCTCTCTGTCCCTCTTCCTGGTGGCCTCTTCTCCATAGTCATTCCTATTCGCACATTTAAATTTGGTGTCAACAGTCCCCTGCTCTGTTCCACAGACTCACTAGAGCATAAGCACCACGAGGACAGGGGCTTTGTCTCTTTAGTTCACTGCTGCACCCCCAGCAAAAAGAACAGGGTCTGGACCAGGGCAGGCACTCAGCAGGCACGAAGGAATGGCTGATCCTCTCTCTCTGTCCCTCCCCCTCTCTCATCATCTCTCTTCTTCCACTCAATTCCTGAGCCATGCGGCTACACCCAGAGTCTAATCTACACTCCGGCTGTAGCCCTCCCAGAGCCTCACTGACATTTTTCAACAACCTCATGAAGCCCTTCTCAGCATTAAAATGCTCTGTGCGTTTCATCATTTAACCTTCATTATTCTCTGTGAGGAAGGCATTATAAGATTTTTGCGGCCAGGCACGGTGGCTCACACCTGTAATCCCAGCACTTTGGGAGAACGAGGCAGGCGGATCACCTGAGGAGTTCGAGACAGCCTAGTCCAACATGGGGAACATGGTGAAACCTCATCTCTACTAAAAACACAAAAATTAGCCAGGCATGGTGCCTGTAATGCCAGCTACTTAGGAGGCTGAGGCTGGAGAATCGCTTGAACCCGGGAGTTGGAGGTTGTAGTGAGCCGAGATCGCGCCACTGCACTCCAGCCTGGGTGACAGAGCGAGACTCTGTCTCAAAAAAAAAAAAAATTTTTACAGATGGAGGAACTGAGATTTAGAGGGATTAAGCAACTCACACAGGGTTACAAGTGACAGGGGTGGTGACTCAAACCTCATTTTTCTCATTATCTGTCCAGGGAGTATTCAAGTACAATATGCAATTAACAGAAATAACAACGAACTTTTATTATATTTACATATAGGCCAGGTCCTGGACAAGGGGCTTGCACACACACCCTTCCAGCAAATCCTCACAACAACCCCATTGGGTGGGCACTGCGGGGCACACTGCACAGGGAAGACACTGAGGCCCAGAGAGGATGGGGAGCTGAGGCTCACACACAGGCAACACTGAGCCAGGGCAGTGAAGTTCATCTGATGCTTGGTGCTGATGGCTCAGGGAAGATGGACTTTAACAGTGGAGGGTCCCAGGGGGATGTGGCCAGTCCCCTCAGGGTGGTCTTTGGATTAACGTTAGTTGTTGCTTAAAAAATGGTGGAACTGGGCATGGTGGCTCATGTCTGTAATTTCAGCACTTTGGGAGCTGAGGCAGGAGGATTACTTGAGCCCAGGAATTCTAGACCAGCCTGGGCAACATAGGGAGACCTCATCTCTACAAATAGTAATTAAAAAATTAGCTTGAGCACTTAAAAAAAAAATTAAGAGTAGGCCGGGCATGGTGGCTCACACCTGTAATCCCAACACTTTGGGAGGCCAAGGCAGGCGGAGACCAGCCTGGCCAATGTGGTGAAACCCCATCTCTACTAAAAATACAAAAATTAGCCAGGCATGGTGTTGCACGCCTGTAATCCCAGCTAGAGGGAAGGCTGAGGTATAAGAATTGCTTGAACTTGGGAGATGGAGGTTGCAGTGAGCTGAGATTGTGCCACTGCACTCCAGCCTGGGCAACAGAGTGAGACTCTGTCTCAAAAAAAAAATCATCATCATAAGAGCAAAAATAAACTTTAAAAAAAATAAAATATTAGCTTGGCATGGTGTTATGCCTGTGGTACCAGCTACTTGGGAGGCTGAGGTGGGAGGATCACCCGAGCCTGGGAGGTTGAGGCCGCAGTGAGCCATGATCATTCCACCGCACTCTAGCCTGGGTGACAGGGCAAGACTAAAAAGAAAAAAAAAAGAAAAGAAAAGAAAGGCGGCTTACACCTGTAATCCCAGCACTTTGGGAGGCTAAGGAGGGTGGATCACCTGAGATTAGGAGTTCAAGACCAGCCTGGCCAACATGGTGCTACCCCGTCTCTACTAAAAATAAAAAGTTAGCCAGGTGTGGTGGTGGGCGCCTGTAATCCCAGCTACTCGGGAGACTGAGGCAGGAGAATCGCTTGAACCTGGGAGGCAGAGGTTGCAGTGAGCTGAGATTGCACCATTGCACTCCAGCCTAGGTGACAAGAGGGAAACTCCATCTCAGAAGAACAACAACAACAACAACAACACCCAAAAACCAAACAACAACAACTACAACAAAAAGAGAGGGAATGTCTTCAGTAATCTGTGATATGAGAAAGGTCCTAATGTTTGCAACAGGGACTACTGCTGGCATACTGATTTCTACATTTTTATTAGTGGTTAATTAGTGGAAGTGGTGGCTGGAGTAGCAAGAGTCATTCATTTCTCCTATCCTAGGAGGGCGCTTATCCAGAAGTTAGGAAACAGAGGTTCCCCTTCTGCCACACAACTTTCTGTGCCAGGTCACCTTAGGCAAGTCATTGACCTCTGTGGACCTTCGTTTTCTCATCTGTAACATGGGATGAAAGCAGATGTCCAGCCTCCCTCACAGGATTATTAGGAAGTTTAGGTAAGATAATGATAAGGTGCCTTAGAGACTGGAAAACCCTGAGCCATCGTAAGGGATAGATCCTAATGCAGTGCGTTGTCCCAGTGAGGCAGTCCTGGCAGGACCACAGGATAGTTCTTAGTCCCACAGAGGAGGGCTGGTCTGGTGCAGAGGCTGTAGTTGACATCACAGTCGATTGATAAGTTGATGTGATGCTTTGCACTGGGAGTTACACTTGAGAGAATGACTCTAAGATCAAGAGGAAGAGTTGAGTTGGCTTCTCATTTAAATATTTCATCCCTCAAACAAACAGCATTCACTTAGCCATTTGTCAGTAAAAAAGACATTTTTCACTTACACACACACTGTTGGGTGATAATAATAATAGTTTCCTTTATGTATTTACCATGAACTAAATGTTACAAGGTTACTTCAGTTCTTAGAATTCTATGATGTGTATGACGTGCTTACTCTTTTGTTTGTTTGTTTGTTTGTAGAGATGGGGTTCTCGCTTGTTGCCCAGGTTGGTCTTGAACTCCTGGCCTCAAGTGATCCTCCTGCCTCGGCCTTCCAAAGTGCTGGGATTACAGGTATGAGCCACCATGACCAGCCTAAAGTGAATTAATGTTTGATTCTCTGGCTAGACAAGCCCCACTGTGGAAAGGTGGTAGCAACAAGTTGTGAAATAATTTTGAGACCATTTAGTTCTTCTTGGCCTCAGGATGGCAGTTGTGACTGATGCAGCAGGTGTTTTTTTTTCTCTTTCTTTCTTTCTTTTTTTTTTTTTCTTGAGACGGAGTCTCGCTCTGTTGCCAGGCTGGAGTGCAGTGGCGTGATCTCTGCTTACCACAACCTCCGACTCCCTGGTTCAAGCGATTCCCCTGCCTCAGCCTCCCGAGTAGCTGGGATTACAGGCATGTGCCACCATCCCCAGCTAATTTTTGTATTTTTCAGTAGAGACGGGGTTTCCCCATGTTGGCCAGGATGGTCTGGTCTCCTGACCTTGTGATCCGCCCGCCTCAGCCTCCCAAAGTGCTGGGATTACACGCGTGAGCCACCCCGCCCGGCCAGAGGGTTGTTTCTTTAGCACCTCTTCCTCTGTCCCTCCTTTCTCTGAATCCTGTACTTAAATCACTCCCTGGCTACTCAAGACCATAATCCCTCTTGACTCACCCAGTCAAAACTCACTTCTCTTGAGTCTCTCTGTCCACTGTGACATTGTCATATGATGAATTCAGGAGAACTAACTCTGTTCATGATTAATAGGTGCAAAGATGATGAGTCTAGGAAGATAAAATCTATCTGGTATGTTAGTGGCCCCTTAAACATCTGTCACCAGCCTTCAAGCTCAGGTGCCCCTCTCTTTTCCTGGGACACCCTCTCAGTGTCTAAAGGTCGTTAAGGTATTTCTACTTAATGTAATTTTGTTTCTCTTATGAATTTATTAAACAAATAGCATTTAAGCATTAAATAATATTCTTCTATTTATACACTATGTACACAACTAATACATAGACATTTATGGATTTAATAATCCAAACTGATTAAAACACATTATTGATTTTATTTATTTATTTATTTATTTATTTATTTATTTATTTGAGACGGAGTCTTCTCTGTCACCCAGGCTGGAGTGCAGTGGCGTGATCTCGGCTCACTGCAACCTCTGCCTCCCAGGTTCACGCCATTCTCCTGCCTCAGCCTCCTGAGTAGGTGGGACTACAGGTGCCCACCACCACGCTTGGCTAATTTTTCTGTATTTTTAGTAGAGATGGGGTTTCACCGTGTTAGCCAGGATGGTCTCGATCTCCTGACCTTGTGATCCACCCACCTCGGCCTCCCAAAGTGCTGGGATTACAGGCGTGAGCCACTGCGCCCGGCCTAAATATTGATTTTAGACTTAAACTCATTTAAGCATTTAATTAAAATCTTTCATTTAGCTGGGCACAGTGGCTCATACCTGTAATCCCAGCACTTTAGGAGGCCGAGGCGGGTGGATCACCTGAGGTCAGGAGTTCGAGAACAGGCTGACCAACATGGTGAAACCCTGTCTCTACTAAAAATATACAAATTAGCTGGGCATGGTGGCAAGCGCCTATAATCCCAGCTACTCAGGAGACTGAGGCAGCAGAATCGCTTGAACCCAGGAGGCGGAGGTTGCAGTGAGCCGAAATCGCGCCATTGCACTCCAGCCTGGGCGACAAGAGCAAGACTCCATCTTAAAAAAAAAAAAAAATCTTGCATTTAATACATAGGATTCTCTTATATGTCTGAAACCCCCTAAGAAGCAAATGCATTTTTTTTTTGAGATGGATTTTCGCTCTTGTTGCCCAGGCTGTAGTGCAATGGCGCGATGTCAGCTCACTGCAACCTCTGCCTCCCGGGTTCAAGCAATTCTTCTGCCTCAGCCTCCCAAGTAGCTGGGATTACAGGTGTGCACTACCATGCCCGGCTAATTTTTTATTTTTAGTAGAGATGGGGTTTCACCATGTTGGTCAGGCTGGTTTTGAACTCCTGACCTCAGGTCATCCACCCGCCTTGGCCTCCCAAACTGCTGAGATTACAGGTGTGAGCCACTGCACCCAGCCTAAGAATGCAATTATTATTATTATTTTATTTTTATTTTTTGGAGACAGAGTCTTCCTCTATCACCCAGGCTGAAGTGTAGTGGCACCATCAGGGCTCACTGCAGCCTCAACCTCCTGAGCCCAAGGAGTCCTCCCACCTCAGCCTTCCAAGTAGCTGGGACAACAGGCCTGCACCACTGCACCTGGGTAATTTTTAAATTTTTATAGAGATGGGGTCCCACTATGTTGCTCAGACTGATCTTGAACTCCTGGAATGATCCTCCCACCTCAGCCTCCTAAAGTGCTGGGATTACAGGCATGAGCCACTGTGCCCAGCCTGGAACACTAACTTTTAACAACTATCTGCACACAGAGAAGCATCATCACAAGAACCAAAAATCAGGTGAGCAATCACAGTAACTGGATTTAACTTCATATCACTAAAGGAAACATTGAGGAGGGCAGGAGAGACAGTCTTGAATTGTGACGCCCCTTCCGTCCTCCCTGGCAGTGTCCCTGCAGCGTGGAAAGAGAGTCTTTGCATTTTGGGGAGGGAGGGCATGGGGTGGGGGACTTTATATTGAACTCACTGCTGCACTGTCATAGCGGAGAGCAAAGTCATGCTGGGATCGACCGGCACCTGCATGTGGAGGGGGCATCTGGGCCAGCCCTAGCCAGAGGGAAATCACCTCTCCCAGTGGTTGGAACTTGAGTTTCTCTGCAAGCCTCACCACCATGGGCCAAAGTGCTCTGGTGTCCTAGGTAAACTTGAAAGGCAGTCTAGGCTGGGTGCGGTGGCTCACACCTATAATCCCAGCACTTGGGGAAGCTGAGGCAGGAGGGACACTTGAGCCCAGGAGTCTGAGACCAGCCTGGGCAACATAAAAAGGCCATATTTCTACAAAAGAAAAAGAAGAAAAGGCAGTCTAGGACCCAAGGACTGCAATTCCTAGACAACTCCTAGTGCTCGGCTGGACTTACAGCCAATGGACTAGGGTTGCACTTGACCTAGGTAGACACCAGCCGGTATGGCTAAGGGAGGGCTTGTGCCACCCCTTCTCCAATCCCAGGCAGTGCAGCTCCTAGCAATGAAAGTGACTCCTTCGCTCTGCTTAAGGAGAGACGAGCAACGGGTAAAGAGGACTTGGTCTTGCATCTTGGATACCAGCTCAGCCACAGTAGGATAGGGCACTGGGCCGAGTCATGAGGCCCCCATTCCAGGCCCTAACTCCCAGATGTCATTTTTAGACACACCTGGGCCAAAAGGGAAGCTGCTGCCTTGAAGAGAAGGGGCCAGTACTTGCAGGATTCATCACCTGCTGACTAAAGAGCCCTTGGGCCCTGAATAACTAGCAGCAATAACCAGGTAGTACACTGTGGGCCTTGTGTGAGACTCTGAGACGTGCTGTCTTCAGCAGTGACCCAGCACATTCCCAGCTATGGTGGCTATGGTGAAAGACTCCTGCAGTTTGAGAAAAGCAGAGGGAAAAGTAAAGGGGACTTTGTCTTGTACCTTAGGCACCAGCTCAGCCATGGTAGGGCAGAGCAACAAGCAGTCTCTTGGAGTCCCCAAGTCTAGGTGTAGATTCTGTCCTGGACCTGCCCCTCTGGCTCAGGGCAGGTCCAGAGGGGAGCCTGCTGCCCTGAAAGGTAAGTCCCAGGCTTGGCAACATTCACCACAAGCTGATGGAAGAGTTCTTGGGCTTTAATTTTTATTTTTATTTTTTCGAGACGGAGTCTTGCTGTCACCCTGACTGGAGTGCAGTGGTACCATCTGGGCTCACTGTAAACTCCGTCTCCTGGGTTCAAGAGGTTCTCCTGCCTCAGCCTCCCAAGAAGCTGAGCTTACAGGCACCCACCACCACACCTGGCTAATTTTTGTATTTTTAGTAGACACAGTGTTTCACCATGTTGGTCAGGCTGGTCTTGACCTCCTGACCTCAAGTGATCCACCTGCCTCGGCCTCCCAAAGTGCTGGGATTACAGGCGTGAGCCACCACAGCCGGCCACCTTTGGGCTTTAAGTGAACATTGGTGGTGGACTGGCAGAATTGCTGTGGACTGGTGGTGGTGGTTGCCATAGGGAGAGGCTCCTCTGCCTAAGGAAAGGGGAGGGATGAGTGGGAGGGACTTTGTATTGTGGTGTCAGCGCCCGCTTAGCCACAGTAGAACAGAACATCAGGTAAATTACCAAAGTTTTTGACTCCAATCCCTGGCTCCCAGACAGCATCTCTGGAGAAGCTCTTAGCCTAGAGGAACTAGTTGCCCTGAAGGGAAGGCCCTGGCAAAGACCCAGTGCTGTGCTGGCTTCAGATCTGACCCAGTGCAGTCCCAGTGACGGCCACAGGGGTGCTTGTGTCACCACACCCCCAGCTCCAGGTGGCTCAGCAAGAGAGAGAGACTGTATGTTTGGGAGAAAGTAAGCAAAAAGAACAAGAGTCTATGCCTGATAATCCAGAAAATTCTTCCAGCTCTTATCCAAGACCACCAAGGCAGTACTTCTAAGAGTCTGCAAAACCACAGCATTATTGGGTTTCCCAAGAAGGACAGGCACAAACAAGCCCAGGGCTGTGAAGGCTACAATAAATACCTAATTCTTCAATGCCCAGATACCGACAAACGCCTATAAGCATCAATACCATCATGACCTCATCAAATGAACTAGATAGGCTATCAGGGACCAATCCTGGAGAAAAAGAGATATATGATCTTTCAGATAGATCATTCAAAATAGATGTTTTGAGGAAACTAAAAGAAATTCAAGGGCCAGGTATGGTGGCTCATGCCTGAAATCCCAGCACTTTGGGAGGCCGAGGAGGGTGGATCGCGAGTTCAGGGGATCGAGACCATCCTGGCTAACATGGTGAAACCCCATTTCTACTAAAAATACAAAAAATTAGCTGGGCGTGGTGGCACGTGCCTGCAGTCCCAGCTACTCAGGAGGCTGAGGCAGGAGAATCGCTTGAACCCAGGAGGCGGGGGTTGCAGTGAGCCGAGATCACACTACCGCACTCCAGCTTGGGTGACAGAATGAGACTCCATCTCAAAAAAAAAAAAAAAAAAAAATTTAAGATAGCATAGAGAAAGAATTCAGAATTCTATCAGATAAATTTAACAAGGAGATTGAAATAATTAAAAAGAATCAGGCAGAAATTCTATAGTTGAAAAATACAATGGACACGCTGAAGAATGTAAGACTCTTTTGAAAATTTTTTTTCTTTTTTCTTTTTCCTTTTCTTTCTTTCTTTTTTTCTGTGGGGGGGACAGAGTCTTACTCTGTTACCCAGGCTGGAGTGCAGTGGCACAATTTCAGTTCACTGCAACCTCCGTCTCCTGGGTTCAAGAGGTTCTCCTGCCTCCGCCTCCCAAGTAGCTGGGATTACAGATGCCCACCACCACGCCTGGCTAATTTTTGTATTTTTAGTAGAGATAGGGTTTTGCTGGGTTGGCCAGGCTGGTTTCGAACTCCTGATCTCAGTTGATCCGCCTGCCTTGGCCTTTCAAAGTGCTTGGATTTCAGGTGTGACCCACTGTGCCCAGCCTTTTTAAAATTTTATTTATTTTAATCTTTCAGAAAAGACAGAATCTCTGAATTGTAGAATTAATCAAGCAGAAGAATTAGTGAACCTGAAGACAGGTTCCTTGAAAATACAGAGTCAGAGGAGACAAAAGAAAAAATAATAAAAAACAATGAAGCATGCCTACAAGATCTAGAAAACAGCCTCAAAAGGGCAAATCTAAGAGTTATTGGCTTTAAAGAGGAGGTACAGAAGAGATAGAGATAGAAAGTTTATTCAGAGAAATAACAGAATTTCCCAAACCTATGGAAAGATATCAACATTCAAATACAAGAAGGTTATAGAATGCCAGGCAGATTAAACTCAAAGACTACCTCAAGGCATTTAATGATCAAACTCCCAAAGCGTCAATAAGTCTGGCAGCAGATTTTTCAGTGGAAGGCTTACAGGCCAGGAGACAGTGGCATGACATATTTCAAGTGCTGAAGGAAAAAAACTTTTACCCTACAATAGTATATCCAGTGAAAATATCCTTCAAGCATAAAGGAGAAATAAAGACTTTTCCAGACAAACAAAAGCTGAGGGATTTCATCAACACCAGAACTGTCTGACAAGAAATGCTAAAGGGAGCTCTTTAATCTGAAAGAAAAGGATGTTAATGAATGAGAATAAATCTCATTACAAAACTCACTGGTAATAGCAAGTATACAGAAAAACACAGAATAGTATAACAATTTAATGGTGGTAGGTAAACTACTCCTGTCTTAAAGTAGAAAGACTAAATGATCAACCAATAGAAAATAATAACTATAGTTTACTGCAGCACTGTTCACAATAGCCAAGATTTGGAAGCAACTAAAGTGTCCATCAACAGATGAATGGATAAAGAAAATGTACATATACATAATGGAGTACTATTCAGCCATAAAAAGAATGGTGTCTTGTCATTTGCAACAATATGGATGGAATTGGAGGTCATTATGTTAGATGAAATAAGCCAGGCATAGAAAGACAAACATCACATGTTCTCACTTATTTGTGGGATCTAAATTCAAAACAATTGAACTCATGGACAGAGACAGTAGAAGGATGGTTACCAAAGGCTGGGAAGAGTAGAGCTATGGGGGACACGTGGGGATGGTTAATGGGACAAAAAAAAATAGTTAGAAAGCATGAATAAGACCTGGTATTTGATAGCACAACAGGAGGACTACAGTCAATAATAACTTTTTTTTTCTTTTTTTTCAGATGGAATCTCCCTCTGTTGCCCAGGCTGGAGTATAGTGGCACCTTCTCAGCTCACTGCAGCCTCCACTTCCTGGGCTCCAATGATTCTCCTGCCTCAGCCTCCCGGGTAGCTGGGATTACAGGCACGCACCAACACCCCTGGCTAACTTTTGTATTTTTTGGAATGATGGGGTTTCACCATGTTGGCCAGGCTAGTCTCAAACTCTGGACCTCAGGTGATCTGCCCGCCTCGGCCTCTCAAAGTGTTAGGAGTATAGGCATGAGCCACTGCGCCCAGCTGGTAATAACTTAATTGTACATTTAAAAATAACTACAAGAGTATAATTGCATTGTTTGTAATGCAAAGGATAAATGTTTGAAAGGATGGATACCCAATTTTCCATGATGTGATTATGACACACTGCATGCCTGCACCAAAATATCTCATGTACCCCATAAACATACATACCTACAACGTACTCACAAAATTAAAAAATCATTAATAAAATAATAAAATGAGGCCAGGCGTGGTGGCTCACTCCTGTAATCCCAGCACTTTGGGAGGCCGAGGCAGGCGGATCACCTGAGGTTGGGAGTTCAAGACCAGTCTGACCAACATGCAGAAACCCCATCTCTACTAAAAATACAAAATTAGCCGGGCATGGTGGTGCATGCCTATAGTCCCAGCTACTCAGGAGGCTGAGGCAGGAGAATCGCTTGAAGCCAGGAGGCGGAAGGTTGTGGTGAGCCAAGATTGTGCCATTGCACTCCAGCCTGGGCGACAAGAGAGAAACTCTGTCTCAAAATAAATAAATAAATAAATAAATAAATAAATAATAATAAAAATAAATAAATGTACAAAACCAGGGAGTAGTTTTTAGTATACTCATGGAGTTACAAAACCAACACCGTAATCAATTTCAGAACATTTTCATCAACCCCAAAAGAAAGCCCAAACCCATGAGCAGTCACTCCCAATCTCCTCGCAACCCTCCCCTACTCCACCCCAGCCCTAAGCAGCCACTCATCTACTTTTCGTCTCTAAGGACTTACCTATTCTGTACATTTCATATAAATGGAATAATACAACATGGGGTCGTTTTGACTGGCTTCTTTCATTTAGCACAATGTGTTCAAGGTTCATCCATGTTGTAGCACATATCAGTACTTTATTTCTTTTTATTTCAAATTCATTTTTATTCTAGCGTATGGCTGTATATATCACATTTTATTTTCCATTCATCCGTTGAGGGACATTTAGGCCATTTCCATTTTTTATTGTTGTTGTTGTCGTCGTTGTTGTTTGGCTATTATGAATAATGCTGCTATGAACATTGGTGAACAAGTTCTTGTGTAGACATAGATTTTCATTTTTCTGGGCTATAAACCTAGAAGTAGGATTGCTGAGTCATACAGTAACTCCATGTTCAACCTTTGGAGGAATGGTCAGACTGTTTTCCAAAGTGCTGTACCATTTCACTGTCCAACAGCTGTGCATGAGAGTGCCAATTTTTCCACACCCTTGCCAACACTTATTATCTCTCTTTTTACTATAGCCAGCCTAGTGGGTGTGAAATTATATCTCACTGAGGAATATAACTGCTTTTAGTTAGGTACACATCTTTTACATAAATTTTAGAATTTTGCGGGCCAAGCACGGTGGCTCACACCTGTAATCCCAGCACTTTGGTAGGCTGAGGAGAATGGATCACCTGAGGTCAGGAGTTCAAGACCAGTCTGGCCAACATGGCAAAACCCTGTCTCTACTGAAAAAACAAAAATTAGCCGGGCGTGGTGGCACATGCCTGTAATCCCAGCTAGTCGGAAGGTTGAGGCATGAGAATCGCTTGAACCCAGGAGGCGGAGGTTGCAGTGAGCCGAGATCACTCCATTGCACTCCAACCTGGGTGACAGAGCGAGACTTCGTATCAAAAAACAAAAACAAAAAAACAAACAAGAATCTCACAACATATTTTCTCCCCCTAATATAACACACTTCAATAATCTCTCTTGACCATTATTACATAATGAATTTTTCTCTCATTATGATATACTGACTTGATCTGTTAGCAGTATTAAATCTTATGCATATCTTATTTGTATTTTATTATAACTAGTAGGGCAATTTAAATATTCAATATTCTAGAAGATGAAGAATTGGGTTGACTTGGCTAGCTCTTCTTTTTAGTGATATTTTTGGTTAATTTATTGTCTTGGTACCTACTATTGAAACTCCCTTCTCTTTCATTATTGCCTCTGACATCATCTCATGTCAGACGTTCTTATTTCTGCTAACGTTCATACTTACAGCAGGGCTGTTACTGGCGGTGAATCCGTAGGTGTCTGCAGCAACCTCAATTCCTACCTCCTCAGAAGAAAGAATTTGACTGAGGGGCATAAGGCAGAAGGAGACAACGAGGCAAGTTTTAGAGCAGGAGTGAAAGTTTATTAAAAGGCTTTAGAGCAGGAAGGAAAGTACATTTGGAAGAGGGCCAAGTGGACGACTTTAGAGATCAAGTGTGTGGTTTGATCTTTTGACTTGGGTCTTTTTTTGTTTGTTTTTTGTTTTTTTTTTTTTTTTGAGATGGAGTCTCTCCCTGTCACCCAGGCTGGAGTACAGCGGTGCAATCTTGGCTCACTGCAACCTCCGCCTCCCGGGTTCAAGCGATTCTCCTGCCTCAGCCTCCCAAGTAGCTGGGATTACAGGTGTGCACCACCAAGCCTGGCTAATTTTTGTATTTTTAGTAGAGACGGGGTTTCACCATGTTGGCCAGGCTGATCTCAAACTCCTAATCTCAGGTGATCTGCCCACCTTGGCCTCCCAAAGTGCTGAGATTACAGGTGTGCCACTGCACCCGGCCTGACTTGAGGTTTTATACATTGCATGCTTCGGGGGTCTTGGTGTTCCTTCTCCCTTGATTCTTCCCTTGGGCTGGGCTGTCCATATGTGCAGTGGTCTGCTAGCCCTTGGAAAGGGCTGCATGCACAGTGTGTTTACTGGAGTTGTACGCATGCTCACTTGAGGCGTTCTTCCCTTGCCAGTCTAAAATTCGTAGAGGAAGGACATACACCAGTTAAACTCCACAGTTTTGCCTCTTAGTAAGCATGCTTGAGTCCACTCGCCCAACTCCTGAGATCTTATCAGGAAGCTGCTGATCACCAGTTTCAGGTTTTTTCTATCTATTGGGAGCTGCCTGTCCCTGGCGCCAGCTGCTACCAGTTATTATTTTAGAGAAACAGTTAATAACCGCCTGGCCATCACCTGATGCTCGCCTGGCATTCCTGGTGGGTGTGTGTGGTAGGAAGCCCTCTCCTGCTCTGCTCGTGCCTGACTAGCTGCCTACTATAACAGGGCTACTTGGCTTTCTCAGCATTCTCTGTGGGTTTTCTGCTTACACAGACAAAAGCAAGCACCTATCTTTGCTTTATAAACAGACACATAATTAATAGAAGAGACAAAATGAATAGTTCCCTTTTTATTAAAATAAAATTTTAAAACTCAATTCTTCTCTATTACAGTCATCTTTTGTGCCCTTTATGTGAATTTTTATCTGTTATTATCGTGATTTCATGGCCTGCCACAGATTCAATTTACTTCAATTAACCATAATTATCATTCCTCCCCCCATCTTCTTTCTTTCATGCCCGACTGTCAACTTGAACAATGGGAGCTCTTTGAAATTGGCTCCTTTGTCTTTTTAAGCACTGTCCTTGACTTACTTTCCTTCCTTCCTTCCCTCCTTCCTTCCTTCTTTCCTTCCTTCCTTCTCTCTCTCTCTCTTTCTTTCTTTTCTTTCTTTTTTGCGACAGGGTCTCACTGTTGCCCAGGTTGGAGTGGCACAGTCGCAGCTCACTGCAGTCTTGACCTTCCCAGCATCAGATGATCCTCCCATTTCAGCCTCCCACGTAGCTGGGACTACATGCATGCATCACCATGCCCAGCTACTTTTTGTATTTTTTGTAGAGATGGGGTTTCGCCACGTTGCCCAGGCTGGTCTTGAACCCCTCTGCTCAAGTGATCTGTCCGTCTTGGCCTCCCAAAGTGCTGGGATTACAGGCATGAGCCACGTGCCCAGCCTGTCCTTCACATTCTTGAAGTCATCCTTGCTCTATGGCAACAACAGAACATTCAAGTCCTGTCCTGATTCTTTCCTTCTCTGAGACATGGAATCAGTTGTCACCTAAGCCTTGCATTCTAAGGGGTCCTAGTTTCTATAAATGAAAAACAGTATTTGAAACCAAAGGCTAGGTCCTGGGGTTCCACATGACAGCTAGTGACAAAACTACTACCTCCTCTGTTGGCCACTTTTTTGTTTGTTTGTTTGTTTGTTTGAGACAGAGTCTTGCTGTGTTGCCAGGCTGGAGTGCAGTGGTGCCATCTTGGCTTAATGCAACCTCAACCTCCCAGGCTCAAGCAATCCTCCCACCTCAGCCTCCCAAGTAGCTAGGACTACAAGTGCACCACCATGCCTGGCTAATTTTTTTTTTTTTTTTTTTTTAAATAGAGACAGGGTTTCGCCATGTTGCCCAGGCTGGTCTCAAACTCCTGGGCTGAAGCCATCTGCCCATCTCAGCCTCCCAAAATGCTGGGATTACAAGTGTAATCCACTGTGCCTGGCCCATAGTTGGCCACTTTTTAAGATAGACGTTAATGTCAAATTTGCTAACTTAACATGCTGTTTGTTGTATCCTACTTGTATTAGAGAGAGCAGGGTAGACTCATCATGAAAACTTTCCACATCACTGAGAGACAATGAAGGGACCATACCCAGGTTTATGCAGGAATGAAGTGAAGGAACATGTGGAAGTTAAAGTCAGTGTGGGGAAGGCTGGAGAGTGTGAATTGGGCAACACTCCACGTAAGGTGAGGTCAGCTGGGAAACCAGTCCACTGTAGAGATTTTGAAGTCATAAGTTTGAGATAAGGTGAAGTGCTCAGTGATTTTTCCACCTGTTATTTTCACCTAACAAAGACCTGTTTGAGCTATAGTCATTCAGGATGTGACCATGTGTCCCCCACCCCCAAAAGATATGCTGAAATCTTAATCCCTGGTACCTCAGAATGTGATCTGATTAGGAAATAGGGTCTTTATAGAGGTCATCAAGTTAAAATGAGGTCATTAGGGTGAGCCTTAATCCAATAGAATTTGAGTGGAGCCTGGAGCATCTGCAGGACCCAAGAAAGTGACCACAGAGAGGGTCCAAGGGGTGGGGGTGCTGGTGCTGACACTGCAGAGCCTTCTAGGCCTTCTTAGGGATTTGGCGTTTTACCTGTATCTGAAGAACAAGGGTTGCACTGATGGCAAGCCAAGATGCATTGTGTTTGCTAGGGGCTGCCAAGTTGCCAAGAGAGGAAATGACTCTGCAGATGGTTCTGCAGGGCCTGGCACAGGGCGAGTTTCCTGCATGAGGGAGGTGCTTTTATTTAATTGTTAAATTTGTTTCCTGTTTATGCCCTTCTTTCTCATATGGGGATGTTCATGGCCTCCTGCCTGGGTGGTGACAGCACTCTCCTAATTGGCCTCATACCCACAGGCTCTGCGTCCTCCAGCCCATCCTATAAGTCAGCTCATCAGACCTCTACCCTGCTCAGGTACTGGCTGGGTGCAGAGCCTGCAGCTTGCACAGAAGGTCGTTCCTGTGCAGCTGACTGCCCCTCCAGGCTCTGTCTGTCTCTTGTCCTCACCCTCACCCCTGCTCCTGCTCTCTGCTGGGCAGACACCACTGGTGGAACTCATGAACATTTGCAGAACTAATGACTGAAGGCACCAGGGCCCTGGCAGCCACCCCACCCTGCACGCAACTGGAGCTCTTCACCACTCTGCACTTTGGTTCTGTGATTTGCCCACCTCCTCTTTCTCTGCCTGTTAAATGGAACATTCATTTGCTACATTCCAGTTCCAGAAGCTTTTAACAAAACCCAGGGAATCCTAGAAGGGTACAGTAAGAGGAATGGAAAGAGGAAAGAAGTTAAAATGTATTTGGTGGCCAGACGCAGTGGCTCATGGCTGTAATCCCAGCACTTTGGGAGGCCGAGGCGGGCGGATCACTTGAGATCAGGAATTCAAGACCAGCCTGGTCAACATGGCAAAACCCCATCTCTACTAAAAATATAAAAATTAGCTGGGCGTAGTGGCGGGCAACTGTAATCCTAGCTACTCGGAAAGCTGAGGCACGAGAATCACTTGAACCCCAGAGGCAGAGGTTGCAGTGAGCTGAGATCGCACTACTGCACTCCAGCCTGGGTGACAGAGTGAGACTCCAATTCCAAAAATAAATAAATAAATAAATAAACAAATAAATAAATAAATAAATAAATAGTGTGTTTGGTTCAGGGGAAAGACTAAAGCTACTGAATAACCTTTGATGTTAAATAAAATTATAACTTTAAATAGATGTAAGGGAAATCATGAATTAGACTAGAACTAAAGATGCATGTTTTAAACTACTGGAAGGGCTGAAACAACAACATAGAGAGCAACCCTTTCGGTGAAAATCAGGGGAAAAAATAATACTCAGAAAAAATAAAGTAATATAGACATAAAAGCTTATCTCTTTTTTAAACAGAGTATTCGTGTTCCATGAAACTGCTGGTGATAATTTTTAAAAAGTGTATTCATGGAGAAAGTTCTGATGAGATATATTTCGGCGGTTATTCCTTGGTGGTAGAAGCTTTTCAGGACTTTTCAACTTTGTACTTTGTACTTTTACAAAGACCTGTATAGTACTGGGTTTATAATAAAAACAAAACAAACACAAAAGCCCATTCATCTGCAAACAACTCATTGTTCAAGTCTTTCCTGACCCTCCCACTGAACTCCCAGGCTGATGGTGACTTTCTCATGACATTGAAGGACATTGAATAATTATAGTTATAACTACTGTAACTAATGGGCCCAGCACTAAGCTCTCTAAGCCTCATCTTCCTTATCTGTAAAGTGGGGATAGTCAGAGTTCCCATGTGATAGGCTTGTTGAGATGACTCAACCAAATATTTGTATACGAAATTCTTAGCATCGTGTCTGGCACGATAAGAACTCAATAACAATTTGCTGTTGTTACCATTATTATTATAATTTATTTTATGTTATTTTTTGAGTGACAGAGTGTCACTCTGTCCCCCAGGCTGGAGTGCAGTGGCACGATCTTGGCTGACTGCAACCTCCACCTGCTGGCTTCAAAGGATTCTCCTGCCTTAGCCTCCTGAGTAGCTGGGAATACGCCCCCGGCTAATTTTTTTTTTTTTTTTTTTTTTTTGAGACTCGCTCTGTCACCTAGTCTAGAGTGCAGTGGTGCGATCTCGGCTCACTGCAACATACGCCTCCCAAGTTCAAGCGATTCTCCTGCCTCAGACTCCCGAATAGCTGGGATTACAGGCACCCGCCATCATGCCCAACTAATTTTTGTATTTTTGGTAGAGATGGGGTTTCACCATGCTGGCCAGGCTGGTCTTGAACTCCTGACTTCAGGTGATCAGCCCACCTCAGCCTCCCAAAGTGTTGGGATTACAGGTGTGAGCCACCGTGCCCAGCCTAATTTTTGTATTTTTAGAAGAGACGGGGGTCTCACCATGTTGACCAGGCTGGTCTAGAACTCCTGATCTCAGGTGATCTGCCCACCTTGGCCTCCAAAAGTGCTAGGATTACAGGTGTGAGCCACTGCACCCAGCCTCTAACTTACTTTAATTCCAAACATCCTTCCAAGGTAGGCATTATGAGCTTTATAAATGATGAAAATATGGCTCAGAGAGGTTAAGTAATTTGCCTAAAGTCACACAGCTAGTAAAGGGTTTCCTGGGACATTACATGAAAGTTAATCACCTACGAATGAAAGTTGTGGGGAATCTGTGCACAGTGAATGAGAGGCACTAAC
Source organism: Homo sapiens (assembly GCF_000001405.40). NCBI lineage: Eukaryota > Metazoa > Chordata > Mammalia > Primates > Hominidae > Homo > Homo sapiens. Next base: position 2,350,299 of record NT_167248.2, on the reverse strand, counting down.
TGGAAAAGACACTGTAGATGGTGCTAAGGAAATTGGGGAGTAAATAAATCCAATCAAAGGGAGCCAAGGGGAAGTATGCATGGATAAAGACTAGACCTAAGGAAGCAAAAATCAAATCCATGGTACTAGGCGCCAACTGAAGAAAGAATGTGGATGCAGAAGAGGGTGGCCTTTATGGAATCTAGGAAAGCGGGGCTCAAGGGACAAGAATCATGAGCTGTTTAGTCATTGTTCCCTGCAGGGGAACATGAAGACAGGTATGTTCTGGCCATGAGTATTCTGTTGTAACCTATTTTAATTTTATTTTCTTAATTTTCTTTAATAGAGACAGGGTCTGGTATGTTACCCAGGCTGATCTCCTGGGCTCAAGCGATTCTCCCACCTCAGCCTCCCTAAGAGATTGCAGGCATGAGCCACCACGCCCAGCCATAACCTACTTTTAATCAGCAGCTTCAAAATGGCTGTGACATCAAGTGTATAATAACACTGAACTCACAGTCATGCTCTACATATCAAAAGATGGGTGGAGAGAGACTTCTTCTGTCAGTTTGATGGAAGAATATGTGTGCCATCTGTTTCATGTACACTAGAATTCATCCCTGGATTAAGCCAGACCAGTGGCATGGACACACAGCATGGGACTGCACTGATCTGACTGATTCTGCCGGAACATGGTGCCACCAGCTGTAACAGGAACACTGAAGAAATGAATAAATCCTATGAAAACTTGTATTTATGGTAGTGGTGTGGTTGAGATGTTTTTCACTTTATCACACCCCTTCTGGTCAAGGGAGACCAGAAGAAAACTGCTTCCTGGTCTCAGGGAAAGGAATAGTTGTGCTACTATTGCGGGACTTTTCCTTAGTTCAGCTAAAGACGGGTTCTTTGTCCCACAGCCACGAAAATTCAGGCTCACAGACAATCTGAATGGTGAATGAGACGGGTTTTATTGGATGAAAAGGAAGAAAACGGAGAAACAGGGACTGTCGCTAGGCCAGAGTCCCTACTAGAGCGCTTCCCACCCGCCATTCAAATCCCAGGATCCACACACTAAGAAGAGGGGCCAGGCTGCTCCCCGCTGCAAAGGGCACAAACTTCCTGAGGCTCCACCTCAGTGGGCAGGCTGGTTGGCATTTCTCCAGGGAACCCCTCCCACCTGGCTGTCTCACTACTTCTGAGACTTTGGACACTGGAAGCCATGTGATGATTGTGTTTCCCTCTTTGAATTGGCTTCTAGAGAGCTCAGTTCCAAACCTGCGACCCCCACCCCCAGCACAGCATGATGTTTATACTAATCTTACTGGTTTTATCTGATTTTTCTAACTCTTTACTTGCCTTCGTATTTTTCTTTCTTTTTCTTAGAGATTTTGGGGTCTCACTCATAGCTCACTGCAGCTTCAAACTCCTGGGCTCAAGTGATCCTCCAGCCTCAGCCTTCTGAGGAAGTAGCTAGGACTACAGGCATGTGCCCCAACAGCCTGGCTAATTCATTTTATTGCTTTTTTAGAGATGAGATCTGGCTATGTTGTCCAGGCTGGGCAGTCTCAAACTCCTGGCCTCAAGCAATCCTCCTGCCTCAGCCTCCAGAGTAGGTGGGGTTACAGGCAGGCACCACCAGGCTCAGCCTTAGTTGTAATTTTTAATTCTGTTGTATTGTGTTTAAGCTATTTTAGATTTTGTTTAAAACAAGGCTGGTATAGATACATACAATGTTTTATTCCTGGACTGGGTTTTACTATGACCTGGATGAAATACTCCTAAAATATCTACCTCTCTTAACTTTGATTTCTTGGTCACCCAGCAACGTATTTTGATTGGCAGTCAACTTTTCCTTTCAGGTATCTTGCTACTAGTTTATTTAGTTATTTTGTCATTTCACTGTTTCCATTCACTAGTTTCCATATTTCATTGCGTCCTTTTTTGCTCTTGTGTGTTTTTTTTTATGTCATTCTTTTAAGTTTATATCATATTTGTGTAATGTGGTTTTTTTCTTAACTTTTAAATTATTTTGAAGTCAATTTCATTACAAATTTCTTTTTTTAGCCAGGTGCAGTGGCTCACACCTGTAATCCCAGCACTTTGGGAGGCCGAGGTGGGCAGATCACCAGAGGTCGGGAGTTCGAGACCAGCCTGACCAACCTGGAGAAACCCTGTCTCTACTAAAAATACAAAAATTAGCCGGGTGTGGTGACACATGCCTGTAATACCAGCTACTAGGGAGGCTGAGGCAGGACAACCACTTGAACCTGGGAGGTGGAGGTTGTGGTGAGCCGAGATCATGCCATTGTACTCCAGCCTGGGCAACAAGACTGAAACTGCGCCTCAAAAAATAAAAAATTAAAAAAAATAATTAATTAAATTAATTAATCATTATTATTATTATTATGAGACAAGGTCTGGCTCTATCACCCAGGCTGGAGTGCAGTGGCACAATCACAGCTCACTGCAGCCTGGACTTCGCTGGCTCAAACGATCCTCCCACCTCAGCCTCCCAAGTAGCTGAAATGGATACGTGCACCAACACGCCCGGCTAATTTTTGTATTTTTAGTACAGACAGGGTTTCGCCATGTTGCCCAGGTTGGTCTCAAACTCCTGAGCTCAAGTGATCCACCTGCCTTGGCCTCCCAAAGTGCTGGGATTATAGGCATGAGCCACCATGCCTGGCCTAAAATTTCTTTTACTGTGGTAAAAATAAACATATATATAATTCAGCTATAAACGAGGAATTACATTCTGATACATGCTACAACATGGATGAATATTGAAAAAAAATTATGCAAAATGAAATGAGCCAGAAACAAAAGGACAAATATTGCATGATTTCACTTACATCAGATATTTAAAATGGGGAAATCTGGTTTGTCAGCACAGCGGGGAAAAAAATAAATAAAAATAAAATAGGAAAATCATAGAGGTGAAAAGTCAATTTAGCCAGGTGTGGTGGCTCATACTTGTATGTGTGTGTGGTGTGTGTATATATATATGTGTGTGTGTGTGTGTGTGTGTGTATGTTATATATATGAAAATGTATATAAGGTAAGATTTCCCATTTAACCATTTTATTTTATTTTATTTTATTTTCTCAAGACGGAGTCTCGTTCTGTTGCCCACGCTTGAGTGCAGTGGCATGATCTCGGCTCACTGCAACCTCCACCTCCTAGGTTCAAGCAATTCTCCTGCCTCAGACTCCTGAGTAGCTGGGATTACAGGTGCCTGCCACTATGCCTGGCTAATTTTTGTATTTTTAGTACAGATGGGGTTTCACCATGTTGGCCAGGCTGGTCTTGAACTCCTGACCTCAGGTGATCCTCCCACCTCGGCCTCCCAAAGTGCTGGGATTACAGGCCTGAGCCACTGCACCCAGCCTAACCATTTTAAATGTATAATTCATTGGCATTAATTACATTTGACGTTGTTGTGCAGCTGTCAACCACTATCTGTTTCCAATTTTTTTTCATTACTCCAAACAGAAACTCATTACCCATTAAGCAATAACTCCCCATTCTCCTTTCCGCCCAGCCCCTGGTAACCTCTAATCGACTTATTTTCTTTTCTTTTTTTTTTTTTTAGAGGTGGTGGGGGTGGGTGTCTCACCATGTTGCCCAGGTTGGTCTCGAACTCTTGGCCTCAAACAGTTCTCCTGCCTCAGCCTCTCAGAGTGCTGGGATTACAGGCATGAGCCACGGCACCTGGCCAAATTGACTTTTCACCTCTATGATTTTCGTATTTTACTTTATTTTTTTTCCTGCTGTGCTGGCAAACCAGATTTCCCCATTTTAAATATCTAACGTAAGTGAAATCATACAATATTTGTCCTTTTGTGTCTGGCTTATTTCATTTTACATAATTTTTTCAATGTTCATCCATGTTGTAGCATGTATCAGAATGTAATTTCTGCTGGGCGCGGTGGCTCATGCCTGTAATCCCAGCACTTTGGGAGGCCGAGGCGGGCAGATCACCTGAGGTCAGGAGTTGGAGACCCGCCTGGCCAGCATGGTGAAACCCCGTCTCTACTAAAAAAAATACAAAAATTAGCTGGGCGTGATGGCGCGTGCCTGTAATCCCAGCTACTCAGGAGGCTGAGACAGGAGAAACCCTTGAACCGGGGAGGCGGACGTTGCAGTGAGCCAAGATTGCGCCACTGCGCTCCAGCCTGGGTGACAGAGCAAGACTCTGTCTGCAAAATAAAATAAAATAAAATAAATAAATAGAATGTAATTTCTTTTTTATGGCTGAATAATAGTACTTTGTAATATTTTCATTATTGTGTATCTTTAAATTAATTTTAACGCCTTTTTTTCTCTCTCTCTTTTTTTTTTTTTTTTGGTAGCGATTTGGACCTCACTATGTTGCCCAGGCTGGTCTCAAACTCCTGGGCTCAAGCGATCCTCCCCTCTCGGCCTCCCAAAATGCTGGGATTACAGGCGTGAGCCACCTCGCCCTGCCATCATTTTATTTTTTGAATGATTTCTTATTGTCTTAACTTCTTAGGTGACTAACAATGAGGCTTGCTACTATCACCCTAGCATAATATCATCCTTAGCAAGGGAGTTGGGCGCTCTTACCGGTAGATGGCGCTGTCGATCTTTTAAAAAGCGAGCTCTCCTGCCCTCCCACTTTGAGCTCGCTGAGTCAAAACACAGCCTGAATAGTTTAGGAGCTCCAAAGCCCCGCTTATCTCCACTTTCCAAATTCTCTCTCATTAAGACCAACAAAAATTTTACCTTTATTATTAGTTATGTGACCTGCTAAGACAATTTATAACACTTTTTATTATGGAAATTTTCAAACTTACACAAAAATAAAGAAAATACCTCTATTTACCTACCATGGGACTTCAACAATTATTAGCATTTACAAATCTTGGAACAATGTTATTTTCTCACATTATGTTCTATCTCATCCCTCTTAAAGAGTTATCAGATGGGAAATCCATGGTCTAGGCTCAATAAAATCACTCTACATTAGGAAAGTCTTGGAAACAGATTGCGTTTTAGCAGGAAAAGGAGGGGGGTTGATGATTTCATTCAATAAAACAGCCTTAACTCACCGCCGTGACCAATAACCGGGTAATGTGGAAGCTCCCCGTAAGATTCCTCGTGGAAGGCAAAAATAGAGCACAACTGGGCTTTTGAATACCTCTTACATCTGCCTGCCTTTGTCTTGTCTATTTTCCAACCTGATTTCACCTGCTCCCTATCAGGATCTTAGCCTCTCAGGGTGCAGCTGATCTCAGTTCCTTTCCTTATAGTGAGACCAAGATAAGTTGACTGGGCCTGGAAATATTCTCAAGAGAGGTTTTAGAATGGAGTCAACTGCATTTCCACTGAGTCATGTCTGAAGATAAATCACAGGGCATCTATTCAGCAGTCCAGGCTGATGTCTATCTTACTTCCTGAATGTGGGTCTCGGGTATCCCTCAGAGCAGCTGTCTGATATCAGGAAGGGAAATGTGTGTTAGAGATGGTTTATTGTTATAAGTCAAACAAATAAATTATTGAATAAAACATGTTCCAGCTTTTGTCTTGATAAATATACCTTCATACTGATCTTGAAGGCTAGTGTAGCAGATACTGTTGTGTGCCACCCAAATCCTACCTTCAACATTGTCACTTATTCCCCAGCTGCCAGGGGTGTTGGTTGTGACAGCTCTGTCTCTGGGAATTGCCCTTAGCTGAAAAGAGCTGCCTTGCCCAAGGTTACACCTCCCCTCCCTGGGGGCAGCCACATCCAATGACTGATAGATAAGATAAGAACATACAAAGTCCTGGTTACCTTGCTTCAAGTTTGGCCACCTTTTTGTTTGTTTGTTTGTTTGTTTGTTTGAGATGGACTTTCGCTCTTGTTGCCCGAGCTGGAGTGCAATGGCACAATCTCTGCTCACTGCAACCTCCGCCTCCTGGGTTCAAGTGATTCTCCAGCCTCAGCCTCCTGAGTAGCTGGGATTACAGGCGCATGCCACCATGCCCGGCTAATTTTTTGTATTTTTAGTAGAAACGGGGTTTCACCATGTTAACTAGGCTGGTCTTGAACTGCTGACCTCAGATAATCCTCCCCCACTCGGCCTCCCAAAGTGCTGGGATTACAGGCGTGAGTCACCGCGCCCGGCCGAGTTTGGCCAAATTTAAAGGACTTTTCCAGTGCCAGAGGCCTCCACAACCCATGAGATCAGCTCAGTACTCTTTACGGCTTCATTACAGTCCAACTGCTCCCTTTCCCTGTCCCGTTTCTCTCAGCTTTTAAAGGTGTTTGTCCCAAGATTGTTCCCCAATAAAACTTCTGCAGATAAATCTATCTGAGAATCTGTTTTCTGGGGAATCCAGGCTAAGACAGCCAGGCTGGAATTTAGAATTCTGAGACTCCCCTAGGTTCCATGGCAGAATATGGCTGAGTGAGGAAAACTAGCTCTGGGTCCTCTACCTGCATCTGCCCTACTTTCTTTTCCTGAAAATTCAAGTCCCTAAAATCTCCAGACCCATATCCTTCTCTGAAAACAGCCACATTTTGGGGTCTCAGAGCATGCACGACAGCAGCGAGGCATAACCCCCGGGAGGATGGCCCCAGGAGGAGGCCCATGCAAACTTGGAAGCAGGCTTGGGGGCCATTAGTGCCAGGAATTCAGGGGTTCCAAGTACCTAGACTGTAGTACTTGTAGAAGAGATGCAACCTCCATGGGTAGGTCTATCCCTTTGGCTTCTCGGACTTTTTGTCCTATAAGTTGGGGGAATGATAGAGCAGGTCCCTCTAGATCATGGAGCCCGGGCAGGGTCCTCATGTGCTTGGATCCAAGGGTGGGAAAACATTTTCTACCGAATTTAAACCAGTGGCATTTGTGTCTCTGTTACAAGCAGCCAAAAATTTATATTTTAACACGTCTAGTTGACTTCCTGCACTTCTATGCCCATCTTCCTAAAAGAGAACAGTGTATCTCTCTAAAAGGGACTTCATCCTTTACTCTCAGGTCCTAGAATATACTGATGTTTCCTACATGTTAATTATGCTTTCCACAATCAAAATTTGATTTCATTAGGAAATCCATTCATGCAAGAGATGTCTCTAATTAAAAACTATCCAAATAACTTCTCCAATAACCAACCACACTGGCCTTTTTGCTCTCCTCCCTGCTGAGGGCTTATATCCCTGGATATCCTTTGACATCCATCAGCCCTGCTCTCTATAGTGACAATCTACAGGAACATTTCCATTTATTGCCTCTCCAGTGATTCTCAGCTCTTTGCAAACAAAATTCCATCCAGTTCCTTCAAAGGGCAGTCCTTTAAAAACCATGAGCCTATACTGTTAGTCATGATATGCGGAAAGAGATTGTTGAGGGTCTCAAGTACCAAATCCACCTACTGCAATGCATTGAGAAAATATGCATCAACTGCTTGTTCTGATAATGTACTGTAGTATGTAAGAGCTTACCACTGGGGAAGCTGCGTGAAGAGTGCACAGGACATCTCGGTACTAATTTTGCAACTTTCTGTGCATCTTTAGTTATTTGAAAACAAAAAGAGAAGAAAAAAAAAAGAGGAGGAGGCAGGACATTAAAAAATATAACCTTATGGATGGGCTTGGTGGCTCACATCTGTAATCCCAGCATTTTGGGAGGCCGAGGCCGGTGGATCACGTGAGGGCAGGAGTTCGAGACCAGCCTAGCCATCATGGCAAAACCCCATCTCTACTAAAAGTACAAAAATTAGCCAGGCGTGGTGGCAGGCGCCTGTAATCCCAGCTACTCAGGAGGCTGAGGCAGGAGAATTGCTTGAACCCGGGAGGCGGAGGCTGCAGTGAGCAGAGATCTTGCCACTTCACTCCGGCCTGGGCAAAAGAGTGAAACTCTGTCTCAAAAACAAAACAAAACAAAACAAAACAACAACAAAAAACTCCTTATTCAAAAATCGAGGCCATTCCAGATAAAGGAACTCTCTTTATATCTACAATTTTGGCTCCAAACTTTATTGTGGCTTCCTACCTTAGTGAACTGGATTAGTGAGCATGTGTGATTGCAGTGACTGCCTAAAAAAGAGACAGGGCAGCCTGCCCTGTCCCATGAGTCCTTCCCGTTGGGCTTCCATAAAAGGGGTGAAGTGTCCTTCCCCAGCAGGAGGCGGCATTGAGTAATTCTCATGACACCAGCCTTAAAGAAGGACTTACTTGGCCTGCAGTCTGCCACACACATCTCCCTCAGGGCCCCAGCAGGGCCTCTGCAGCTAGTAGGTGCTTAATGGAGGATTTTAGGATTTTGCATCTTGGTTATCTCA